>NC_000011.10:117778485-118081515 GCF_000001405.40 Homo sapiens
TTAACCTTCTGGAGCCCCAGTTTCTTCATTTATGAAAGGAAATCACCATAAGAGCAGCGTATAAAAGGCCCAGCCCAAGGAAAGCACTTTGGCAATGTCACTTTTCATGATAGCTGCACCTCTGCGATTAACTGGCTATGTGCCCTTGGGCAAGTGACTTAACTCTCTTTGTTTTAATCTCTTCATTTGTGAAAACACATGTATAGACTTACTGTGAAAACTGCATCCTAACCCAATGAGGGGGAGGTGACAGGAAACATGGTCCCTTCCCCTTAGCCCAATCCTCCACGCTGTGGAGGCCAGAGCTGGGCTCCAAACCCAGGCCTCAGGGCTCCCAGCCCAGCACTTGGTGCTGCATTAGGGGTTGAGCCGTGCAAAGCACTTGCTCCTAAAAAGAGTCCATGGGGAGCCCAGGGAGAAACCCTGAGCATATCTCTGTGTTCTAAGAGCTCATGGTCTAGCCCCAAACCAACCAATGGAATGAAGGACAGCTCTCACCCCACCTCACCCCTACACACTCCCGTTCCCAGCTACTTTAAACCTTGCTCTTATGAGAGGTGTACCTAAGGGAAAAGGACCCCAAGAAGTCAGAGAGGGTCTGTCACCACATGCTGGTTGGGAGGCCTTTCCCAGAACCACTCTCCCTGGTTGGCCCAACACAGTCCCTGGAAAAGATGGTGTGACCTAGGCCTGGCACCATTGCAGTGGGCTGGGTCTTTAAGTTGAAAAGCTCTTCTAAGTTGAAAACCATTCCCAAAACGTCAGTGCTTTATAATGATCCGAGACCCACCTTACCATTGATTGTGAGACACCAGTGTACCCTGGTGTCCTAGTGAAGAATGGCTGATCTTAGCTGTCCCCTTGGCCTCCCGACATAATCCAGAGAAATAAGACTTTCTTTTTTCTTAAAATAGACCACCTGAGAAACCCTACCTCCTTGCCTCCACCTACTCTTCCAAAGACCAAAATCCTTCACTGCTAAAAGTCTTTCATCGTGAATTTTACCAAATTGCCTTTTCTCATGAGATATGTCATCCTCAGACATCCCCTCAGCAGTAGAATGGACAAAGAAAGTGTGGTCTAGTTGCATGATAGAACACTAGGCAGCAGTGAGAACAACCAACCTCCCACCACACACAGCAGCAGGGGTAAATCCCATAAGCAGAATGGTGAGCAAAAGGTCTAGACAATATACACCGTTGGACACCATTTGTATAAAGTTCATAAATAAGCAAAATATCTACATTGTTAGAAATCAGAATAGTGGTGGCTCTTAGGGGAATAGTGTCACAAAAGAAGCTTGAGGAACGCTTCTAAGGTGCTGATGTTGTATTTCTCAATCTCAGTGTTAGTTGAAGTTTGTAAAATTTCATCAAGCTACATACTTGTAATGTGTGCACTTTCCTTTATATATTATTTTTCAATAAAAGGCTTCAAGGAAACCTCACTGCGGGTTTTCTATAAGTCAAGGGGGCTGAAGTGAGCACCTCATTTAAATGAGCACCAACTCATTTAACCATCACACGTAGTGATACAGAGGTAGGTACTTGCATCCACTTTGCAGATGGGAAAACTGAGGCTTAGGAAGGTGTCTTCTCACCACTGCACTCCAGTCTGGGCGACAGAGTGAGGCTCTGTCTCAAAAAGCAAAAAGAAAGAGAGAGAGAGAGAGAGAAAGAAAGAAAGAAAAAAAGAAAAAAAGAAAGAAAGAAAGAGAAAGAAAGAGAGAGAGAGAAAGAAAGAAAGGAAAGAAAGAAAGAAAGAAAGAAAGAAAGAAAGAAAGAAAGAAAGAAAGAAAGAAAGAAAGAAAGAAAGAAAGAGAGAAAGGAGAAAGAAAGGTGTCTCTTATGCCTATGGACACACAGCAAGTGGTACAACAAAGATTCAAAAGAGAACAACAAAACTGTTCTTGAGTGAACGACTTCTTGCAAGCCCCTCCGAATATCCTCAGAATGACGGCGCAGCCTCCTCCTGTGCCACTGGGGCAGCCAGTGTCTTGTCCCTTACCTGCTTTGACGCGGATGTTGGGGCTCCGGATCTTGCCGGCAGCGTTCTCCGCGGTGCAGAAGTAGTCATTGTCGTGGATAAAGCTATTGAAGGCGGAGGGGGAGAAGGGGTAGAGCTGCAGCGTCCCGTTGGCGTGGACGTGCCGGATGTGCGGCACGTCGTAGATGTCGTCCCCTGTGGCCAGGTACCATCGAAGGGCCGCGCTGGGGGAGCCCGCGGCCGGGCAGGGCACCACCACCCCCACGGAGCTGGAAAAGGTCACCTGCTGCAAGGAGTCATTTACAAAGTAGAGGCTGGTGCCAACATCTTCAGGGCGGGCTGCAGGAGAGGCAAGGGGAGAGACTTGGTTAGCATGGGCTCTAACAATACCCATATAAGCCACGGAGGCTTGCGACAGGCTGCACTCATTCACCTGACCTTCAAGCATCAGTCATTCAGTATGCACTTATTGAGCACTGACTATACACCAGGCACTGGCAAAGGTGAATCAGAGACAGTTCCTGATCTATAGAAAACCACAGCCTTCGGGTGCGGCGGCTCATGCCTGTAATTCCAGCACTTTGGGAGGCCGAGGCGGGCGGATCACCTGAGGTCAGGAGTTCATGAACAGCCTGGCCAACATGATGAAACCCCGTTTCTACTAAAAATACAAAAATTAGCCGTGCACACGCGTCTGTAGTTTCAGCTGCTCGAGAGGATGAGGCAGGAGAATCGCTTGAACCTGGGAGTCAGAGGTTGCAGTGAGCAGAGATCATGCCACTGCACTCCAGCCTGGGCAACAGAGCAAGACTCTGTCTCGAAAAAAAAAAAAAAGAAAGAAAGAAAAAAAGAAAAGAGAAAAAAAGAAAATCCCAGGATTTTTGGAATTTGTTCAGAATCACACAGCTAAGGTACAGAACTAAAATGTGAACCCATTGCTCCTAAAGAGGATTATAGTGCTCTTTCTATCATCCCACAGACGAAAGTTGTAAAAGGTCTCAAAACCATGCTCTGAGATGAATGGCTACAGGAGCTGGGATGCTCGCCTGGAATGGAAGACGGAAGAGTGCAGGAGACCTTGACAGCTGATTTGGGAAATGCGTTGCCACAGAGGACTGAATGAGGACCAGCAGAAGAGTGGGTGGATAAGATCTAGACTTAGGGCAAAAGACCCAGCTTCTAAACCCAGTCCTCACACCATGTGACTGTGCAATTCCCTTCCTCACTTGGATCGTCTGCTCCTTCACTTGGAAAATGGAGGGAGAGGATGGGCAAGACTGCAAAGACCGCTTCCATCTCTGACATGGTGCCATTCCAACCCTCAACCACATGGGAGAATGTTCTTATGATTACAGCTGGCAGTGGCAGGGCCACCTGACTCGGAGGACTGGCCATCTGTTCCTCTTATCCCAGCATCAGGCCTAGATATTTCCTGCTCTTATCCCAGCAACCCTGAATGTTGGAATCAAGGGGTGTCCCCCTTCCTCTTGAGGAGCCTGCCCCTTTAAGAAATCCATTGCCTAGCAAGTGGACACCAACCCAGAGGAAGAGACGGCAGGGTCCCAGGTCTCTAGCCGGAAGCCACTCTCTCTCCACCAGGAAGGTCAAGGAGCAAACAAACCACTCTGCTGCTTGTTTAAAGAACGTTGCAGGGGACCCAACTTGACCTCAATGTCCACAACTTTATAGGATGGGGGAGGGCCCACATCCGGCCGTATTAATATTCTTGGCTTAACTCTGAACCGAGCCTCTGGGGAGAATATACCAGGCAGCTCGTTGAGGAAGGCCATTAAGCCTCATTGGTCAGAGCAATTCACATCGTCTCATAAAAGCCGTGATGGAGCCATTAGCAGACGTGCTGGAAAACACATTCGTGGGCTTCTTGCTGCGGTGTCAGGAGCATCCTCTTAGCAGCAAGTGCATTTGCTGTCCCCACCAGGCACTGCACTCATAGCAGCTAAAGGCACTTTCTTGGAGAGGGGAGCCACATGGCCTCGCCATTCTCCTCTTCATGCTGCCTACTCTTGTGACAGTCATAAAGTTGGTGGCCAAGCAAGTCTGCTCTGCACGGGACCCTCAGAAGCTCTGGAAGCATGCCCAACTTGCTGTGGCTGGAGTGTTCCCCAAGAACATGAAATCATGCCATTTCACCAGGCAGCAAACCGAGGCTCGGGAGGTTTCTCTTAGAATATACACTTAGCAGGTCCCACTTCCAAGACTCTTCTCACTTTCTGAAAGCCTTCCTTACTGACATCCATGCAGCAAATATTTGTTAAGCATCTTCAATGTGCCAGGCACTGTTGTTAGGGACTTTACTTATATGACTTCTTTTAATATAACACTAAGAGACAACACTAAGAGACAGGTACTATTAGTATCCCAGTGTACAGATGAGGATACTAAGGCACCGAGAGATCAATGCAACTTACCCAAGACCACAAAACCAGTAAGTGAGGGCACTGGGACTCAGACTTTGGCAATCTGGCCCTACAGTCACTGTCTTAACCATTCTGTGATGTATGACCACAGTGTAACCACTGCAATAATAAAGAGGGACCTTCACCTTCCTCAGACATAACCTGGCCACCAACTTCCATTTTCAGCTGGCCAAGAACACACAGGTGCACACACACATACATGCACATACACGACACACACACTCCTTCCTGGGAGCGGTTTCTGTTGGATTCTGGGCATTTCAGACAATACTTTGCTTTTGGGAACAGGGACATTGCTCCGGGGTCCTGGGTGCCTCCTGAGAAACCTAGGTAATCAGGCACTCTCACCTTGGCAGCTTCATGGATTTGGGAGCCAAAATCCATCACAGTACAGAAAGACTCTACATTGTGCCTGTAAATGGACTTAGGAAGCCAAGAGAATCCCCGACAAGGAGGAATTCAGGAATTGATTCATGGGAGAAGGTAAGTAAGTTCTCAAGGCTAAGTATGATGTAGCCCTCTGTAATGATAATAGTAATAGCAATAGCCAGAACTCCAGCAATAGTAATAGCCACCACTGACTTCATTGTTAACTACAGGCCAGGCTCTGTGCCAGATCCATTCTAGATACCGTATTTATATTATACAGATATTATATTTAATCTTCATAACTCCCTCGGGGGTGTTATTATTATTATTTCCATTTTACTGATAAGGAAATTATGACTCTGAGAAGTTCACTAACTTCCCCAAAGTGATACAATGTGCAAATGCCAGAGCTGGGGCTAGAACCCAGCTTTGCCTCGCCTCAGAGCTGGGGGATGCACCTCCTACTCTACTGCAGAAACCCCATGGAAGACAAATAAAACCACAGAATATGGTTTTTCAGGCTGGGTACTTTTCCCAACCCTTCCTCCACCCCAACCGCATTCCAAACACACATTCCCACTCTCCTTCTCTCCTGGATGGAAATCCATTCCACTCTCCCTGCCTCCTGAGATGGCCACTTCCCCAGGCCCCCTCTACTCCCTCCAGGAGCAACAGCCACAATGACAGCAGCCTTCCTGCACTCCTGGGCCTCGGATCTTGCTGGAGCCAAGGACACAAGGTTCCCAGCAACTACAAATGGGTAGATTTAATTGATGAATTGACTGGGATTGTCCAGCCACCTGTCAGGGCTGATGAAAAGGCAGATTTATAGCAAAAGGCAAGAAGCCTCATAGTTCTCCCACCCTGGGATGTGAGCTTCTGTCTTCTGAGTCTGGGGGAGCAGGGGAGGATTAGACACACCATTCATTTCTGCGTATGGCTCTGACAGTGCATTGCCATCATGAAACATCACCCTCAGGTGTAAAACAATAGCATTTTGCACTTACATTGGGTTCATATTTTACCATCACAAGGCACCTGTCAGCTCAGAATGCAGAAACCCTTAAATCACCATTAATTTAGCCTCGCCCTGCCTGCCAAGGGAGTAAGCAAATACATAAAGAGGAAACTGAGGCACAGACCAGCAAATACCTCAAATCTCTGCTATGTGCCACGCTGAAGACTGGGCACATGGGCAGCAGGTTAAGTGGCCACAGAAGCAATGGGTGTGTTCAGAACTCCAGGGACAGAAGGGGGAGTAGTAGGAGCCTGGTGTCCTAACTCTGGCCTCACAGAGTCTGGTGCTGCCTCTACAGCAGGGGTTTCCCCACCTTCTCAGACTCATTTGAATCTTCAGAGCGGTGACAAAGCCCTAGCAAGCTCCCAGAGGAGCCCCAGACCCCTGCCTTGAAGTCTGACAGAACTACCTCCCCTCTGGGTGCTCACCCCTCACCTGCTGTGTGACCTCAGGCAAGCCGCTTAGCCCTCCTGAGCCTCCTTTACAAAAGGGCAGGATGTGATTGCACCATCTTAGCTGCCTCCCAGAGCTGCCAAGATGGTGGAATGGAATGGGGCAGTTCTTGATTCCCCATGAGGATGTTATAATATGCGAGATAGGGATTGTTCACTCTCCCTGAGGGGTCGAGGGTGCCTAAGGTTACTGCAGGGATGGAAGGGCACAGCTCCACCCTGCAGCTCTGCAGAATTCCAAGCCCTCTCCAAACCCTACTTCCTCTCGGCTGACTCCTGCACCCTTCAGTGTCCTCCTTCCCCAGTCATTTCTGATCCAGGGACCAGAGAAGACATTCATTGCCTCAGGAGATATTTACCAAGCACCAGCCACGCGCTGCACCACAGTATCCCAGGTATGGTGGGAGGCATCAAAGACAAGGAGAATGGCTCCACCTTCCAGGAGCTTGTAAAGGACAGGGGGAGCAGGAAAGGGGGTTAAACAATAGCACCAGGCCATATGTGACCCGGGGGCTGAAAGCACTGATTTAGCCAGGAGCCATGGGGAGGGAAGGGGAAAGTTATTCAGCAGCCAGAGAAAAAGCGTTGGGAAGAGGTAGGAGCTGAGCTGAGCTGGAAGACCTGGATAGGTGGGGTGACAAGGGGGGGCACTCCCAGAGAAGACAGCCCAACAACAGTGGGTGAGGCATGCATGTTGGGGGATGCTGTGGAAACCTTGCAGGCTGGAGCACTGGGTGGGTTTGGGGAGAAGAGCTGAAACCAGCTGGATTGAGGAGTTTGGGCCTCAGCGGTGGAAGACAGTTGGGGGTCGAAGGCAGTGGGGGATATGTGGAGGTTTGCAAGCTTAGGAAAGCAAGGTTTGAGGGTCCAGCAGTCCCCGACAGTGGTGCCTGAGGTTATCCAAGTTCTTGTAGTCCTTATGTCTAACTTCTGTGGCATTTTGGCTGGACATCTATTTCCCTAAAGTCTTATTGGCCTAATGTTGTGGAGTCCCCAAAAGAAAGGAGACTCACATTTTGCAGCACCTTCTTGTGCCAGGCACCAGGTTTGACCATTTAATCCTCACACAAAGGTATGAGGTGGAGGGCCCATTAGTCTCATTTTAAGGGTGAGGAAAAGGAGGCTGAAGGAGTCGACATCTTCTCCAAGATCCTACAGCCAGGAAGAGATGGAGTCAAAATTCAACCAGCTCCAAACCCGAGCTTTTTCCATCATGTTGTTGAGTTCAAAGTTTGGGCTCTGAAGAAGTTTCCCCTCATGCCTTCTCTCCAAGCTGGTCCCAATTTGGAAAGCAAATCCCCTGACAGAGATTCCTCCCTTCCCCTCCAATCCCAGCCACTCCCCGCAGCTCTTTCTTCCCTCTGCAGACAGAACCAGGCATATTTACCGAAAGAAAGAAGAGGAGGGGGAACACTTCATAAATAAAGACAGAGACACTCAGATCAACAGCAAGGCTTCTTCTGGTCAAAGGGGGAAATGGATTTTTAATAGAAAATGGAAGTTATGGGCTTGGTTGTCATGTGACAGACGCCCAGACTTAAACCCATTTAATCTTCTCTGCCGTTTAACATTGAGCACCACCCCGATGCTGTGTTTCATAAAACAGGCTCCAAATTGCTAGGAGATTAGAAGTGTGGAAATAGCACAGCAATATTTTTAAACCAGAAATCGCCCCCAGGCATTTGGGCTGCCTGCCCCCAGGGTCACCGCTGAAACCTAAGTATCCATTGCATCAACTCACTCGCTCGCCCTCCACCGCTTGCTTGGGCATCAGGATTAGTTTTGCAAAGGGAACTCGAGCCCCGTGTATGTGACCCCCAGGGCTCCCACCCCACCTGCCTGTGTGGGATGGAAGTGTCTGTCTGCAGTGGGAGGAGCTGGCTGACTGAGGTTGCTCTGAGGTGTACACTGAATTACCCCCATGTCATCATCTGTAATCATCGTAAAGGACAACCCGAGGGGACTGAAATATTAACACCTCGCCACCTCCACTGGGAGATGAGTCATTTTGTTCTCTTCCCTTACAATATTTACTCATCTCATTCACTGGACTTTTCATCCAGGAGTATCTGCCAGCACTGGGGCCCCTGCCACACCCCCTCAGAGACAGGCAAGATCCTTCAAGGGCAGCCTCACCCAGGCATGGCAACCATTCGTAGGAGAGGTCATGGGTCTTCAGGGGAGCAGGGGGCAGGGGACAGGAGGAATGGTCAGGACCAACCGGCCAGTAGGTATTCTCTCCCTTGCAAGGCCATTAGCTCCCCGAGGGCAGTGACTGTCTAGTCACCACTCTGTCTCCTGGGCACATACTAGGCACACAGTACAGTAGTGAAAAGCCCACCCTCTGGTACCAGGCTCCCTGGGTTTGAATCCCTACTCTGTCACTTACAAGCAGTGTGTGTAACCCCAGGCAAGACTGCCTCACCTTTCTGTGCCTCAGTTTCCCCATCTATACAAAGGTGGTGACAATGTCTACCTCAAGGGTTGTTATGGTTGGACGAGTTAATATATATGAAGAGCTTGGGACAGTTTCTGCTTTATGTAAGTGCCTGGCACCACCTAAGTATTTGTGGCTGTTGTTACAAGCATTATCATTATAGCAGGCAAGCAGTAAGTATTTGTGGGAAAAGTGAATCCTTGTGCAACAAATATTTACTGCTCACCTCTGATGATAATAATAATAACCTAAAACCGTGGTTCTCAAACATCAGTATGCATAAGAATCACCTGGAGAGCTTGTTAAAAATGCAGAGCCTTAGATAACAGATTCACCAAGTCTGTCATAGGGCCAGAAATTCTATTTCTGAGACTGGTGTCCTCTGTCTATACTGAGAGTAACAGTCCTTTGGAAAAGTAGATTTGCCATCCTGGACTTCTATACTTCCTTTCCCAACGACAGACAATTGTCATCTGCTTGGCTGACAAGACCCTACCACCACATTAATTAACTTAATTTGGAGATCAAGATAAGAAAACAACAGTGGTAGAATCAATAGCAACAGAGCATTGCAGTAGCCACACAGCTTTTGCTAATTCCCAGGCCTTACGCAGAGTTCTTCATGCAGATGTGAGCTGGAGAGGTTTCTTGGATTGATTTGCAAGGTTGATTACTTCACTGTATTTCCACACAAAGGTTTTCATGGGAGATGTGTTATGTGCCCTCACTCTGATTGTTCTCATCCCAGAGTTGGAAAAATTGGTTCTAGAGAGGATCAACCAGTAGGGTGATCCTCCCACCGGCTCACCCACCAAGTCCATTCAAAACCCAGAGGAGGACCAGCCAGACGGTGTCTTGCTGCTTCACTAAAAACCCTTTATGTTGCATCTTGGAAACTGTCTGAGCCCAGACACTGGCAAGGAGAGGGTTGAGTTTCCCAGACAGCATCAGAGCATGTACCAGGCAGCCTGAGCTGGTATGGTCCTTGGACAAGAGGAAGCAGCGGGCCAAGTCCCATGCTCTCTGCCTGTGATGTCCACCCAATCTGGCACACCTGCTCCACCACTACCTTCCCCATCACAGTGCCATCTTTTGGTTTTTTTGGTTTGTTTTGTTGTTGTTGTTTTGTTTTTGTTTTTGTTGTTGTTGTTGTTGTTTTGAGACGGAGTCTGGCTCTGTCACCCAGGCTGGAGTGCAGTGGCACCATCTTGGCTCACTGCAACCTCCACCTCCCAGGTTTGAGCGATTCTCCTGCCTCAGTCTCCTGAGTAGCTGGGATTACAGGCGTGCACCACCACGCCTGGCTAATTTTTGTATTTTTAGTAGAGATGGGGTTTCGCCATGTTGGCCAAGCTGGTCTCGAACTCCTGACCTCAAGTGATCCGCCTGCCTCGGCCTCCCAAACTGCTGGGATTACAGGCATGAGCCACCATGCCCAGCCCCATCATTTCTTTGTAGCATTTGTTTTGTGCCAGGCATGGTGGGAAGCCTTTTTCTTGCATTATTGCACATGTAATTCTTACAACAGCCCTTGGATGTAGCTACTACTCAAGACTCCATTTTACAGATAAGAAGACAGGCTCTTAGGTCAAATAATTTCTTGGTGTTGCACAGTTCGCAGTGGCAGAGCTGCATTTCACATCTTTATGCCAGGATGTGTGGCTCAGCAGGCACATGACAGGCTAGATTCAGACCATCCCCATGGTGTGAGCACACTGTGGGGGGATTTTCTGACAAAAGAGATCAATTGGGGTATGATAATTCAGAATTACCTGGGAATCTCCCTGTCATTAGACATTCCATCCCTCCCCCAACTAAACGCCAGCAGCTCCCCACCCTAGTCATTGAGATGACCAAAAAACGCTCCCCATTTCCAATCCCCATGCAAAGCACAGCTCAAGTGTCCTCCCTGTGTCCATCAGAAACATGGGTGGTTTTGCTGTTTGTTTTTAAGATTCTTAGCACAAACATGGTTTCTGTGACCAGCAACCAGAAACCTGCGAGGTCCAGTGGAGACGCAGCTATCCTTCAACCTCCAAGGCCCTGTGCCATCAGCTCCAGGAGAAGTTATGAGCAACAGCTGACTGTCGGACAGACTCTTTAATCTTCCAGCCCTTTCTAGACAGGGCCTGTCAAAGGAAGGTCCCTTATGGCCAAAATTTCTTTCCAGGGAGTCAGCTCAGACAGCACAGTTGTCCCCAGAGAATCCTAGATTTAGATTGTTAATGCTTGAGGGACTTAAGAGATTATTTTTTCCAATCTCCTCCATTCACAAGGCCTAGAGAGGTGGAGTCATCTACCCCAGGGACACAGCTCACCAGCATCCCAGCTGGGGCTACAGTGCTGTCTCCAGTGTTCTCTCAGTTCTGGCCACCCTGCTGTCAGAAAACTAGCCATTGTGGAACTCAGGAGCACCATGAAGCACCGAAACGATGTCATTCGAGGGTGTATCAGAGCAACTAGGGATGCTGCGTGTCCAGAGCAGGGGCCTCAGATGGGCAGGACATCTGCCTATCACAGTCGCAGGGCTGTCAAGTGGAAGAGGGCTTTGCCTTGCTCTATGTGGTCCAAGCGGTGACATCAGGACCAGTGAGTAGAAGGTCCAAGACCACAACAGGGTTTGACTCATTCTAAGGATGAGCTCTGTAATAGTCAGAGCTGTGTGGCCAGGAATGGGCTGCCTTGCAAGGAAGGAGTCCCTGTTGCAGGAAGTGCTAGTGAAGACAGAAAAAGACACTGGGTGGGAAAGCTGCAGAGGGAGTCAGCCTCTGATTAGGGGACAGATTCCACAGCCTTAAAGATGCCTTCCAACCCTGCAAGACTTTTACCCAAGGTGATCACCTGAATCTCCCTCTCCCACCCCCAACGCAGGGGTCCTATCCTCTCTCATACCCCACGACTGCGGGAGGGTCACCCTAGTAGCAGGGTGTCCACCAGTCTCGACTCGGCAGAGTTTTCAGAGATTCCAGTGAATACTGTGACCTTAAATGAGGTCACATAAGATGGGACTGTGCCTACTGCTCTTCCCACAAAAGACTGTGGATTCCCTGCAGGGAGAATGTCCCTTTGGGGGAGTTGGTCCAGAGGACTATGGACTACACTTGCATCTAAGAACCTTGGAGGGGAATGGGAGGAGGGAGAAGAGGTAGGCTTCCTCCCACTCCCACTACCACTGGGGCCTCAAGGGATCTGCCAAGTTTGCTCCAGGAAGACTATTGCCAGCCTGGCTGTGCCTCATCAGCTGTTCCCCATGATGCTGAAAAGCAAAGCTAGGAAAATTCTCCATATGTTGGGGCCCACGGAGGGGGAGACAGCCACAAACAGCTGTGAGACCTTCATCGTTCCTGTATGATGAAATGACAGTAATTATGCCTCACATTTCAGCAGAGCATTTATAAGGCTAAAACGGGTTTGCTGTGGTTTTTACATGTGTGTGTTCATATGTTGCCTCATTCTGTATACAAAGCACTGTCACATGATGTACATTTTTATGCCTCTTATTCTTATTTATGCACATATACAGTAACAACTGCTCTGTAGGATAGCCAGGACGGGGGTAATTTTGCCCATTTTACAGATTACGAAATAAAGGCACATGAACCATTAGGCAACTTGCCCAGGTAAGACAGGCTGAGCTTTGTTTTTTAGGTCCATGGATAATGTTCTTTCCAACACACAGACACACATACACACATGCACGTGCAAACACACATGCATCTCTTTAGAATCAGTTTAATGGATATGCAACTAACTAGCATTTGAATAATTGTTGTTAATGAAGATGGTGACCTTGGAAACTGTTAGTGCAAGCATCATGTAGAGACAGGGCACAGGGAGTGGGGCAGGGCAGCTGAACGAATGAGGGGAGTAGCAGCTGGAGTGGCATGGGTGGTCCCCAAGGCTAATGCTGTTCACTCTAAAGCAGCACAGGACAAACATCTGTTTAACAAGGCACACAGGCTGTGGAGCCCACAGCCTCCCCAACATGTAGGATCCCACAGGCCATGGCCTGCCATAGGCAGCACTTGACCTCTGGGTTACATGCTGCTTCCCTGTGACAGACTAGGTCATGGAAGGAAGAGCAGTCCCAAGGTCACAGGCTGCCAAGAGTGTTCTCTATATGCAAAACTGCCTGAAAAATAGAGGTTCATCTCAGCAGGGAGAGACACAGAAATACATCCAGCAACAGTTATGAGGGCTCCCTCGCTTTGTGAGGAGTGCTTACGCAGGCTTTATGGCATGAACTCCAGAATAGTTCTTACTCTGGCCAACCGTGGTAGAGATTTAACAACCAACCCCAGCCTTCCTTTGGCAGATATGAGACCAACCTTTGCCTCACCTCAAATCCAAGTCTGGAGCCAACTTCAGCCCTCTTCATTTCCACTGATGGCCAGGGGAAGGAAGTGTGCTGGGCACCCCAGGGACACTCAGGTGACCACATGGCCTCAGCCATGTGGAGTCCTACATGCTATCCAGCTAGGTGACGGATGGAAGGAGTTGACGTCCCCTGTCCTGGCCACTACTCTGTCTTTCTTATTGTTATAAAGTCTAAGCCAACTGGCTTGGCCAAAAATGTGGCTGATTAATTCAACTGCTTAGGGAAGGATCTGATGATGCATTCTGGAGAGGGGGCAGGGAGAGGAAGGTAGAGGCAATGCAGAGGAAAAAGTAGAGGTCTAATGTTTATTGAGCACTAACTATGTTCTGGCTACTTGATATGCATTATCTTCTTTAATCTCATTTCATAGCTGGAGAAAGTGGGGCTCAGAGAGGCCCAAAGTCACATGGCCAGTAAGTGCAGAGCCAGGATGTGAATGAAAGATTTGCCTTGACTCCAAATTTCTACCACACCAGTGGGTTGCAACCTTTCTTATTTTTCATTCTACTCCAATATATGAAATTGGATAATGAATAAAAGCTCTGGTTGAAGCTCTGCCCTCTGGCCCTCCCCCTCTCTACCTCTGTCCATCCCCTGAGGCTCCACCTCACCCCTTAGGCCTCCATACCACATCTCTTGGAAACCTCTGTGGGCTCTGGTGGGCCAGGCCCCTTCTGGATCAGTGGATATGCAGAAAAATAATCTGGGAAGGCTTTGGAGCTGCACCTGCCATAGTAGTATCCTCTCAGGGCCCTGGAAATGCAGACAAAACCATTCCCGAGGCCACACTCCCACTGCAGCATCCCAGCTGGCTCGCTGGGAGGGGCCACTCAGCTCTCCTGAAGTGCTCACTCCTCAAGCATCACTCCAGGCTCTTGACACGCCCTTCCCTCAGTGACTGTAGTGCCTGTCCTCCCTCTGCCCCGCCATAACCAACCCACATACCTGAAGCTGCCCTAGGGGAGGTGGAATGAGAAGCTGGTGCTATATCTTTCATCTCTCTGAAGCCACGACCACCTCCCAGGCTAGGTGGTGACAAACCAGGAGGGTGAAAGAGCATTCTGCCTCACTTCACACCCCCATGCCATCAGCAACTACCTCACTACCTGCTGATGGCAGCCCTAGGCACCCAGCTCCCTGCATTCTAGGGGTGCACCCACCAGGAATCTAATGCGGGCCCTGGATTTCTATAGCTAGTTTGCCCCTCTCTTCACCCTCTTCTTCCTGCACCATGAGAGGAGCAACCCACATCCCAAGTTTGGTCTACCTTACGGTGTCTTGGCCCATTGCTACCCATCCTACCCCAATATCCCCAGTGCCACTGTCTGTCCTTGGATAGGGGTGGTGGGAGCTCTGGGGCTGCCTTGCCAGATGGTGAAGCCAGTGCTGAGCACTGGAGGCACATATGGAGGCAACAAAATGTAGGAGACAGAAGCATTACCAACAGCAGTCCTTCTCCCAGCTCCTTCCCCACCCCCTTCCATGCAAGGAGGAAGCCAATGACTGGCTGCTACTGAGGTTGAGGTCAAGATGCTACTCACAGAGGGCACAGCTTTTGGCCTGGCTAGGTGAGCATGCAAATCCATATGCAGATTATATGCAAATCTGGGGTGTGCCCTTGGGTTCCTGGCACCCTGCCATCGCTGCTGCCTGTAGCTCACCCTATTCATGCACCTGGGTACCCGCTAGAATCGACTGGGCTGGGAGCTGAGAAAGTGCTTCAGGAACTAGGGGATCTTCTCTTGACTACTTCAGAGGTCCCCCAGAAAACAACTCCTCCAAGATCACGGAGGAGGGAAGAAGCTCGCAGCCTGGAACTCGTATCCCTGCAGAAAAACTCTCTGAGCATCTGCCCTCCCCTCTCTTCATCTACAATTAAATCATCCTTCACCAGCCAGAGCAGGGTACCAAGCAAGTGGCAAGTGGCAAGGATGTGTCTTCTCTAAGACACAGAGAAGGTCAGGAAGGCTTGAGGTCTGCATCCCTCTGTCATAGGCTAACAGTCCATGGGGTGCTCTGGACAGACCTTGACCCTGTGTCTGGGGGCTCCTAGCCAGCCTGTTTGGGGCCTGCTTCCCTACCAAGCTCTCCCTGGGCCAAAGCCCTGTCTGCTTGCTCACATCCTCTCTGATCCTCATCCTAAGAAAACTAAGCCTCTCTGTCCAGTCCCCCGGGATCTGTTCAACTTAAGCGCCGCCTTTGGGTCTACTGCTTACTTGTTTTTTGTTTC
Organism: Homo sapiens; assembly: GCF_000001405.40. Lineage (NCBI taxonomy): Eukaryota > Metazoa > Chordata > Mammalia > Primates > Hominidae > Homo > Homo sapiens. Next base: position 117,793,794 of record NC_000011.10, read on the forward strand.
TAATTAGCTCCCCCATTCTACTGCAGAAATATATTAAAGGCAGCTGGCTTTGATGCCCAGAAAAACGAAGCGTCGGAAAGGCTTGTCGGGCATCATGGCCCTGCCAATCTCCCTCATGTTATTCTAGCAACCGGGGTCTCTCTGCCACTCAGCCCCTCCCCAGTATTCACTGGCCCTTCGCCTGCCTCCCCTAAGTTGCGTTTGCCATTTCAAGATTTTAAAAACACATTTCCCCATTGCCCCCCCCCCCTTTTTTTAATTAGACACTGAACAGAATGTTGGAGATTTTCTTAATGCCCTGACGAAGGCTTTTAATTTGGTCTTCCCAAGAGAGAAGAACCATGAGTCCCCATCGGAGAAGTTGGGGTGGGAAATGAAAAAATCAATGCAATCCATTATTTTGGCTTTTAGAAAACAGGAATTTTAGTGCCGGGGAAGCTTGTTCTTTTACACAGTAAAAATGCAAATGCAGGCAACACAGATGCTGGCACGCTGGATGGAACAACGGAGAGCGCCTCGCCGGGGTTCATCCGGCTGCCTAAACCTGGATTTGTTTTGGCAATAATAAGGCAGTTATTGGAGACTCGATAACCGATGATTAAAACACCTTCCCAGTTTAGTTCTGGGGAATCAGTCTGAGCTCAGGCATCATAAAAAAAAGGTATTTTGAGAGGAATGGAAATAACAGAAGCTTAAAACACATTCAATAACTGCTTAATTCCATCCAAAGGATGCTCCATCTCATCCTGTTTTCTTCTCTCTCTCCCTGCCTCCTCCCGCTCCTCACAGATGGACGTACAAATTATTGCAAGAGGATATTGTTTTCTGTAACAGGCTCGAACATTCACATTTACATTTTCCTTGGTGCCGCGGGGGTGACTGGCAACGGGAGAGAAAATACTCCAAACCCCATCTTTCTTGCTGTCTCCGCATCACATCTTCCCCCAAGCCGCCTCTGCCACCCCCTACCACGCCACCCCAAGCAGAACAGGCCCCAGGGACCAGCCTGGCACCTAAGACCCAATTAAGGCACCAAGGAAAAGAAAAGCCTGTCTGGCGAGGCACCCTGGCGCCCAACAGACAGACGCTGGAGCCTCTGAATCGCAGGGGCACCGGGCTCTGCAGACCCAAAGGCCACCGAGGAGCCGCCACAACTGGCATCTCCAGCCCGCCTACAGGTCCAAGGCCACTGGCAACTTCCATCTCGAGTTGGACAAGATTTTGCCCCTTGGCTGTCCTGTTGCCTTCTGGGCCTTTCTCCACCCCCAACCCCATCTGCTCCCGCCCTATCAAATAGCTCGGCTTCATTTATTAATGCCAGGCTCCTGGAAGGGGGAGGGGAGTGTCCTTCAGGTATTTGCTGAGGGGCCTCCTGCACTCCCCGGGAATGGGCTGTCCTGGAAGATGTCTCCAGAGAGTGTTGTGGAGGCATGGGGGAGTTGGGGACAAAGCCGGGCTAGAGTGTGGCAGCGGCTTCGGCCTGTGCTTTCTCGCCTGACAAATTGCGAAAGGGGATGGGGGTTGGAGAGAGAACTATCGAGAGAGAAAGCCGCTCCTCACCTTATGTATTTTTAATATTAATGTAATTAAAGCTGCGAGCCGAGCCAGCCTGCGGGGGCGGAGGGAGGCAGGAAGAACCTGGGGAGAGGGAGACTGGGGTTCGGGGGTGGGGCTTGAACAGGAGGCAGGCTTCTTGCTCTGCTAAGGTAGGATGAAGGAGTGCGATGCGGGGGGCAAGGGGTTAAACAGCAGAGACCAGCCTTGGTGTGTAACCCGGGGGACCCCACTGGGCCTGAGAAACTCAACTACTTTGTCGACGATTTTTGAGGCCACCCTTCCTTGTCCCGCAATCCGATCGCCTAGTAAATGCCAGCAGTATCTGGGCCTTGAGTCTGGCTTTGACCCGGCAGTATCTACAAATAAGGGTTATCCTCTTTCCCCCAACCCACGATGTATCGCAGTGGGCTCCGGCAGGCTGCAGACTCCAGACCCCTGGAGCACCGGCAGGGCAGGGTTGGACCCCTCCCCGGGTGGCAACCCTCCACTGGAGTGCCCTTCCTCATCGTCTTGGGGTTAAGAGTTGCCGCCCGGCCAGGGCAACAGCCAGGGCAAAGGGAGAGAGAAGCCGCCCCGGGGCGAGAAGGAGAAAAGTTAGAGGGCTGAACAGGTGACGCTGAGCTTGTTGGAGCGTGTGTGCTCCACCACGCAAGGGCGCGGAGTTCGGCCGCCTCATCTCCCGCCATCTGCGCGCCCGGGGGCACGTCCTCTGCGATAGCCTGGAACCCAGACTACCTGCGCCTGCCTGGTCCCGACTCAGTGCCCAGGTGGCTTCAGTCGGAAATGTCTGCCCTCTTCCAACCTCCCGATCCCGGCTGCCTCGCGGATCAGGTACGCAGCGCCCCAGCCGCAGGTCTGGACATGCCGGACACCTGGACCCACCCCTAGCAACCCCCTCTCTCCGGGAAGAGGGACACGCCCCCCAGCCTGAAGACTTGTCCCCAGGTCCAACTGGCCAGGCGCGGAAGCGGAGAATCTCGCATCTTGGGGCGCGCTGCCCGAGGTGGCCACGGTGGCGCACCAAGCCGGGGCTAAAGCCGGGGCAGAGGGGTGGGGTAGGGCCGGGGGAGGGTGACCTCTGGGTTTGGAGAACAAACTTGCTATCCGAGGGACCTCCAGCTCTCGGGACTCTCACTATCCCCACCCTGCCTCCAGCCAATGCGCGGATAAGCGCCATGCGGTGCGCCAACATTCGCGCCAGGGCTGGGGTCCGCGGCGGGAGAGGGACGCACGGACATAGCGGAGGAATCAGCCGCCGAGTCCGAGGCCTGAATAAGCAAGGACTCCTAGGTCAAGAGTCACGGCCTGAGGACCCCTCGACTCGGAGGGCACTCCGGGGTCCCAGTGCCACCAAGCCGCAGGAAGAGGGCAAGGGGCTGGGGGAGGGGTCCAGGGCAGAACTGCCGCCGTGCAGGGAGCAGGGAGATGAGGGGCTCCTTTGCCACCACCCCTACGGGCGCGCCCCAAAACGGCAGACGCGGGTGGCTGGCGGAGCGGTCGGGGGCTGACTCTCACTCGGCCCCTGTCAGGGTGCCTGCCCCTCCCCGCTGCGCCCCACCCGGGGCCTTGCACCCCGGTCGGTTCCCCCACGCACCTGGAGCCCGCCGGGCACCCCGCCTCGCCGCCAGCCGCGCCACCCTGGCCCCGCCGCCTCCGCCGCCCAGCCGCCCGCGCAGGTCTCACCTTTGTGTAAAGAGTCCAGGAGCAGGAGGAAAGTTACCAGCCACATGCCATAAAGAGGCCCTATTCTCCGGGGAGGTGGTCCTGTGGCCGGCCGTGCGGCAGCGCCTCTCCCCCGCTCAGCGCGCTCCCAGCCGCCCGCACTCGGCGCCCCGCTCTCTCTGCTCCTCAGCCCAGCGCTCGGCTGCGGCGGCGGCTCCTCCCTCCTCGGCTCCCCGGCTCCTGTCATCCGCGGGGCTGGGCTAGGCGGCCGCTCTCCCCGCCCCCCCGCGGCACCCCGGGTGGTGAGCGCCGCGCGAGCCCGGAGCCCAGACGGACCCCAGCCCCACAAGCCCAGGAACAGGAGCGGCGGCCCGGGCCAGACCGCCCCGACCCGGCTCCGCTGTCTGAGAGGCGAGGGGTCCCTGTCACCCACCGGCTTGGAGCCTGTGGTCGCAGACAGGCATGTGTCATCCATGTGCCAACAGCCTGCCATGCTTCAGCCAAGGACGCCCGGTTTCTACTGGCCTAAGTCACCTGGGACACGAGCTTCCTGCCTCTTTCGGACTCAGCTTACCCGGCCCCCCCACCCTCCCCAGGAGGAGCATGGACGCTCTGGGTAGAATCCCAGGCTTTTCAGTGCTGTCTGGTGCTACTCCCCACCCCAAAGTTCATAGCTGCCCTTCCAACCCCTCGTGACTTCCGCAAGCCTGCCCTCCGGAGAACCCCAGATGAGTCCAGCCACCCCCTGGCACGCTGTTCGAATTTTCCTCAGCACTTGGCACATTGTGACTATTTAAACGGTTATTCACAATGAGCAGTTTAATGTCTACGCTACCTGTGTTATCTTCCTCCTTTGTCTTCACCTACCCACCCCTATAGCTTTCCTGCCTGACAGAAATTGGCTTATTCCTTACACTCATCTTTATGAAGTTGGCATAGAATAGGACTGGAGTGAGGGCGTCTTCTCAGTGACCAAATGAATGTTGAGCACCTGCTGTGTCAGGCACTGGCTCAGGCACTGGGGACTCAGGCATGGCTGAGCCAGGTCTGCTGTAAAAGGTCAATATGGTTGGAAAGCCCTCCTTTCGTCTTAATTCCAAAATAAGAGGATACATAGAACCCAGAGAAGGGATCCAGGTATCCCTGAGAATGGCCTATGAGCCAGGACTGTAGCTCCCTTTGCAGGGTCATGGAAGCTGCTTTGAGTATGCCCTGACAATTGGGCTGTACCTGGGCAGACTCTAAGGTGTGGAGTGCGAAGTTTGGAGGGAGAGAAGGGGTCCACTGGCTAGCTGCATTTGCCAGAGGAAGAAAATTTACTTCCTCGAAATGTGCGGCCTAAGTTCACATGGGAGAATTGGGACTCCTCACTCCCAGGTTTTGCCAAAATATCCCTAGAAATTTTAACTAAATTTTGAAAAGTGTGTTTTTTAATATGTTAAAATGTACATAACATAAAATTTACCATTTCAACCATTTGAAGTGTACTATTCTGTGGCATTAAATACATTCACGATGTGCAACCATCATCACTTACCATTTCCAAAACTTTTTCATCATCCCAAACAGAATCCTGCACCCATTAAATAATAACTCCCCCTTCCCCTCCCCTCCCCCAGCTCCTGGCAACCACTATTCTACTTTGTCTCTATGAAGTTGCTTATTCTAGGTACCTCATAAGTGAGATCATAAAGTATGTATCCTTTTGTGCTTGGCTTACTTCACTCAGCATAATGTTTTCAAGGTTCGTCCTTTAAACGGGTGAGAAAATCGGGGCTTAACTTGTTCAAGGCCACCAAGGTTGTATCAGAAGCAAGACTAGAACCCAGGCCTCCCGACTCCAGAGCAGAGCTTGCTCTATAAGCTGCAGCATCCCTCGGTGGCTCAGCTCTTCATGCAAAATCACCACCCTGAAACAATTTGCAGGAGGTGTTTTGTCATCTGGAAACACAGGCATAGAACAGAGACGGGGGGACAGACTGCAGGGGGTGTTTGAGATGACCCAGACCGATCTTTTGCTTTACAGATAAGGAAACTGAGGCCCAGAGTGGGGAAGCCATGAGCCTTCCCCGAGGTCACGCAGGGAGTGACAGAGCCCTCACGTTTCCAGTCTTCTGTCTTAGCTCCCATCTCTCACCGCCCTCAGCCTGCTGGCTTATTCTTCTACCATGCCCCCTCCCTTCTAAAGGGAACGGTCATTGAGAGGAATCCAGTTATTTAAAACTAAGCCTATTGACCCAGAGCACCTGGTCAGGTCATGCCTAAAATAAACCGCTAAGGCAGACAGGATGAAAGGGGCTGCTGTCTGCTGGGAGGGGATCTGAGTGGGCCTGGGGTAGCGGCACAGCTGCTCCGTGCCTCACACGCTGGAAGTAGCGGTGGACCCTCTTCTTTGCATCCACCCCAAGTACCTCCTACAACCTGAGTGTAGGAGGCTTTATGCTAGTTATACACAGGGGGCTTTAAAGAACCACAACATGTGTGTTACCCGAAGGGCGAGGTCATTCATTGTGCCGGTGACTGCAGTCTGGCTGTCCCGGGAGGAGACATATACGTGGAAATAAACGGGTGGTCAGTTGGGGAGAGCAGACCTGGGGACCCCCTCTGGCAAAAGGAAGCTTTCTAATGTCATGGTTAAGAGCCTGGCTTTGGAAACAGCAGGAGATGAGTCCTCAGCCCAGCTCTGCCACTTGCCAGCTGTGTGCCTGGGAAATGTATGTGTGCCAAGCTGCAGTTTCCTTACCAGTGGAATGGGGACATCCCCAGCATCTGCCTTGGAAAGTCGTAGCGAGGATTAAATAAGACAAGCCCCATGGCTGACGCATAGTGAGCACAGGTAACTACCATGAATGGGAACAGCTTTGCTCACAAGGACCTTGACCTGTGGGAACTGGGAGGAGGGAACAGCTCCACTGGGGGAATGCTGGGACGATATTGTGCCTTCCATGCTGTGACAAAGCCAGAGCCAAGGAGCTGGGAATCCAGGAAAGGGGCTGCAGAAACACGGAAGGTGCACACTGAGGCGGAAGAGCCTGGAGAGATGGCTAACAAAAGAAGGACCTGAAAAACAGGCAGGTCAGGCCTCATGCTTTTTGTGTTTCCCATTGATTTTGTTCTTCCTTAGTATCTAGGGAAATGTCTTTGAAAATGACAGGTTGGCTCAGATGTATTTAGAAGTCTCCTCTTCGACAGGAGTTGTATTGGGGTGGGCAAGCCAGCATGCCAGGAAATCCCAAGGGAAAAATGAAACGCCGGGGAAGAGAGTCAGGCGGCGTGTTCTACCCCACGCCCACCTTAAACCCTGACAGTCCCCTCCCCAGCTGACATTTTAGAGGGGCTATATTTTGATAGAAGGGACAGTTCCCAAAATTATATGGAAAACTTCACACCCACACACAAATATATTCATGCCAGAGTGAGAACAAACACAGTTGCCCAGGCAAACATTCATGTGTACAGGTAAACATAAACACCTAATGACAGGCACACCTGTGCTTCAATGTGATTTGAACCCAATCCAGAAATTCTGCATTGGCACCTATGCATATGCTCCATTTTTTTAAGCCTCAAATTTGTGGGATTCCTTTCTAGTAGGGACACACTACCCATTTAAAAGCAGTGATCAGTTTTAATATTTTCTTGCATCAGAATGCTGGGTGATGATCTGTCTGTATTTTGGCTTTTGTGCTTTTGTTTTTGTTTTTTTTAAACAATGCCAGTTGAAGCAGCTATATGAAGTCACTGGGAGCTGAGCCCTCTCCAATTCAGGTTAATCATGGATATTTAGGGGGTATTATTTTGCCATGTTATATTAAGACTAGAGCCATCCTGAGAAACAGCAGATGTTTTTATTGTTTAACTCAAACAATAAGCTTATATATTTTGGATACTTTTCTTCAAAAACAAAGGCATAAAATTATTTTAACAATGGCTTCATATGCCCTCTGGAATTCTTTGACAACTTGAGTATAAACAGGGTTTTCATAAAAGGAATCAATACTGAACCAGGTCTGTGTGAAAAACTTAACTTTTGGTATTATATAGCTAATTCAAGATTGACCTTCTTAGTACTTACTTATCAGTTGGGGGAGGAAAAAACAAGGATCTCCCTGCTTCCCTCCCCAAAATTTATAATTGATTTTAATATTATAGAAAGAGTTCTCATCTACAAATCAGAAATCCTAGGTTCTTGTGTCACCTCTGTCTCCATAGCCAGCTGTGTTACCTGTGACAAGTCACCTTGCCTTTCTGGACCTCAGTTTCTTCACCATTGAGGTGAAAGAGCTGGGCTGGAATGATCACCAAGATCCCTTCCTAGGACCAAACACAAGGTAAATGCAAACAAATATGCCCATTCCCCCCTCCTACCCCACATAGGTGTATAGTGTGTACCCACAAATGTGTGCAGGCAGAGAAACAGAAGCTTTTATGCACAGATATTCAGAAACTAATAGGCACAAAAAATTACACAAAATAAACAGTTTTGGCTTCAAATATATACACATACATCTAAAATACCATCTTCTTGAGATGAGATGAATCAGTACAATTCATAGACTGTGATGCCTATATATAAAAAAATATTATGTGTCATTATACTACCCAGGTTCTCCTTAAACCAAAATTCTGTCTGCTGGGCTCAGAAGATGTCTAGGTATGCTTGCCACTTACTCTCTCATCATTTTGGATGATAATATTATGGCTCTAAGATCACTGGAGCAAAGGGTCTAAAGCCCTGGGGCTCCGCCTGTACAGATGCAGTCTCTGGGGTCCCATTGCCCTTGTTCAGGCTGCTGTCTCAGCAGTGACACCAGGATGGTTGGTCAGGGGCTGCGGAAGCCCCCAGCAAGGCAGGAGTCCCCTGAATAACTGTGGCCTCTCTCCTGCTGTTCTTTCTCAGCTCACAACTCTGAAATCGGTTGAGAAGCCAACCCAGAGAGGTTCCATGTAGTCCGGATTCGACAGAGCTGAAGCTCATTGTCACATTTCTCTCTGGGGAGCAGTGGGGTGGAAGGTATGGAAACTAAGAGAGATAGGAAAAAAAAGAAAGTGCAATGAGCAGAGCTAAACTTGCTGGCTTCCCAAGTCTTCCGGCATTTCTTCTGGCCCATGTGTCACTCACAAATGTGCTTATCAAATTTTATGAAAGTGTCTTCTACACTGGAAAACCTTCACCTTTCTCAAGTACCCAGTGCCCCCCTTTTTCACCTGTTTAAGGCTTCCCATTCAGCAGGGCCTGGTCAGGCACCCCCAGTTTTCCCTGACCAGGCCTCCTCTGGTCTCCCACTGCCTCAGACATCTACTTGGCCCATGGGTCTCATCCCTTTGTCTAGAATTGTGGCTATTTAGGCATGTGTCTGACTTGTCTCCTCTTCTAGACACTGGGCTCCGACCCTTTCGATTTGTACCTGCAGGCCCTAGCCTGGTGCCTCCTGGCTCTAGGGGTACACTCAGTAAGTGTTGATTTAATGACCAGATGGGCTCATTCTTATAAGGTAGCAGATATCTGATTACAGCCTCACGTGCCATGCCTTCCAGAGAGATGTCCCTTAACTAGGATCAAAGCCTTAAGCTTGAAAGTTCTCGTATTGGAGTTTCTCGTCTCTAAGAGTGAGCATTTGGCAGGACATTAGACCCCGCAGGAGTGCTGACCCCTAAAACCAAAGAAGTCTCAGCAGTTCCTGCTGAGCCCGCATCACTGTGGTCTTCACAGTTGTCATCTTGACCTTGTAGGCAGCGCCTCTAGGTTCCAGAGGCTTTATGTTTTCGTCCATTTCTGATTCTCACCTAAAAGGATCTGGATACATATGCCAGAATTGTTTTGATCATTATATAGATGAAGACACAAAGTCAGAGGAGTCCCAGAGGCATATTTGGGATGTTTAATACCATGACACTTACACAGCTCAAGCTTCAGATTCCTTTAGGGCCCTAGTAATGTGTTCACATGGTCAGATATGAAAACACTGTAGAATAATAGAGTTTAACTACTGTCAATCACAGCTGCTACCCTTTTCTGCTCTGGCTTCTCGGTGGGTCTGGTGAACATTTTGGGGGGATCTGACTCTGGCTTGGGATTGGTGGAATGTATTTATATGGTTCACAGGCCATGCACGTACTTCCAGGATAGGGAATGGCTTGCAGGAACACTCCTATCACCGACTGGGCCAGCTCACTGCGCTTTGTGACATGAAGTTGCAGAACCAGAAGTTGTATCACAGTATAACTGTGGCCTCAGGTGCCTGCACCAGGGGTGTGTGTGTAGCATAGGAAAGACAAGGTTTGAAATGCATGGAGCCAAAAGCCAGCTTATGTAAAGCTGTGAGCAGAAGTAACGTAAAAAAATTTTTTTTAATTTAGAAAGCATTTTTGAGGTGTGTCAGTTAATACAAATATTATGTTATCTGTCTGGATTTCATGATGGCATTTGTCAGTTTTTTCAAGATTTGTAACTTGTTGCAATTTCTTTTTATCTTTCTAAATTAATAATCACATTTGATTATTAATATATTAATGATCATATTTGTATCTAATTTTGTATTCATAATTGTGTATTGTTTTCCTTAGTGAGGCCTAAGCTTCCAGCCCTCAATGGTCTAAGCTTCCAGCCCTGCAAAACCTGAATCCGTCCCAGGAACTTTCCTTGGGTTACACTGTGGCTGGGGACCAGGTTCTCTGGATTCTGGTCAGGGCTCCCCGCTTGCCTCAGAGGTCTTAAGTCTGTATGTCAATCATGTATTTGTACAGTGCTGTTCACACAGAAGCCCCCTTGGAGAGATTTTCCTCCCCAGAGAAGAGAAAGTCAAGGCCCAGGCCCATGGTGGTGACCTTGACTTAGATGATGAAAGTTCTCTTCCTAGAAAGTCTGCCCATTTCACCACAGGCTGGACTTGCCAGTCCATGCGCTGGAGGATCTCAGGATGGGAGACAACTTGGTGCTGCCGTAACGCCTTCCACGGTCTCTCTGCAGGGCAGCATCCCTCCTGTCACTGTGACTGGCCACCAGCATTGTGGACCGAGACCCTCCTCAAAGTCCAGGAGTTGCTACAAAACACTAGCAAGTCCTCCAGCCACTCTGAGCAGGAGAAATGTGCGGCCCAGAAATTCCACCTGCTGGAGGCCAAAGCCACGGCTCCTGGGGTGCCCCAGTGGTGAGTGGGCTGCAATTTGGGACAGTGAGGCTGAACAAAGACATTGCCTGGAGACCACGGGGAATGTTGGCCCCTCAGTTACAGAATCTGAGAGGGGGCAGTGCCTTAGAGCTCAGCTCACCTGGCCCCATCTCATACCCACTGGCTTTCTACACCGACCCAACAGGTGTCAACTCAGTCTCTCAAATGCTGCCAGGGAAAAGGGGCTTGCTCCCCACACAGAAGTTTATCTAATTTCACTGTCCACAGTCATGTACACATGCTTTTCTTTATCAAGCCCAAATCTGCCTTAGCTTTCTGGAGTTCAAAAGATGTGCCCAATCTGGACAAAATGACAGCTATTCAAATATTCAAGAACTGCTACCGCAGGCCCCCACACCTTCCTTTTGCCAGGCTACGTATCTTTTTTCTTTTCTGACATAATTTCTAGACCTTTCCCTATTCTGGTTTCCCTCTTTGCTTATATTCAACTTTAGCAATATCTCGTCCGGGCATGGTGGCTCACGCCTGTAATCCCAGCACTTCGAGAGGCTGAGGTGAGAGGGTCACTTGAGCCCAGGAATTCAAGACCAGCCTGGACAACACATGGAGACCCATCTCTACAAAAACATTTAAAAGTAGCCAGGCACGGTGGTGCATGCCTGTAGTCCCAGCTACTCGGGAGGTTGAGGTGGGAGGATCTTCTGAGCCTGGGAGGCTGAGGATGTTAGTGAGCTGTGATTGTACCACTGTGCTCCAGACTGGGTGACAGACTCTGTCTCATAAAAGAAAAAAAAAATCTCTCTTAAAACAGAATAGACTCATGAATCCGGATGAGGTCTGAGCAGCTCCAGTCCAGCGCCATCACCCCCTCAGTAGGTAGCTGATCTTCTCTTACTGTTGTCCAATGTTTTGTTGGATTTCCTGGGCTGACATGCCAATCACTCTGGACCACTATCCCACGAACTTCTACTGAACTGGCCTCCTTGGCCTGTAATCCTGATGTGGATTATTTGAGAGAAAACATGATCCCATTCATCATTTGGTGAAAGTTGGGAAATGGGGTGTTGCCTGGGTCAAATGGCACTTACTTACACAATGGGTGACTCAGAATGTCATCTAAGGTCCTAGCCCAGCCCCAGTGAGGGTGGCAGAGCTCAGCTAAGAATGCAGCAATAAGGTTCCCATTTCAGGCCACAATGACATTGAAACCCAGCATCTTTACCAAACTTGACCTTATTTTTGATAAATCCAGCAGAAAACAGAAAAAGATCTAACATAGCATTTCACAAGTGTTTCATGAGAAGGTAATAGGTAAGGTGCAAAAACTGATCTATGGTCAAATAGGTTTGGAAAACAGTGGAATAATCAAAGGTAAATAGGTTTTTGTGGGAGTTGTTTTTGTTTTTGTTTTTTACTGCAGGCTTTAACACGCTGGTGGGCATTGTCAATCTCCAAGTGCTACAGTATGAGGTTTTGGGGGATCCATTTCCCACTTCTCCTGGTTAAAAACTCTGTTCTTTCACTGTTTCTGGTCCACACCTGGCCTAAAGGAAGTACATTTTGTTGGTTTACTCATTCTTTTGGCAACTCTGTGCCCAGCCCCTGTGCAAGGAGTTCCCCGATCCCTGGAAAGTCTAGCACAGAGTCCCTGCCCTCAGGAAGCTTGCATTCCAGTGGAGTAGAAGATGTTTAAAGAGCAACACAGGGAAGCCTACATGCTCAGAGTCAGCAGGTCAGAGTGTGAAGGGACCTGGGGAGCATCTCCTGCAAGTGCCTAGGAAACAGTGGCTGGCAGGTGAAGGGCGTCCCAGGTCACATGGCAGAGTCAGGGCTTAGGTCCAGGGCTCCTGACCGCCTGGCCTGCGCTCAGCTAAGTGGTGTTTACCTCCCTCCTAGGCCCTGTTGCCTTCAGACTCTTGCCCACCTTGTTCACCACTCCATCCTCAGTACCCAAGGCAGGTCTTTGATGACTGTTTGTCGAATGAAGCTATGATGATGTGGCTGGGTTGGATGATCTTTACAGTCTCACCTAGGGCAAGGGGTTCGATAAGTCTGTGAAGAGAGCTGCTTAAGCTCAGAGAAAGGAGTGGTCAGTAAAAACCAAGGTAGGATGTGAGTTGGGCTTGAGCAATGGGAAGGATATGCAGAGAGGCAGGGAAAAGGCCTCCCTGCAGGGGCTCAGGAAAGCCTGACTCTATGGTGTGTCTACCCATCTGAGACACCCACACATCTGGCACATGGCAGTTCAGAGCTGTGTCCTCAAAGACTCATCGGTCCAAACTCTGAGCTGAACTGGCGGGCTAATTGTTTGTCTGCATCAGCCAAAGTAGCTTCTTCTTTTGGCAAATCATAATCAGAGTCCTGGACTCCTACTAATAACAATGATTATAATTGAGCACTTGCTGTGGGCCCAGCACTATGCTAATTACTCCAGATGCATAATCTCCAAACAACCCTATAAGACTGGTATGATTATTATCATCCCCATTTTACAGACAGTGAAACTGAGACATAGAGAAATTAACTAAGTTGTCCAATTCACGCAGCGTCAGATGCTCAAGGCAGTCTAATTTCAAACTCATCATTCTATGTATTGACTTTGGTGGTGGTGGTAGTGTTACTGCTGTTACATTTTTTAAAGTTTGAACATGGAAAATTTCAAGAATATACAAAAGTGGGGAGAACAGTATAACGAATTATTATGCACTCATTTCCCAGATGCTACAAGAGTTGACTCATGGCCAGTTTTTTGTTTCATCTATGCTCCCCTCCCATCACCATGAATTTTTCTGAAGCAAATTTCTTGTGTTACATAATTTCATCCATTGATCATTTTGTGTGCATCTCTCAAGGATGAGGCCAAATCCTCTTTCTCAATCACAATACTTTTTGCCTCCTGACTGAGAAGTTCCTTGGCCGGGGCACCCGCTTCCCCCAAGCCACACGCCAGATTTCAGGCTAGCCACTTCCCCACACAGTGGGCACAGAGGCAACAGGCTCAGCGGGTAGCCTGTCCCCAGCTCCTCACCACACAGCCTGACCAAATGGCATCTCTCTGCCTCCTCAGAGTGAATTTTTATCGCTGAAGCCCCTGCCATCAGTCTAGTTGCTCTGCAGATGGGGAACTGGATGTGGTGGTCTGCCTGGTGGGGTTGTTGACACAAGGATGAGTCTTTCTTGACCAGGCCTGTCCTAGGCTCCAACCCTGGCCTTGCCCCAAATCCCAGTACCTACTTCAGAATGATTTGGGGGGTGGGAGATCTCCTCTGCCTGGGAGGAAATGACTCCCCACTCCGCCCAGCCTAAGAGCAAGAAGGGATGAGATGGAGCCAAGAACCTGGAGTCAGAGATTCACCGCACTTCTCATGAGCTGGGAGGACCAAGTCTCACCTTTTTGGTCTGTGGAAGTGGGAACAGAACACCGACCCTGCAGCGTGGCTGTGAATGTCTAAGGAGATGGGCAAGTTTTCTCCGCAGAGTTGTTTAGCTAGAGAAGGTCACAGTACCTGCCATGGCCAGCAGGTGTCGCCCAAAGACTGAGTATGAGAAACCTTTGGGCGGGATGGGGGCTCCTCCATGGAGATTATCTTTCAATATTAGATACAGCTGGACTTGGAAGAAGTGGAAGAAAATTCAGCCTGAAGGGTTTCTCCTTTGAAAACTCAGTCTGGTTCTGGCTTTCGTCGGAGTTAAAAATTGGAGCTTTGCAGTTTTCACCCAGGCTAGAGTGCAAAGGCGTGGTCTCGGCTCACTGCAACCTCCACCTCCTGGGTTCAAATGATTCTCCCACCTCAGCCTCCCGAGTAGCTGGGACTACAGGTGCATGCCACCACACCCAGCTAATTTTTGCATTTTTAGTAGAGATGGGGTTTCACTTTGTAGGCCAGGCTGGTCCTGAACTCCTGACCTCGTGATCCGCCCGCCTAGGCTTCCCAAAGTGGTGCGATTACAGGCGTGAGCTACCGCGCCCGGCCTGCAGTTTTCAAAGTATGCTCACATGAAGATACCACAGCAAGACAGACATCAATATCCGCATGTTACAGATGAGGAAATTGAGGCTTCAGAAAGAGAGTGACTTGCTAAAAATTATGCAGGCACTAAATGACAGAGCCATTAAGTGACAAAATATAGAATTAGAAGGCCTTCGGACTCTATATTCTGGGCAATCTGCCGACACATTCCTATGGGTCAAACCTTTAGGAGGAGTCCTGAGACCATGGCTGGGCTGTCCCTGCCCCTCTGGAAAAGATAATAGGCGCATGCCCGAAGCCCCTGGCATGCGACATGCTATCCCCTGAGAGCATTTGCCATCTCTGGGTCTCAGTGGCTCCGAAACCACACAACTACACATGCACACAGGCACAGGTGAGGTGAAGGAGAGAGAGATCCCAGACTACAGAATCCGGGATCTGTATTTTCTGTTTCCCAGTATTTGGATGTAAGAAGCTTAGCATAGGTCTTGGGGCTGGCATTTGGGAAATCCTGAACTAGAAGATAAACTAGAAGGTTTATGTTCTGTAGTTTCATAAACACTATCCACTTAAGCTTGTCAAAAACACTAATACAGTGTCTGGCACATACTTGATAGTCAACAAAAATTTGCTGAATAATAAATGGCTGAAAAACACGCAATCACCCAGCCCAGCAGAAGCCTTGGTGAACACTGCTTCATCCCTCACCCACTTTACATGTTCGCAGCACTTTGTGGCGTACATATCTCATTTACACACATGATCTCGTTCAATCTCTTTAATGAGTTGGATATCACAAACCCCATCTCACAGATGAGAAAACTGAGGCTCCGAGACACTAAAGGACTTCCCCAGGGCTGCCCAGGTGGTCAGTGACCGAGCCAAGCTCACGCCCACGCCTGTCTACCCTGCTCTAGCAGCTCCGTCACTGCCCCGCCCCTGCTTCATATCATTTCCACTGCGAAGCTTGAGAGGAGGAAAAATCCATCCAGAGAGAATGAATCTTCCAGATCCGTTGGGAATGCCTCAGATTTAGGAGAGGCGACCTCAGGAGTTTGCCCTGAGACCCCAGGCTCAGGAGAAGTCTTGCCTCATTTGGCGAAGGGGCTCAGTGCAGACCTCCAGGGTGGGGCAGGTCCTGGGAGGCCAGCTGCCGCGTCTGCACTCCTGGAAAGTGCAGTGTGGGAAGGGTGGGAGCTGTGGGAAGGGAGGGGAGCCCTCCTCCCCGCTGTGCCTGACTCCTTGGGCGTGGCTCTGATGGCTGGAGAGGACAACCCGCCTCCCTGGCCCACTACTGGATGTGTCTCTGCGGTCCTCCGCGGAAGGAAGCTCCAGGCCTCCGCACTGGGAACCTGGTGTCTGCCTCCCCCTAGTGCCACAGGACAGGATGGTGGCGCCGCAGGCTGCTGTGCAGTACAACATAGACGGCGGCCACTCAAATTCTCCACTACACAGGTCCTGCCCTTCACCCCAGTCATGTCTCGCAGTGAAGCCGGAGGCTGGGCTCACTCCCTGCCCCAGCCTGTGTCCTTGCCAGCCTCTAAGAACTACTGGAGGGGACCAATGGTGTCCTCCAAAACAGACCTCTGATTCTCAGCTGAGGAGGCTGAATCGCCGCGCAGCGCTCCAGATGCTAGGTCCACCCACGCAACCCTCCTGGGTTGCTCTGCTCCTCCCCAGTTCCAGCTCAACTAGCAACGCACAACACACACAAACTCACACAGTCACATACACACTCACACTCACTTACACATTCACATACTCTTACACACACACACCCACACACTCACACACACATTCACACATTCACACACACGCATATTCACATACACACATTCACACACTCACACATTCACACACACTCATACACACATTCACATACACACATTCCCACACTCACACATATTCAAATATTTTCACACACATTCACACTCACACACATTCACACACTCACTTACACATTCGCACACACATACACACATTCACATACATACATATTCACATTTCAATCTTGGCGCCACACTTCAATCTCTCCCTTCTCTTAATTTCAATTCCTTTCATTTTCTGATAGAGACAAAGGAGACACGTGGACCCAAAACTCCGTGGACCCAAACTCCGTGGACCCAAAACTCCGTGGACTCAAAACTCCAGCGCCCTCTGGGGGAGGGGCAAGTACCCCTCAACCCCTTCTCCTTCACCCTTAGTGGCAAGTCCCGCTTTTCTAGGGGGCAAGAACCCCCAATCCCTTATTTCCGCACCCCGACCTCTTATCTCTGTGTCCCAATCCCTTATTTCCGCACCCCGACCTCTTATCTCTGTGCCCCAATCCCTTATTTCCGTGCCCCAACCCTTTCTCTGCTTTTCTGGAGGGCAAGAAACCCCCACCCCCTTCTCCGTATCTCTACTCTTTTCTCTAGGCTTGCCTCCTTCACTATGGGCAAGCTTCCACCTTCCATTCCTCCTTCTTCTCCCTTAGCCTGTATCCTTAAGAACTTAAAACCTCTTCAACTCTCACCTGACCTAAAATCAAAGTGTCTTATTTTCTTCTGCAATGCCGCTTGACCCCAATACAAACTCGACAGTAGTTCCAAATAGCCGGAAAACAGCTCTTTCAATTTTTCCATCCTACAAGAGCTAAATAATTCTTGTCGTAAAATGGGCAAATGATCTGAGGTGCCTGACGTCCACGCATTCTTTTACACATCAGTCCCTTCCTAGTCTCTGTGCCCAGTGCAACTCGTCCCAAATCTTCCTTCTTTCCCTCCCGCCTGTCCCCTCAGTCCCAACCCCAAGCGTCGCTGAGTCTTTCTAATCTTCCTTTTCTACAGACCCATCTGACCTCTCCCCTCCTCGCCAGACCAAGCTAGGTCCCATTTCTTCCTCAGCCTCCGCTCCTCCACCCTGTAATCTTTTTATCGCCTCTCCTCCTCACACCCGGTCTGACTTACAGTTTCGTTCTGTGACTAGCCCTCCCCCACCTGCCCAGCAATTTACTCTTAAAAAGGTGGCTGGAGCTAAAGGCATAGTCAAGGTTAATGCTCCTTTTTCTTTATCCCAAATCAGATAGCGTTTAGGCTCTTTTTCATCAAATATAAAACCCCAGCCGAGTTCATGGCTCGTTCGGCAGCAACCCTGAGAAGCTTTACAGCCCTAGACCCTAAAAGGTCAAAAGGCCATCTTATTCTCAATATACATTTTATTACCCAATCTGCTCCCGACATTAAATAAAACTCCAAAAATTAGAATCTGGCCCTCAAACCCCACAACAGGACTTAATTAACCTCACCTTCAAGGTGTACAATAATAAAAAAAGTTGCAATTCCTTACCTCCACTGTGAGACAAACCCCAGCTACATCTCCAGCACACAAGAACTTCCAAACGCCTGAACTGCAGCGGCCAGGCGTTCCTCCAGAACCTCCTCCCCCAGGAGCTTACTACAAGTGCTAGAAATCTGGACACCAGGCCAAGGAATGCCTGCAGCCCAGGATTCCTCCTAAGCCGTGTCCCATCTGCGCGGGACCCCACTGGAAATCGGACTGTTCAACTCACCTGGCAGCCACTCCCAGAGCCCCTGGAACTCTGGCCCAAGGCTCCCTGACTGACTCCTTCTCGGCTTAGCAGCTGAAGACTGAGGCTGCCTGATTGCCTTGGAAGCCCCGTAGACCATCGCGGATGCCGAGCTTTAAGTAACTCTCACAGTGGAGTGTAAGTCCATCCCCTTCTTAATCAATACGGAGGCTACCCACTCCACATTACCTTCTTTTCAAAGGCCTGTTTCCCTTGCCTCCATAACTGCTGTGCGTATTGACAGCCAGACTTCTAAACCTCTTAAAACTCCCCAACTCTGGTGCCAACTTAGACAACACTCTTTTATGCACTCTTTTTTAGTTATCTCCACCTGCCCAGTTCCCTTATTAGGCCGAGATATTTTAACCAAATTATCTGCTTCCCTGACTATTCCTGGATTACAGCTGCATCTCATTGCTGCCCTTCTTCCCAATCCAAAGCCTCCTTTGCGTCCTCCTCTTGTATTCCCCCACCTTAACCCACAAGAGACCTCTACTCCCTCCTTGGCGACCAATCATGCACCCCTTACCATCTCATTAAAACCTAATCACCCTTACCCCACTCAATGCCAATATCCCATCCCACAGCAAGCTTTGAAAGGATTAATGCCTGTTATCACTCGCCTGCTACAGCATGGCCTTTTAAAGCCTATAAACTCTCCTTACAATTCCCCCATTTTACCTGTCCTAAAACCAGACAAGCCTTACAAGTTAGTTCAGGATCTATGCCTTATCAACCAAATTGTTTTGCCTATCCACCCCATGGTGCCAAACCCATATACTCTCCTATCCGCAATACCTCCCTCCACAATCCATTATTCTGTTCTGGATCTCAAACGTGCTTTCTTTACTATTCCTTTGCACCCGTCATCCCAGCCTCTCTTCGCTTCACTTGGACTGACCCTGACACCCATCAGGCTCAGCAAATTACCTGGGCTGTACTGCCACAAGGCTTCACAGACAGCCCCCATTACTTCAGTCAAGCCCAAATTTCATCCTCATCTGTTACCTATCTCGGCATAATTCTCGTAAAAACACACGTGCTCTTCCTGCTGATCGTGTCCGACTAATCTCCCAAACCTCAATCCTTTACAAAACAACAACTCCTTTCCTTCCTAGGCATGGTTAGTGCAGTCAAAATTCTTACACAAGAGCCAGGACCGCACACTGTAGCCTTTCTGTGCAAACAACTTGACCTTACTGTTTTAGCCTAGCCCTCATGTCTGCGTGCAGCGGCTGCCACTGCTTTAATACTTTTAGAGGCCTTTCCTACAAGGTCTGAGAAGGCCACCACAGTCATTTCTTCCCTTCTGTCAGACATAATTCCTCAGTTTAGCCTTCCCACCTCTATACAGTCTGATAACAGACCAGCCTTTATTAGTCAAATCAGCCAAGCATTTTTTCAGGCTCTTAGTATTCAGTGACAGACTAATGGTCTATTAAAAACACACCTCACCAAGCTCAGCCACCAACTTAAAAAGGACTGGACAATACTTTTACCACTTTCCCTTCTCAGAAGTCAGACATGTCCTCAGAATGCTACAAGGTACAGCCCATTTAACCTCCTGTATAGATGCTCCTTTTTATTAGGCCCCAGTCTCATTCCAGACACCAGACCAACTTCGACTGTGCCCCAAAAAACTTGTCATCCCTACTATCTTCTGTCTAGTCATACTCCTATTCACCGTTCTCAACTACTCATACATGCCCTGCTCTTGTTTACACTGCCGGTTTATACTGTTTCTCCAAGCCATCACAGCTGATATCTCCTCGTGCTATCTCCAAATTGCCACTCTTAACTCTTGAAGTAAATAAATAATCTTTGCTGGCAGGACTATGCTGAATCTCCATAGGCACTCTCTAATTAAATGTCCTAGGTCCTCCCAATTCTTAGACCTTTTATACCTGTTTTTCTCCTTCTCTTATTCCATTTAGTTTTTCAATTCATACAAAACCGTATCCAGGCCATCACCAATCATTCTACATGACAAATGTTTCTTCTAACAACCCCACAATATCACCCCTTACCACAAGACCTCCCTTCAGCTTAATCTCTCCCACTCTAGGTTCCCACGCCACCCCTAATCCCGCTTGAAGCAGCCCGGAGAAACATCGTCCATTCTGTCTCCATACCACTCCCCCAAAATTTTCACCGCCCCAACACTTCAACACTATTTTGTTTTATTTTTCTTATTAATATATGAAGGCAGGAATGTCAGGCCTCTGAGCCCAAGCCAAGCCATCGCATCCCCTGTGACTTGCACCTATACGCCCAGATGGCTTGAAGTAACTGAAGAATCACAAAAGAAGTGAAAAGGCCCTGCCCCGCCTTAACTGATGACATTCCACCATTGTGATTTGTTTCTGCCCCACCTTAACTGAGTGATTAACCCTGTGAATTTCCTTCTCCTGGCTCAGAAGCTCCCCCACTGAGCACCTTGTGACCCCCCTTCCCTGCCCACCAGAGAACAACCCCCTTTGACTGTAATTTTCCATTATCTTCCCAAATCCTATAAAACGGCCCCACCCCTATCTCCCTTCGCTGACTCTCTTTTTGGACTCAGCCCGCCTGCACCCAGGTGAAATAAACAGCCATGTTGCTCACACAAAGCCTGTTTGGTGGTTCTCTTCACACGGATGCGCATGAAACTTAGTTCATAATTGGCTAAGCCAGGGCTCAAATCCAGGTCTGCTGATTCCAAAGCCTGTGACCTTAGCTGTGAGGCCAAGGAAGAAGGGATCACGCACACCTCTGACCACCCCAGCTGCCTACCCTGACCCCACAACTTCCTTGCTCCTGGAGGCATGGAGCAGGGACAGGGGTGGTCCACCTGGTTGGTAATCAATCACTCATTCATTCCTCTACTCAACCAGTCACGTGTGCACTCAGTAAACATGTATGGAGGGTGCACTAAGTGCCCAAAGGGGGGTGAGGCACTGGGATCGGTGGGTGAACTTTCAGATGCAATCCCTCCCTCATGTAGCTTATAAGCAGTGGGGCCTCAGATGTGAAGGCAAAGCTCAGAATTCAGGGGATTCAGGGTCCCCTGGCAGGTGCCCAGGGTGCTAGAGAGAGCAGGTCAGGAACACTCTTGAACAGCGGAGGCCCAGCCTGGCTCGTCCCCCTCCTGCCCCCTGGGGCGGGTGTCTGCGGCCTCCAGGCTACTCCTGGATGATTTTATTAGCTGTGTTGGGAGCATATGGTCCTCGGACATGAGACCTGAAGTAGTATTTACTGGAGAGCCGAGGACACCGGGTTCCCGTGTGGGCTGGGTTTGGCACGCACTCGGTTACTGATTGATAGGCCATTCAGGAAACAAAGACCACAAGAGAATTCAGCATGCTCCTGGCTCGGGGCCAAGCCAGCCTCATCTCCTTTGCTTTGTCAAGTGTGTCTTTTTGTCTGCCTTCATCACTTGCTGGGCGCCTCTGTGTTCACTGCCGGGAGGAAGCCAAGTGTGTATTTGCAGGGGCTGTGGGGGTGTATCCAGCTTTTCTCTAAGAACAGCTATCCAAGGGGCGGGAGGGAACAAGGGGGTCAGCCACAGCTCTCCCCTTACCCCTTCCCCTGAAAAGTCACAGCTCCTTGACGTGTGAGCTGAAGCTTGGGACTTTTGTCTTGTGTCTGTTTTTTCCAAAGCCAAGTCCAGAGACAGACCAGGGCCTTCCCAAGGTCACACAGCAAGCCAAGGGCAGAGCTGGCAGTGAAACCAATTTTCCACCTTCCACGGTGTGGTCTGCACTGAGCTGCAGGCAGGGCTTCCGGGGCCACAAATTGCTTCCCCAGCTCAGAACATTGCCCTCTTCTCCCCTCCCTGCTGCCCTGCTCACCAGGGGGAATTCCTCTCAGTGACACCAAAGAAGCCCTTTGGGGAAGTGACAGTGAGCATTTCTTGAAAAGGGAACCAAGTTTAGACATCTAGAGACAGTAGCAGCCGCGGTGACTGGCGGCCTCCTGGGGCTGAGGAACTTCGGGGTGTCACTCAGGGTGACAGCAGGTAGCCCAGCAAGCCCATAGGAGCAGGACAGGCCAGGCTGGGCCTCCACTGTTCCAGGACTGTTCCTGACCTGGTGTCACCTGCACCCTGTGAAGGGAAGCTCAGAATTCAGGGAGACTCAGGGTCCCCTGGCAGGTGCTCTGCCCTGGTCTCCCGCCCTGCCAGGGGACCCTAAGTCTCCCTAAATTCTGAGCTTGCCTTCACATCTGAGGCCCCACTGCCTACAAACTGAAAATGAAATCTGCCAAAACGGGTTGGGGAGCTGCCACTCCTGAACATAGCTCGTCCCAGTCCCTTCTAGGCATGAGGTCCCTCCACACCTGGGGGAGACCCTCCCCCAATCTCCCAATGCCACCTTCTTTGCCCCTCCAGTGTCAGGTTGAAGCTCTGGGAATGAACGTTTGAAGTTCTAAACAGGATTTCTTCCCAAGTCCTCAGTCACTCAACGGCAAACTATGAAGTGTCCCCAGCCTGTGAGGCTCCTCCTGCAGCCAAAACTGGGAGGGGGCACTGAGTCTGGGCCCAGGCTTTCTTCCAAGGCTAGGACACTCGGGCCCTTCCGTGGCTCTCCCAGTGCAGCCCTGGGCTCAGCACTGCCCTCCCAATGTCCCGGAAGGAGGCCGCTGTGGCCCTGGCTCCGAGGCCCAGGCCCAATCCATCTTCCCAGCCAGTGACTCGCTCTGACAACAGGGCCGAGCTGCCGTGGCATTTGCCTCTGATCTCCGCTGGCCAGGCATTTGTCAGGCAGCCTGCTAGGAATGAAGAATGGGCGCTTGGTGAGGCACAGATTACCCGCCCCAGAGGCCCCTGATGAATTGCAGTTCAGAGCTCAGCTGCCTGGGGCCATGGATCAACAGGGAGGCGACTAATCTCCCCCACAGCAGCCCTGCCGAGCAGAGCGGAGGGAGGGTGGAAGCCTGGAGAGTCTGGGAGGAGACGCTACACCACCCCCTGCCCTGGGCCTTTCTTCAGCACAACACCCCTCACGCCCTCCACTCCCACCCGTCTGTCCAGGGAGCCCACTTCCTTCACTAGACGCAGCGCCAGTGGAGACGCTCAGTTCTTTGGGGGCACCCCTTCCTTGCTCCCTGTACAAGAGAGAGAGTTCGGAATTGCTGGGGGGGTGGGGTGGAGATTTCTCCTGATGCCCCAAAGCATTTAGAAAAACTGGAGGCCCATGCCAGGGGCACCCTCACCCTGGACAGGAGATCAGCCTGTAGGAGCTAGCGATCGGCCTGTCTGAGGCTCTTCTTCCTCTGATGGGGAAGTCCAGGCCACCCAGCCAGGAAGTGCCTGCCAGAACCCAGCAGAAGCCCTCCTGCCCCCATGCCCACAGGGCTCTTTCTCTGGAGCTGCTCAGAGGCTGGATGGGTTTGGATGGTGGACCCTTTAGCAAGGGATAGGTGTGGGACTGGCTGCTGGCTCACAGGCTAATTCTCCTGGCCCTCCCTGGGCTTCCTACCCAGCTCTTCCTGTTCATGGGTGCTGTGAGGAAGGCCAGGACTCAGCGGACTTAGCAGAGACCCTGCAACCCCATTGCCCAAGGCCAGCACTTCTGGGCCTGGGGGCTCTGGAAGTGCTCTCCCAGGGGCTGGCAGGGCAGAGCTACCTGCCCTCTCCCCAGATGGTGAAACAAGTCCAGTTTCCCTTGGGCCCTCACCTGCTCCGCCTGGCTGCGTTCCCCTCACCCTCACCTGGACATGCTCACCTACTAAGCTGTGACTGTCACCTTTTGCTCCACTTCGAGTTCACCTGGGGAGGCTGAACAACCACCGATGCCCCATCAGTTGAATCAGACTCACGGCAGCTGGGGTTGAGAAGAGCTACTGAGGCAAAGCCTCTTTCCCCTCCCACCCTACAAACGTCCCTGCTTGACTTCTCTGCCCCTCCCCATGTCCTGCTGTTGTTGATTTACTCAGACTACAGGGTTAGAGGCGTCGCCGTTCCCCAGGAGTTGGGGAAGATGTGTAGATCACGTGGGGTCTCTGCCTCTGGGAAGGAATGAGCACTTAAGACCCCACAGCCAAGAATTACCCCAGAGTGGGGCAAGTGCTGTACCTGGGGGGTGAACAAGCGGAATGAGAAGAGCTGAGGGCTTTCCTAGGAAATCACGGCACCGGGCGGACCATTCAGGAGCCAGGAGCCCCTCCTCCCGGCAAAGGCCCTTGGAAAGATTGAGTTGAAAACACACAGCTGGAGGGGATTCGGCGCAAGCCACGTGCTCCCTCTGGTGGTCAGAAAGGGAATTGCGGCCTCAGACGAAGACTGTCATGGTCGGAGTTGTCTGATTAAGAGTAATTCACCCAATAATTTCCTAGGCTTGGTAGATCTTTGTGACTCAATGCAGGTCTGAATTGTGGAAAATCCCAAAGTGAAGTGAAAGTTCAGTAACTGCCAGCCCATGTGACCTTTCTGGAGAGAGAAGGGAAATGTTCACAAGAGTCCTGGTTAGGAAGCAGGTCCCAGGCCTCTGAACACCACCTGGGGCCATGGGGCTCGTTAAGCCTCCGCCTGCAGAGGCCACCCCCCAAACCTCATATTCAACCGGGCTGGGGAAATCTGGGTACGTGGTGGTTTGAAAAGCCCCTCAGGTTCAGACCTGATAAAGCCTCACATTTCACAAGGAGGGAGGCCTTGAGGCAGGGTCAGCGAAGGGAAGTGACTCATCCAGAGCAGGTGGAATTTCCCTCTGAGGGTGGCAGGCTGGATTGTCCTCTGTATGGAACATTCTAGAACATTCTAGAAACGTGATTCTTCTCCAGTGCTCTTACTTCTCCTGGGGTGGGCCACAGGTCTGAATACCCCCTCTTCCTGTTTGCCTTGCTGCTGCATCCAAGAGGCTTTGGGAGCCTCCCTCCTCCTGAAAGCCCCCCTGGCTAGACCTGCCCCATTCAAGTTCATTTCTCCCACCCTCGAGGGAGAGCTCAAGTGTGTGCCTCTATCTCCTGCAAAGAAAACTGAATTCCATTTAAGGGTTTGGCCTACACCAATGAGTCCACATTTGGAGTGGGGTGTCACAAGGACTTGGTGCTGAGTTGTAAGTCACCTGGCCTTCCCCTGCCTGGCTCCTGGTCTCCTCTGGAGTTTCTCCCCACAACCCCAGGCCTTCTCTGTTTCCCCTTCACTCTCCAAACCCACAGGCAGTCAGTGGGTAGTCCACCTCCCTGCCCCACCAACCGCTTCCCGTCCTTTGGATGTTCGTGTGGTGGGAAGAGCTCTGGAAGGGGAGCCAGAGACCTGCAGTTTACCTCTGGCTCCGACTCAGGCTGGCCATGTCACTCTGGATAAGCCACGGCCTCTCTTAGAGCCTCGGTTTCCCCTTCTGTAAATTGAAGACGGTCTGTTTTGCTCTCTAAGGACCCTTCCCTGCTCAAGCCTTCTGTGTTTCTAGGAGAGTTGGTGGTTATCAGGGACTGGGGGCAGTGGATTAAGACAAAGAGCTTAATTCCCAAGTGGAGTGAGGTCTATCCTGCCTCTGGCCCCCAAACACACCCTGTTCATTTCCTGGTCCTGTAGCTTGGTTCTCCTGCCAGTTCTCCCCTCTCCTCCCTCAAAAGCTTGCAGGCCCAGATGAGGAAGCCAGACGCTAGGTGGTGCCAGAATCCCACAATCCCTCCAGCCTTCGAGGCCTCTGAGTGAAGGGAGGGAGAGGAAAGTTGGGCTCCTTCCTGAGTGCAGAAGGTCCCAGAGGCCTCCCTGCATGGCCATGGCCTTGGACTCACAGCAAAGGGGGCATGGGCATTAGGAGTCGGGCACATTAGGAGTCCGCACTAGGTGGAGCGACCTGGAAGCATCTCAGGCTGAGGCTGCCCTGGGTGGGTCCCTGCCTGCATGGACGGGGGCTGGAGCAAGTGTGACAGTGGTCTCACTCTCACCATCTGTTCCCTGGCCCCAGGCCCTGGAATTAACCAACCCTCCAAATAGGTGGCCCCAAGAGTGGAAAGAGGTGGCCCGAGCTTAGTACCAGGAGGGGGCTGGGAAGAGGGCTGGCTCCTTCAGGACATGTGCAGAGGCCCAGCACCAGGCTCCCCGGACCCACCCACCTTGGCCCAGGGGGGTACATATGGAAAACGGCAGAGCACAGGAATGTGACCACACAGAGGCCCATCTTGGTAGCCTGGGGCCTCTCCACAGCAACTGCTAAGCAGGGTCGCTTCCAGGAACCCAACAGTGGTGCCTGGGGCAGAGGCCTCATGGGTATCCAATGGGCTGTGGTTTTGACCTCTGGGCCTTTCAGACTTCCCAGGTGTATAAAAGCCAGGCTGAGGCCTCTGTCCCCAGGGCTTCTGCCAGTTCAAGGGGTGTGAGGAGTGGCCTACAGATGACAACACTGAACTTCTTGCTTTTACAGGCAGACAGGTGCCTGAGCAATTAATTGAAAAAACAAATGAGACCCGGCTGTATTTGTACTTGAGCTTGGAGAGGCTGGTGGTGACAGAGGAGGGAGACAGGCAGGCAGGTGAGGGAAGCAGCGGTCTCTGACGCCGGCTTTATTATAAGCATGAGGTGGCACGAGGCAGGAGTTGGCGATGCCACCTGGGGGTCACATTGAGTCTGGAGCTTCCTTCAGCCCAAGCGCTGGCAGTGACGGGGACAAAGGTCTAAAGCCCAGGGAAGAAGGGGAGGCGCCAGAGGCAGGGCCATGCTTGGCTTCCCAGCTGGCCCCAGTGCAGTGGGTGGCACCGCCGAGGCTGAGAAGACAAAGGCAGGATGGGGTTGGGTGGGAGGCAGCAGAGGTTGGGGTTTTACTTCCCCCTTGTCCATCTCACTTTTCTCCAGGGCTCCTCTGTGATCTCCTGCGGCACACACTCCACGCCAGGCCCTTGGCCATCATTTTAAACACACGATGGGTGACAGACCACCTGGCTGATGTGTGGACGACCCTAAAATTCTTATTTACCGAGTCCAGGAGCCAGAATTCTTCCCTGTTGCTCCCAAGCCTGCCCTGCCCTCCCCGCACCTTCCCCAGGCCCTCCTAGCATACCTGCTGTTACGGCTCATCTTCATTGATTTGCCTGGTGGGGGAAGGAAAAGCAACAGGTGAGAGGGCAGGGGGAGGGGTGGGTCTAGGGATCTCTGAGGCTGGGGATCCTCCACTGTGTCAGAGACAAAATCCTCAGCCCGCCCCTCCTTCTCCAGCCCCAACCCCCTCATCGGTCACCCCAGGCAGCGCTCACCTGCGCTTCTTATTGCCCCCACAGCGGAATCTTCTGCCTTGAAAAGAGAAAAGGAGATTTGTTTCCATGGACTAATTTTCCAAGGAGACCCTGGAAGACTCAAAATTCTTCCAGTCTCTCCTACCTCCCTCCTGCCAGTATCATCGCAGGGTCAGGCTTGGAGGCCACGTTTGACTGTCTCTATTTTATTTTATATTTTATTTTATTTTATTTTTTGAGACGGGGTCTTACTCTGTCACCCAGGCTGGAGTGCAGTGGTGGGATCGTAGCTCACTGCAGCCTCAAACTCCTGGGCTCAAGTAATCCTCCTGCCTCAGCCTCCCAAGTAGCTGGGACTATAGGTACATGTCACCATGCCCAGCTAATTAAAAAAATTTTTTTTTGTATAGATCGGGTCTCACTGTATTGACCAGGCTGGTCTTAAACTCCTGGTCTCAAGAGATCCTCCTGCCTTGGCCTCCTAATATGCCGGCATTACAGGCATGAGCCACCACGCCCAGCCTTCTCTCTCTTTATATAAGGCTGGACCATAGGCATTTAAGAACCTAAGTCAGTCAGTCAGTCAGCAAATATTTACTGGAGCAGATCCACGGTGGTCTGTTGGCATATCGAGAGTAGCAGCAGAGACTGGGCCATCATGGTGCCCCCAGCACAGCTGCCCGATGAACACCTGGAGAAGGATGGCAGCAACTCCAAAGTGGAGCCCCTTGCTTAGGCCACCTGCCTCCTGTGCCTATGTGATCAGCTGCCACCCGGCACTGCCCTCCGGGAGCTGCCACGGGCAACATGTGAAAATGGGGAGACCTGCAGGACTGTGGCCCGAGCCTTGGGGTGGGCTGGCAGTGGCACACGTAGAGAGAGCTGCCATGGGCAACACGGGAAAATGGGGAGACCCGCAGGACTGTGGCCCGAGCCTTGGGGTGGGGTGGCAGTGGCACACGTGCATTAGAAGTCCAGAGCCCACAGGTGTGCTTGCTGTATCTTCTTTCCATGGGTTGTGTTTTCTGTGTATTTTTCTTTGGGTTGGACCAAAACAAGTCAATGTGCAGTTATTAAGCTCCTGCTGTGTGCCCCTCGGGGCTTGAGGATACATAACTCTCTTTGTCTCCCCCAGAACACTCCGAGTCTGCACTGGACCGTTCTCAGAGCGCTGTCCTGACTGCCATGTCTTTGGATGCTAGCCCTAATCTTGTGAGGCAGGTGGGATCATCCCTATTTAACAAATGAGTTTGGGACCATGGTTAGCAGCGGGGGGCCTAGTCCCCCTGTCTGGCCCTCCGGTTACCCAGTTACCCCGTGGGTTTGCTCTCACTTCTGCGGCTCCTCCCGGGCCCACTGGAGGGTGCACTTGAGCAAGCAGGAACCTCACACTGTGCTCCCAGCGAGCCTGGCACCCCACCGGGCACCCATTCCCACATCCTGCAGTGGGGGGCGTGGTGGGGAGGCTCACCCCTCCCTTGGCAACTCCCGAAAGCCAGCCTGCTCAGCGGCCTTGAGAAGAGAGGTGCCCTGGTCAGCACCCCTTCCCTGGAGGCCACCCCACTTACTGAGGAGGATGAGGAGCCCCACGATGAAGGCCAGTCCAGCGAAGATCAGGCCCCCATTGCGAACGGTCTCATAGTCTCCGGAAAGAGAGGGCAAGAGGAGCGGGATGGGTGGTCTCTCCCAGCAGCTGTCTCTCTCCGCAGCCTGCCCGCAGCAGCCCGTGGTAACCAGGGGAGATAAGGGGCACAGAGCATGGACCTGGGGCTGGGAGAGGCCGCTGCTTGGTGGAAGGGGTCCTGAGGGCTCAGGAAGGGTGCGCAGGGGCCCAGGCTTACCATAGTAGAACGGGTCCACGTCCCCCTTGGGGCTGCCGCCTAGGAGAGAGCCAGAGGTGGGATGAGAGGAGTCACCGATGGTGAGCCAGCCACAGGAACAGCTGGAATTCCCTGTCCTTCCCTTCCCAGAGGACCCTCGAGGGTCCAAGCAGGCGAGGGGAGGCTGGGAGCAGGGGTGTTGCTAAAACCATTGCCAGCAGGCTTCTGCTCCAGGCGGCTTCAGACACGCTCAACTGGGGACCAAATACCGAGTGTCCGAGGGGGATCCGTGCTGTCTGGGGGGCCTCTGACCACTCCGGAAGGGTGGCTCTCTCCTGCTCCTTGATTCCTACCATGGTAGAAAAGGCCAGGAGAAGCCTCTCCCATTAGACTCCCAGCGGCCTCTCTCCACAGGACCATTTGGCTATCAGGTGCTTAGCAGCTATTTGGGAAATGCATGAATAAATAAAACAGAACCTTAAAGTTTATCAGACAGAAGGAGGAAGCCGAGCCCAATGTGTAGACTTGTTCAAAGTCCTAATGAAAGCTGAGACAGACCTCCTTTCCTGCGTTACCATCCTCAGGGGAAGCAGATCTAGTTAAGAAACATTAATATATAGTGCTGGTCAGGCACCGGGCAAAAACTAACAAACCCTAACTCATCTAACCATTATGGCAACCTTATGAGGCGTCAATGTCATTCTGGTGTAATCCACAAGAGGGTGGAAGTGCAGAGAAGAAATTCCCCCACAGTTATACAGCAAGTCAGGGGTAGAGCTGGTGTTTGAACCCAGGAAGCAGGGGGCTGAGAATGGAGGTGCATAAGCCCTTTGATCTGCCACCTCTCAATGGCGGGAGGGAAGGAGCCCGTTAGAGGTAAGGTCCTGCCCCTGCCTCTGGTGGCCTCCCCCGGATTTGGAGCCGCTCAGCAGGCAGGTCTCACAGTGGTGCCCTGCAACTGAGTACACTTGCCCCGGACAGCCAGACGGTGGCCTGGCCAGGACGCTTCTGCCACAGCTAAGGGCCGCTACTCTTTCCTGCCCTGCCGGAGCCCCTTCTCGCACGAGGGAAGTGGAGCCCGAGGAGGAAGGAACGCGCAAGTTAGCACTTTCCGGGCTGTGCCAAACTGTGCCCCTGAGCAGCAGTGAGACTTAGGGTCTGTCAAGCCCAGCTGTCCCCAGCGGCCAGTCCCTGGGCCAGGAAAGGACAGGCCAGGAAGAGTCAGTGCCCATCCTGACGGGCCTGAGGTGCTGGGTGCTCAGGGAGGCCATGAAGGACCCAGGTCCCACACAGAAGGCCGTCAGGGCTGTCTTCCCAGATTTGGTTCAGGCCTTGTTTAAGGTCATATGGGGATTTAAGTGTCAGAGCAACAGCTAGACGCCAGCTGAGGCTTCCCCACACGCCCCAGGAAACCTCCTCCTCCGTGGCCACCTGGCCCTGAGCCGCTTGCTGAGACCCTCCCTGCCCAGCACCCTCCCCTTTCTGCATCTGGCTCAAAACCCACCTCTGTCAGCAAGTGCCCCTCTTGGTTTCCAGGCCTGAGTCAGTTCCTGTGACAGGAAGCCTTTGGAGAGTGTGACTTGAACTTGGCGGGCTCTCACCCCAAATCCAGCCTAGGAAGGCTGACCAGAGGGGCCTGCTCCTTCCCCAGCCAGATGGACGCCGTCTGCCTCCCGCCCAAGTTCAGACGGTCTAGCAAGATGCATTGAACTCAGGGCGGGTGTGTGCCAGGAGGCCGAGGAGGAACGCTCAGCTCTCCAGCTTCTATCTGCTGCCTTTCTGCCACTCAAGCTATCTTTCTTTGGGGTTAAAGCAGGGTCCTCCTTTAAGTTGCAAATTTTCTTAGAGAGGAGGCCGACAGGAAGAGGGGCTGGGTACTCTGGAAGGCTGAGGTGGCAGGAGAGGGAAGAGTAGGGTCCAGCTGACCCCACAAAGGCAGGCCAATCAGAGCCACCCAGCATTGCACACGCCCGGGCACGCACACCAGCACACTCACCACCGTCCATCGACAACCCAGTCATTTCCCCAGGTGAATGGGCTGCCTCCACTCCCCTCTTCCTGCTGTCTCTGCTTTTTGGAGAGTGTCTGGCTGCCTCCACGGGGTGGCCGGGGACGAGGTGCGGGCATTAAACATTAACAGTGCCAGGTAATATTTACCCTGGTCACAAGAAAAGCTGCAGTGTGGATGGAGGGGCTCCTTCTGCAGGGTGAGGACGTG
The DNA here is from genome assembly GCF_000001405.40 of Homo sapiens. Taxonomy (NCBI): domain Eukaryota; kingdom Metazoa; phylum Chordata; class Mammalia; order Primates; family Hominidae; genus Homo; species Homo sapiens. Next base: position 117,824,876 of record NC_000011.10, read on the forward strand.
CGTGGGGAGGCAGGGGCAGGGAGGAGCTGGCTGAGTTTCCAAACCTTCCCAAAGGAAATTTCCAAAGAGAAGGGTTGGGATGGGTCAGCAGTCGTGCTGTTCTGCCAGCTGGGGAAGCTACAGCTGGGGCGGTGGGAACAGGAAAGTGGAAGTTGCACAATCTCTTCAGTGTACACTGTACTTGGGAGTTTCTGGGGGCAGTGGCCCACAGTGGCCCCCAGCCCAGGCAGGGCCCACCGCACCAGCCACCATGGATGCCGCCGCTGCAGCTGGTGTTCCTTATGTGGTACTGGAGGCTTTCCTGCAGTGGTCCCTAGGAGCCTGGCCCACTGCTCCCCCACCACATCCCTGGAGCACCGCCAAAGCTGACCAGCAGTAGATCCTCCAGAAGGGCCCTTCATCTGTCATCCTATTCACCCATCAACGTGCACCCTGCAGGTTACACCTCATTCAGAAGGGCTTCAGTCATCCCCAACTAATTTCTCCTTCCCTGCCGCCCTGGCACTTCCTCCTACCACCATTTGGCCTGGCTCTCGGATTGTGTCCTTGCCAGTTTACCATGGAGCATGCAGGATCCTTAAGGACAGGGCAAGACTTTCATCGTGGGGAAAACCCCCTGCGTTTATGGTTTACCAAGCACTTTCCTCACTGTTTTTTCTCCTCAAGCTTTATGTTTCCCATTTTACTGATGAGGCAGGTGTCTAAGGCACAGAGAGGTAGGGGCCTTGCCCAGGGTCACACAGCCAGTGTGGGGGAAGTGGAGACTGACAATCAGGCCTCCTGCTGCAGGAGGCAGATGCTTTCCACACCTCGCAGGCAGCCTCCCCACTCCGCTGTGACCTCCTTCGCCCCAGGACTCCTGTGCCGGGTAGTCACAGGTACTGTAGAATCCTCGTTGAGTTCTAGTCCATTGAATTGGCCTCCAGAAAAGGCTGAAGCCCAATGGCCACAAAACAGCCAAGGTCAGTGGCCAGCGGACAGCAGGGGAGCTTGAGCCCTTCTGAAGGGAGCCACTGTATCCATGAATCCTCCCCAAGCAGGGGCAGGGCTTGGCACTTGAGTTCACACCCTGGCCCTCTCACTTGCTAATGGTGTGGTCTCAGTCAATGACTTCACCTCTCTGTGCCTCAGTCTCCTCATCTGTAAAATGGGCGCAGTACCCAGCTCCTAGGGTGGTGGTGAGGGGAAGTGAGATAATGCATGCAAAGAGCATATCCCAGGGCCTGGCACACGGTGAGTGGCATCATTTTTACTGTTATATGTGTGTTGATTGAAGAAATGACAAGCATTAGCCTTTGGCAAATGTTTGCTGTTGGACATGGAAAAGCCAGCCACCCTCCAATGAAAATGGGCACGAATGAGTGAGACGGAGAGAATGGCATGGCCCTGCAGATCAGGCGCTGCAATACCCGTTCAGCTCCCTTCTGCTTCTGGAGCCAAGAAATATATATTCGTGCAAACATCACAGCAGAGCCAGCGTTTGGTGAAGATGGACCACGTGCCAGGCTCTTGGAATGCACTGCATCACTTAATTCCTACTAATGGCGTTTTACAGATAAAGAAACTTGAGGCTGCTCATTTGCTTTCCACAATAGCCCCTGGACGTGGCCAGGGCACTGGGTACACCAGAAAAAACGAGGGCAGGAAGGTGAAGGGACTTGCCTGAAACACACAGTTAATGGCAAACTGGAGGTAGAAAGCCCAGATCCTCCAAGATGTGCTACCAAAGCTACTGCCATCTCCACACAAGACAAGGGTGCTCCCTTTATTATACAGGATTGTGTTATCTTATTGCATTTGGTCTGTATTTGTAAGCCTCCATGGAGTCTTTCGGGAATAATAAGAGATGTAAAAATAAGTGGGAAGTTAAATAAATTCATCTGTCTGTCTGTCTGTCTGTCTGTCTATCTATCTATCTATCTATCTATCTATCTATCTATCTATCTATCTGTCTATCTATCTATCTATCCATTGACAACCCAGTCATTTCCCCACCCAAATGGACTGTCTCCACTTGCCTCTTCCTGCTGTCTTTGCTCCTTGGTGGGGTGGCTGGGGATGAGGTGGGGGCATTAAACATTAACAGTGCCAGGTAATATTTACCCTGGTCACAAACAAAGCTGCAGTGTGGATGGAAGGGCTCCCACTGCGGGGGGGAGGAGGTGCATGGGGAGGCACCAACAGATGGATGGATAGATAGATAAATAGAGAGATAGATAGATAGATAGATAGATAGATAGATAGATAGATAGATAGATAGATATGGATGATAGATCGATCAATAGATAGATGAATAGGAAGCAATAGGGAAAGCTAGTTGATGGCTACATTTTTAAACTCTGTGTGCAAGGCACCGTTTCAAGCACTTTACAGAAATTAATTCTTTTTTTTAAGACGGAGTTTCGCTCTTGTCACCCAGGCTGGAGTGCAATGGTGCGATCTCGACTCACTGCAACCTCCGCCTCCCGGGTTCAAGTGACTCTCCTGTCTCAGCCTCCTGAGTAGCTGGGATTAAAGGCATGTGCCACCAAGCCTGGCTAGTTTTGTATTTTTAGTAGAGACGGGGTTTCACCATGTTGGTCAGGCTGGTCTCGAACTCCTGACCTCAGATAATCCGCCCGCCTTGGCCTCCCAAAGTGCTGGAATTACAGGCGTGAGCCACCATGCCTGGCCAGAAATTAATTCTTTAGTCATCACAATGAGTTTTAGAAGGTAAAGAAGGCATTATTATCACCCCATTTCATAGAGGAAGAAACTGAGGCCCAGATAAGTTAAATAACTTGCCAGAGGTCAGATGGCCAGAGGGTAGGGGAACCAAGATTTCAAGCCAGCAGCCTGGCTTCTGAGTTCCTGCATCTCTAAGGGACGGATGGACAGACAAGTAAATGAGGCAGTTGGACAGCTGCCTTCCCAGCCCTCGCAGCTCAGATATGCTCTGCACACACGTTACAGCAGGCCAGTGACTCCGTATGGAGATGCTCTTTTTTGGAAATTCTGCCTCTCTTCCTTTCTGCTTTTCCTGCACTTCTGGGGAGCTTGTGGGTGCACTTGAAAGGGACGGGGCTGGCACCTGTGTTAGAGCCTGAGCAGGGAGGAGGAATGGGGCTCAGAGGACTCACCCAGGTACCACCTGTCCATGGCAGGAGCTGCTGGTTGTGTCCAGGAGTGCAGGAGAGCAGGGAGGTGCTGCTTGCCTGGGGCCTGGATGGAGAGTGGCACTCCCCCTCTTCACACTTCAGGTGAGCCCACAAACAGGAAGAGACACAGGGAGGGAGGAGGGGCTGGCAAAGGAGCCCTTACCTCGTGCCCACTTGCTGGGGCGGGTTGGGGCAAGGGATGCACGTGAAAGCCAGGGGAGATTTTCTGACCTCCACCTGGCACTTGAGGATGGGCAAGCTGTCAGATGCAGCAGAGCCAACCACAGCCCCCGCCCTGGCCCTCTCCCTCGAGGGGCTCCACACTGCAGCCAGCCCAGGGTGCCCGAAAAGGGTACAGGAGCCGGGAGGAATCAAGGAGCCCACTCTTCCCCAGGCCCCTGGGCTGGTGGCATGTGAGGGAGACCTTTAGGGGCATGTGTGGGTCCCCTGAGCTTTACTCCGCTGCACCTCTGCCCTCCAGTCCAGCTGGGCCGTTGGCCGGAGGTATCCTGCCCAAGACCCCGGTCTGTAGCTAGGCATCCCCTGAGACTGGGAGGCACAGCTGCAGCCTCTCAGAGGGGTGGGAATGGTTTCCAGGACCCTGTCGTGGCACCTGAGGCACCGGCCCCAGCTTCCTGTGTCGTTCTGGCAGTTGGCAGAGAGATGGGGAGCAGCTGCGGGGCTGGGAGCCGGAGCTGTGATGGGGGCCGCTCCTGTGGCCTGCCCTTTCCTCAGCTGGGACCCCTCACTCAGCCCGCAGTGACTCACCCAGCCCACAGTGACTCACCCAGGCTGTGATGTCAGGCCTGCCTGCCACACCTCAGAGGGCTCAGCTGGAGACACCAGCAGCCTAATGAGTCCTCTGGGGGCTGCTGGTTGGTATCAGAGGGGAATGGCCAGAAGACAACACTGCTAGGCCCAGGGCATGGTCAGAGCCAGAAGCCAGCAGGGAGCCACAGGGAGCCCCACCAGGCGGGGCAGGCCACTAGGCAGGGTGTCCTACCATGCAGGGCAGCCCACTACACTGCCCAGGCAGTCTCTGTTCCTCGGCCACCAAGGCCTTGCCCACAGCAAAGCCACAGTGAGCAGTCTCTGTGTGGCTGACTTGGGACCACAGGGTCTCCGTCAGGTTCCTGTAGCCGCCCTGGCACGGCCACCCCAACGTGGACACTGAGAAGCAGAGTTAGGAGGGGCTGGCTCTGGCCCCAGCCTCTGACCCGGGCTCTGGTCACTCTGACTCCCGCCTCTCTGTCCCTCCTTTGCAACACTCCCTGTCCTGAGGGGAGGACTCATGACGTCCCAGGGAGCCCTCTCAGGGCTGAAATAGAGACCAGGAGGTCTAAGAGGTGCTATTTGTTATCAGGATGGGCTGAGATCGGCGCTGGGGCCCCTGAGCACAGCCCTGACTCCAGGCTCTCTGCACCTTTCCCTCCAGACCACCCTGGAGGCAGGGCCAGACCTGTCCTGGGGTGGATAACAGCTCGGCTGGCAGGCGGGCCTGTCCCATGCTCCCAAGTGGAAACCTGCCCACTCAGCCCAGAGCGGCTGAGTGGAAATTCCCCAAGCTGGGGTTAGAGAAGTTTACAAACCTCGGGACTGGGTGAGACTTAGAGGTACCTGGTCCAAACATATTCTAAGTGGTCCAGAAAAGTGGAGCTCTCAGCCAAATCCCCCCCACCCACACCGCCAGTATACACACTCTGTTCCCTGCCCGCCACCAGTGTTGTGAAGGAAGGCATCTCTATCTCAGAGCCCGGTGTGATTGATGGTCCAACCAGAAAGGACACCAAAGCCATCCCATCCCAACCCCTCCCTTTAAAAGTTGCTCCCTCTCCTGCTCAAAATCCTCAGAGAGGGCTCGGATGATACGCAAAATCTTTGTGTGTCCAAAAAAGAAGCCCCTTTTTTTTTTTGAGATGGAGTTTTGCTCTTGTTGCCCAGGCTGGAGTGCAATGGCGCGATCTCAGTTCACTGCAACCTCTGCCTCCTGGGTTCAAGCGATTATTCTGACTAAGCCTCCCAAGCAGCTGGGATTACAGGAGCCGCCACCACACCCAGTAATTTTTGTATTTTTGTATTTTTAGTAGAGACCGGGTTTCGCCATGTTGGCTGGTCTCAAACTCCTGACCTTAGGTGATCCGCCCGCCTTGGCCTCCCGAACTGCTGGGATTACAGGCGCGAGCCACCGCACCCAGCCAAGAAGCCCTTCTCATTCTGGCTCTAGGCACCTGTGAGCTGGTCCCCCACCTCCCCGCCCTGCTTTCTGCTCCAGCCATGCTGGCCTTCTTGACACCCCTCACCCTCCAGGACCTCCGCACCGGCTGTTCCCGCTTCCTAAATGCTCAGCCTCCACAGGGCTTCCTGCTCGGTACACGCTGCCTTCAGGGCTTTCTTCAAAGCCCTGATTCTGGACATCCCTGTATAAAATGTTCACACCCACTGCCTCAGCCTGGCTTTTCCTCTGTGGCACTTGTTCTTAACTAAGGTATGTATTTCCCTTATCTTGTTTGTCCCTCTCCCAACTAAAATGTAAGCACCAGGAGAGCAAGGATTTTTGTTTGTTTGTTCATTCCCCCATGCCTGGAACAGTGCATCGTGGGACCCAGTTTTATTAAATGAATGAATCAGTCCCAGGCAAAAATCAGGCAAAGATGGGGACAGGATAGAGGGGAAATCACTTCTCCCATGCTGCAGGCAGACCTAGGACTTGCCTCAGGCAGCCTCCTTCCATGCTGTCGCCTGCCCTGTGAGGAGTCACAAGACCCGATTTGCCCTCACAGAGGCAGCAACCCTCACCTTGCTGACAGCTCCCCCAGAGTCCCTCTCGGGGTTCTCTCTCCCTCCTCTTGCACCCCATCCCCCCACTCCCCTAACCTCCCCTTCCTTCTCCAGCCCAGCAGCAATTTTCAGAAATTGTCCTGTTTGTTCTTTGGGGGAAGCCCAGGCATTTGTTAAGTCAAGCAGGTCCCACCCCTCTCGCTTCACTCATGTTTAAGTCCTTCTCAGACTTCCTTCCTGTCCTCCCCCAGCTAGCTCAGGTCATGGGTCCTAGCTAGCACTGGGGACAGGGAACCCCTCTCTGAGACACCTGCTCTCCTGCAGAGAGGTTGCGGCCCTTCCACCTGTGGCCCATGTTCCTGAGAGCAGCTCAGTTCAGGAGGGTCTCTCCTCCTAGACACCACGCAAGGCACCCTGAGGGCCAGACACACCCATGCATAAATCCCCTTTCATCCTGAGACTTTGCTGAGGACTGCCTGACCCTGGGCAAGGGCACCCCTCTGGGTCTCCTCCCACCTGTAAAATAGGGTAATAACACCTACCTTGCAGTATTGTTGTGGGAACAGAGGCAAGGTAGGTCAAGCGTTTGGCCAGAGAAGGTCCTAAAAACTGATGGCTGTGTTTTCCTTACTCCGAACTGAGCCCCCCAGGAGACAAGAACACTCACAGCAATCCCTTCCCTTGGCTCAGTCCCCAGTTGCGGTGATCTCTAAAGCAGGCCTCTGGGAGCACCCTGCCCTGGTATGATCCTGCTGGCCACAACTCACCCTGCATCTCCAGCCTCCCTTTCTTCTCCACACAAAACCAAGAAACCTCCTTTGTCTAATGGTTCCAGGATGGAGACAAAGGAGCATCCAGCTGTGCTCTCCTGTTCTCTGCAAGACCCAGAGCTCTGGGAGATGTTGGGAGGTAGAGGCAGTGCCCACTCCTGGATGCGTCAGCACTGTCACAGCTGATGGGACCGTGCCCTCAGTGGCGAGGCCTCCATCTCCCCTGTCTCCCCTAGGCAGGCCTCCCTTTTGTCTCCTGACTCCTAAGTCTCAGGGCAGTCATTTGGGGTGGTCGTTGCTGGGTTGGTGGGGCAGGGAGGAAATAGGCTGGAATCCAGCTGACCTCTGTTTTCCTGGTGATCAAAGGCAGAGGCCCTCACCACCAGCTTCCCAGAATGGGGTTCTCCAGCTCCGCCAGCTCTGGCCTTTGTGGGAGTTTACAGCCTTGAACTCCAGGTCCCCAGATCAGTTCCTCCTGGTGTTGGCTTGCAGCTGGAAAGGGGCTCCAATGAAGCAGAAGCCAGAAGCACCTAGAAAGCCATGACCCCAGGCCCAAGTCAGTCCTCAGCTGCATAACCCGTATGGCCACTGGGCAGGGAAAGTGGCAGTTCCCAAGCCCCATTTGTCCCACTCAGAGGTCCTGAATCCTGAGGAACGCTGGCTCCTGCCTCCTGCTATGGTTGCAGGTGCCAGGTCCCTGGGGTCTTATAAGGCAGGGCTGGAAGGAGGTGGGCCCCAGAGGGTCCATTCCTTAAGTGTTGGCTTCAAGAAGGCCTGAGCCATGGTGCACAGAGGTTCTGAGAACTGCCAAAGGGCAATGTACTCTGAGAGTCAAGGTCACCAGCTGGTGACAAGGGCAAACCCATTTGACCCACCTCCCCCACAGTGAATGCCTTGGAGAGAAATGCATTCTTGACTGTTCTCAGAACTCACATCCAGGCTTGAACCACAACAGAGCCCATTCCTCTCCAGCTTTTCTTGGTTTTCTCCTCCCAGTAACCAAACTCCCTCTCACCTCTGGGAGAGGCTCGCCACCTCCGGGAAGACCTCGCGGAGCAAGCCCACCCCTGGTTACTCTTACCTTCCCTCCACCACCTTCCGGATGCCACTGACATGGCTTGAATGGCCAGCATGTGGCCGTGTCACCATTCTCTTCATTTATAGCACAGATTGCCAAGTCCCTGGCCTCCTTGAGGCCTCAGGTCGGGTAAGCTGTTAAACGTTTGTACCTGCACTGAGCCTGGTGCCCACTCTCCACACTTGGCAGCAATTCCACCCTATTCCAGGGTCTCAGTGGTTCCAAAGAGCTGCTTAGAGCCTCCCAACAATTCAGCCAGGCAGGCTGTGAGATGCCCATTTTACAGAGGACACTGCAGGTGGTCTGCAAACAGGTCAGAACATGAACCCAAGTCTAACAGAGACAAGAGGAACCCGGCCATCAGAGAATGAGGAGACAAGGAAATGGATAGTGATGCCAACATTTATAGCATAATGGCTACATGGAGAATTGTCACGGTGCTTCGATGTCCATTGTATCACTTTGACCCTGTGAGATAACAGAAAACATCTTGATGCATTTATTTTATAGGTGATGAAACTGAGGCTTAAGTGGCTTTTCCAGGGTTACACAGTGAGCAGGAGGCCCAGCTTACCCCAAAGCTAGGAAGGACTTGATTATTCAGAAAAGGAAACTGACAGAGAGGCTGGGGTCTTTCCAAGCTCACACTGTTAGAGCAGAAGGGACCTCGGGGATGTTCTGAGCCTCAGGCTCTACCAGACTGCCTCCAAGCCCAGCTCAGAGGTAGGAAACCGTTCTTCTGGATAGTGCAGGGGGGCCCACCCCCTCCAGTCCCTGCCATCCAGGTCCTTCAGGACATGCGATCACAGCATCACCTGCTCTGCCATCATTGCCTTGGCAGGTGCCCCACTGTTGTGCAACCAGGCCCGGGGCTGGGCTGGCCCCATCAGATCAACAGCTGGTTGGCTTGAGCCGGCTGAGTCTGCCCCCCTGGAGCTCAGCTGTGACAGCAATAAATCACACTAATGGAGAGAGGTGGCCATTCCTTCTCTGTGGCCTGGAGACAGGTTTTTCCAAAGCTCCTCCCCTGGCTCAGGCAAACACACCTGACCTTTCTCTCGCTGGGCCCAGGGTGAGGCAGAGCAGCCAGGAACAAGGTGGGGTGAACCAGACAGAGCTGGAGTGCTCTCCCACCCCTGCTTTGCCCAGCCTCCCCGCCAAGCCCATGATTCCAAGCAAGGTAAGGCCCTCCTCCCAGAGGAAGGGGCCAACAGCCCGGTGACCTTGGAGTGTGCTTCGCCTGGCACTCCCCTCACACCGCTCCCTACAGCTTGTACTCTGCCTCTGACTCTCTTCCAAGAACAATTTGGCAAGTTCTAATCTACATCTTGCAAAAAAAAAACAAAAAACAAAAAACAGAGAGGTAGGAGGGCCACAGCACCTGGGGTCCCAGAAGGCAGACTGACCTATTCCTACAGCAGGGGTAAGTAACGCAGAAAACCTCCAGGCAAAGAGACATGGAGATCTTCGAAATGGAATGGGGGGTGGAGGGAGTCACTGGGAGGCAAAAGGTGTGGGACACCTGAGGTTACTGAGACAGGGAACTTGGGATTCCCTTCTGGGAAATGACACAGCATGGCAGCTGTCCTTCTTATTCAGTCAAGCTACATTGCCTCATTAAACCAAATCACAGCTACAAACCAGTGCCACATGCCTGGAGGCTGAGTGGACACTCCTGGTCCTCCTCATGGAGATATATAGCACTCTGAGTTCTGATCCAGCTCATCTGTGTGAAGTCCTCAAACAAGCACATAGTAAGTGCTCCATAAACTTCAGCTGCTCATTTTTTTTAATTATTACCATTTTGACCATCATTTCTTCGATTGTTCTTCATGTGTCTTGTTTCCAGACCATTAGACTCCCACAGGAGGCTCCTTGGAGCATGGTCCAGCTAGTTTATGTCTTGAAGGGGCAGCCATGCTCCAGGTGCAGTCTTGGGAGCCATCTGATCACTGTCCCTTCTTCTGAGCATCTGCCTGCTGAAGGAGGCTAGGCCATGTGCTGACAAGCACTATGGACAGACAGCCCGGGGTCAAGTCCTAGCTCCTCCATCCCCCAGCTGTGTAACCTGGACCAGGACGATTGTATCTCTGACCAATCTCAGAATATAGCTGGATTACTAGGAGGAAAACTAAGTGAGTGCTTAGAGGCGGGCAAAGTAAGGATAACCATTTGTAGATGATGTGCTAGAGATGCTGACCATCATTCCTTACTCTTAACATAATTATTATGAGAAAAATTAGAACCTCCTCATTGGACTTCCTTATTCCTATGTCGAAGTATAATGTTCTGTTTTTACTAACGTATGGGGGGCGGCACACACAAAGCTTTGCATGTCTAGGGCCTCTAGGGATCTCAGCCTGGCCTCGCTATGAAATTTCTGCAAGGCCTGTCAATTCCCTGATGTATCACGAGTGTTCCCGAACAATAAGCTCATTTACCAGGTCTTGCTGTGACCAGATAGTTTTTAATCGCCATGATCACTGGGTTGACAGGTTGAGCTTGAGCTCTACCATAAGCCTGTGTCTTTCCAAAGGCCTGGGGGACCGAAGGCAGAAGCAAGAGCACACGTAGAGAAGGCACCGAGCAAGCGGATCTGTGCGGTTCTTCGGTTCTAAACAACTTGCGGAATCCAGGCGGACTCAGGGCCTGTGTGGCCACTGGGCAGGGAAGGTGGTGGTTCCCAGGCCCATCGAAACCACAAGGAGCACTGACTTCTGTCTCCTGCTATAGCTTCAGGTGCCAGGTTCACTGGGGTCTTAGAAGTTGGGGCTGGAAGGAGGTGGGCCCAGAGGGTCCCGCTCCTTAAGTGCTGGCTTCAAGATGGAAGATATTAAGACGTTCCAGGGGTCGATTCTTTTTTCAAGACCCTAAGATGTTCCAGGCTTCTGTAGAGCAGGCACAGTCCTTGCCCTCCAGGAATTGTATCAATAAAGACACAAAACACTAGAGGCAGAAGCTGCACACAGGCAACCTCCACGCAGAATCTGCCCACATCTGTGTTGGTTTGGCCAACAGTGGTTTTTAGAAAGTTGAGTCAGAGTGTCTTTGGGAGGACACCGTAGGTGACTGCAGGTGCCATGCCCCATCGTCACTCCAGCAGATTCACATATTGGCATTACCTGCCTGGTCTCTACAGTCTGGATGCCAAGTATGAAGTGTGAATATAAAGGCAGCAAACAAGTGTGATTGGGGCACAAGAAAGGGATTCGGCTGGGCGCTGTGGCTCACGCCTCTAATCCCAACAATTTGGGAGGCTGAGGCAGGCAGATCACTTGAGGCCAAAAGTTCGAGACCAGCTTGGACAACATGAAGAAATCCCGTCTCTACTAAAAATATAAAAATTAGCCGGGTATGGTGGAAGGCACCTGTAATCTCAGCTGCTCAGGAGGCTGAGGCAGGAGAATCGCTTGAACTCAGAAGGCAGAGGTTGCAGTGGGCCAAGATAACGCCACTGCACTCCAGCCTGGGCGACAAGAGCAAAACTCCATCTCAAAAAAAAAAAAAAAAAAAAAAAGGGATTCGATTCTACCTAATGCCCAGGGAGGCTCCACAGAGGAGGGGTATTTCACAATCCACGTCACCCACCCTGTCACTCCCTTGATCCCTTCCTTCCTTTTTTCTTTTTAGAGACAAGGTCTCATTCTGTTGCCCAGGCTGGAGTGCAGTGGTGCAATCACGGTTCACTGCAACCTGGAACTCCAGGGTTCAAGCAATCCTCCTGCCTCAGCCTGCCGAGTAGCTGTGACAACAGGTGCGAGCCACCATGCCCAGCTAAGATTTCACCATGTTGCCCAGCTGGTCTTGAACTCCTGGCCTCAAGCAATTCTCCTGCTTTAGGCTCCCAAGTTGCTGGAATTACAGGTATGAGTCACCACCCCTGGCTCTCTTTACAAGTCCTTAGGTAGTGGCCCCAGAACTGACCAAAGAGAAATGTTAGGATGTTTTACTCCAGGCCACTGAGTACTTGGAGAAGCCATTGTGACTCCCTTTTTTGCTCCAAGACAGTGTGCAATGTACAGGTCCTGCTATGGGATGTGGCTTGAGCCCAGTGGCCTGGGAAGGCGGGAGAGAGGGAGGGAGGAATAGAAATGGCGGGAAGGTGCGGGACGAAGGGCTGAGCAGGAGGAGAGGAAAGTGAAGGAAGAAAAGGAAAGGAGGGAAGAGAAGCGGGGAGGAGGCAACAGTGACAGCAGCTGACGGGGCTCTGTGCCTGCCTGGGTGGCTATCCAGTCCTTCCTCTTCCCTCTGACCATGGACGGACTCCCTCTAGCCCTTTAAGTTCCACAGACCCTACAAACACTCAAGTTCTTTCACAGAAAGGAAAGCACCTCCGAGCCACTAGGAAACAAAGGATATTTTATTCCTTTTTTCTGTTGTTGTTGAGGATAGATCACGATACAGAGAACAGCAATGGGTCACAGCGCACGGTTTGGTTGGTTTCCGCGGGAACACAGAGGACAGGAGGGGCGGGATCTGGGTTGAGTTCCCACTCTCGTTATGACCTTCAACCTCTCACTGTTCCCAAGGGCTGCACGGAGCCTGCTGAGTCTCCAACCCACCTCGCTCACCGCTCTGACCACTGACAGGCAGAGCAAAGGATGCGGGAGTTGCCTCTGCTGCCCATCTAAGGGGACGTAGGCAGAGAAGCAAAGGCCTCTGCTCTCCCTCCATCCATCCCGGTGTGCTGGCCCCAACGGAACAGGAGTCCTTCAACTATTGCCTGCCAGAGACCCAATTGCAGGGACTGTAGTCTGCATCTGGATGAGCTGGGCTGTAGATTGAAGTCTCAGAAGCAGGGAAGGTTGGAAGGGGTAGGGTCCCAGAGCCCATGGAGTTATTGCTGAGAAGATATGCAGGGGACACATTCCCCAGGGGCAGAGTAGAAGCCCTGGGCCTGGAATCCCCGGGCGCTCTGTGAAGGGGCGGGGCAGATGGGGACTCCTCGTGGAAGCCCCTGGGAAGAAATTAACCACGGAAGGGCATAGCCTGCCTGACGTCAACGCTGGGCTCACCAGCTCCTTGCTTTGTATCTCCAGTTGCTAAGAGACCTTCAGACTGGGATCAGGTGGGATAAGGAAGCAAGGTTTTTGTTAAAGGAGTGAAAGGAGTCCATGAAGAATGATGACAAAGTGCTGCAAACCTTCCCAGGTCCCAAGACGACTGAAGACCACTGCCCGTGCTCTTACCCTACGCATCCCTAAATCAGGGGAGGGGGCTGGTCTCGGGCAACAAGCAGCCTCCTAGGAGCAGAAGGTGATGGAGGGCCACGGGGGCAGGGAGGAGCAGATGGCCATGTGGCTCAGCCCCTGCCTGGGAAAGCGAGTCCACAGTTCACTAACAAACACAATACCATCCACAAACAAGTAGCCACAAAGACCACAGTTAGCAAACACACACAGTCACACACACACACACACACACACACATCACGGGAGGTGGGCAGGACCGCAGGCTGCAGTGGGGAGGCAAGTGTTAGTTGCATCATCAGGTGGAGGAATGGTGTTAGAGGGGATAGGGTGGGGGACACACAAGTTCTTGGCTTCTCCTGGGGAAAGGGCTGTTGCTGAAGTGGCCGGTTTTCTTAAGCATCGACATTTGCATCCAAAGGTTCAAGCAGCCGCCTCAGGTTCCAGAGGCTGAGGAGGAGGATAATTTAAATTAAAAACACTTCGGCTGCCTCTGGTATCCTTATCTGCTTCTCTCCCTTCCTTGAGCACCTGCCCACTGAAATTCCCGGTATGACAGCCTCGTCTGAGACGCAGAGAAAGGAGACAAAGACACAGGGGAGGGGTGAACCTCAGAAGAAGCCTCTCCCAGGTGGGCTGGAGCCTGGCAGACATGGAAAGGAAATTGTTAAACCCAGGACCTCCCCAGTGGTTGCTCACAGTCCTGAGCCTTAGGATAAAAGGTTTCTGAGAAAGAACTAGTTTGGGAAAAAAAAAATGAAAAGACATTTCATTTCCAGGCTGCCTCCTCTGAGCCTTCCCAGATTCTCAGTCTGTGATGAAATAGACAGAACACCAAGCTACCAGGAAGGGCACCTGCCTCCTAGATCGGAATCTTCGTCCATTCGCACTTAGGTGATCACTTGCCTTCGAGAGCCCCATCCAGAAGACGGGAGTAATGAGCCCTGCTCTGCCCATCACGGGCCGCTATGAGGATGCAAAAGCACTTAGGAAAGAATTTAAATGCTACACAGGCACACGATATTGTTACGCACAGTCAAAGCTGGTGCATCGGGCACTTCATCATCCAGAAACCTCTTTTACCTTACAATGTGAGATAAACTTATATACCTTTCTATAATGCCTTACTTGTATGGGGGGAAAAAAAGGCAGAAGTGAGCTGACAAAACACAAACCTTTTCCCTTAGGATATTCCAGGGCATGTCATAAAGCGAGACGCACAGGACAGAGGGGAGCAGTGGCGCTGAACCACAGCCGCAAAGGCCTGAGTTCACAGTCCGGGCTGTCACTCTCCACGGGGCTATTCCCTCTCATCTTGGTTTCACCTATAAAATGGGCTAAACCCCACCTGTCCCATCCTCTTTTTCTGGCAGACTCGAGTGAGTCTGTGTGTGTGGTGGCACTCTGAAAACTGTACAGCATTTGCCAGTTACTACTCTCCTGTGCCCCCTACGATGAACAATGGAAATAGATACTAAAATCAGTGCCCTTAAATGTGGAGAGGGAAGGATCATATACTATTTGCTCTACTTTTGGTTAGGGTTGGGAAGTTTCATAATAAGGTGTTTAAAAAAACAAGTGGCCCTAAAGTACTTTCTGAGTCACCACGGAAAGCCATTATCTTTATGCTACTTTGAGATTAGGAGCATTTCACTAACTCTAATTCTCCCATGTTGCACTTGGGATGACGCCCTATGCACTCGGCCAGTGGGCTGTGTGGAAGCCCCATTTCCTGGTGTTGGCATGCATGTGTGTGGGACACTTCGGGTGTTTCTAGTCCTGGTCTCTCTCACAGCCCCTTTCAGACTCCTGAAGGCTCCTCAGGGCAGGGCCCATAATAAAAGCTGTGCCCACTGCAAAAGCTAGCCCCATCCTTCCCGCCTGAACCCCTGTCCAGGCCCTGATGCAGACGGTGATGGCAACAGGGGCCAATCCAGGCACTGAGCATCTCACCTTCCACCTGATGGCTGCACTTCAGTTCTCTGCTTTCTGGGGCTCTGTTGCTGGAAAGAAAACCAGAATGGATTATAGTGTATAGACTCCTCACCCCCGTGGGCCACCCCCAACAGCAGCCGTGTCTCTGCCTGACTCTGGGGGAGCAAAGAGGTGACGGGCATGGGATTTCGAGTCAGAACGATCTGGGTTCAATCCTGGCCCTGCTACTTGCTGCTTACAGGAACCTGGTAACCTCTCTCAGTCCCTCGGTTACAAAATGGGGACAATGATGCCTATTTCAGGGCTGTGTGCCCATTAAATGATATGGGGTCTGTGCCTGGCACAAGCAGATGCTCTGTAAATAGCAGGTGACACTAGTAGTAGCCTGTTTGGTGGAGTGAGGGGGCAATGCTGCAGAGGCCCTGGAGACCCACTCTCCTGGCACTGCGGGAGCATGTCTGGCTGGCCATGCACCTGGCAACAGTCCCTTCCTGAGCCACAGAGGGGTCTCTCTGTTCCCTCTTTTCCACCTGGGCAGGTGGTCACGGACAGTTACCATTGGCGGTGATGAGGTTCTCCACCTGGGCTTCCTCATCTCCTGGGGCCCTGCAGGAGAAAGAGACACACAGCCCCATCAGAGATCTCCAGGGCAGACCCAGAGAGCATCGTTCTGCTCCTCACTGGGGCACAGCTGCCTGCAGTCAGGCTCCTCCCAGTGCCCTGAGGGGCTGGAGCTCACTCTGCTGTGGGATGCATGGGACAGAGGGAAAGGTCTGGACTGAAGGGTCAGACTCAGAGGGAACTTACAGGCACCCTTCAATGTCAGCCCTCATGGGAAGGGGAGGCTAGGGCCACATGGGGGCTTGGGTGTGTCCTGCCACACGCTTTGGACTTCTGGGGTCCAAGCTACCCTTGGCTATTATAGTAAACTAATGGGGTATGACCTCTATGTGGGAGTAGAAAGAAGGTCCAAGTGTCTATTCAGCTCAAAGAGCCTCATGAACAGGTGACAAGTGGGGACTGTGTCGCAGGTCCTGTAGAGAGGACCTGGGCATCTAGAGAGGCCAGGAAGCCCTCTGCTTCCCTTCTCCCAAGCTCAACTGTCCCAAGGGCCTCCAGAAAAGGTTCCAGTACTTTCTTGTCCACTCCCCGTCCCCCACATAGATCAGAAGAGACAGGATGGGCTGACCTTCAATGTTTTGACCTCTCCTTTGCCCCAGAGTCTACCTGGCAGTCCTCAAACTTCCAGCCCTACGTCCCAACACACACGTTCTGCCTCCGAGACAAGAATCCAAGAGAATGCCCATTTGGGGGTCACACACCAGGGGTCCCTTCCTGTCCCACCTAGTATCACCCCCCCAAGGCCACTGCCACGGCATCCTTACCGGGGCTTCTGATTGAAACTGCACTTGCACCTGCGACCTGAAAAGCAAAGAAACCATCCAAGGTCATGCTGCTGGCTTGGCCACAGCAGGGCCAAGGGTCTGTGCAGGTTGTGGGACTATGTAAATGGCACCCCCTAGACCTGGGCAGTGCACAGTTTGCACAGCTGCACACAGTGGCCCTCGGATGGGGTAGCTTCTTCTGGGGCAAAGGAAATACATTCTATAGCTGGAATGGCTACACCCCCACAGCCCTCTTGATCATGTGAGTAAAGAGGGATCTGTGCAGATCAGGCTCATGTGGGAACAACAAACTCGGAGGCACATCCCTCGCACACTAGGGCAGCACCTGTCTCCTTCCTCCGTGACTGCCCCATTCATGCCCTATAGACACAGCACTGGGAAGCCACCCTGCTCGTTCCTATCTATGCTCATTGTCATATGACATTTTCTTTGTTCCCGTGTCACTGTTTTACTGAGCACTTACTATGTGCCCAGCACTCTACTGGGTCGTGAAGATAACACGGAGGGCAGGCAGCCTCCTTTCCTCTCCAGGAGAGGGACCAACCAGGCTCTCACACTGTCCCCACCTGCTTAGCAGCCTCAGTCATTGCTCTTAACAGAGTGAGCAAAAGAACAAACTTACTTAGGATAAGGAGGATCCCAACCGAGAAGAGGACCACAGCGAACACCAGTCCCCCAATCCTCAGGGTCTGGTAATCTGCCAAAGGAACCAAGGGTGAGAGAGGAAGGGGCCAGGGAGAGGGTGTCTGTTCCCCCTACCCCTCCTGCCAGGCAGGGCTGCATTCCCCCTGACCCCTGCACCCAGGGTTGCCATCGCTCACCATAATGAAAAGGGTCCATTTCCTTCTCCTTTTCAGCTGCTGCAAAAACAAACAGTTGGTCAAGAGAAAGAAAGCTACACAAACTGGTTCCCAAATATCTAACCTTGCCTCACAGACCTCAGTCTCCACAAAGGAATTCCAGAGGAGCAGGGCCCATTAAACAGAGATGCCTAGAGGTGCACGGTAGGGCGGGCCTGCCAGTTAGGGGGTTAGGGGAACCCTAAGGGCCGAGGTCAGTGAAGGCATCGAAACTCAGTGAGGCTCTGAGTCATGCAACACCCACATTCATTGCCCCTTTGTATTCTTACATCATCCCCAGAAGGCAGGGTCAGTTTTCCTCTTGTGACACACGGAGAAACCGAGACCAAGGAAGGACATATGACTTGCACGAGGCCAGCACTTGCTAATATGGTCTAGAGACTGATGTGCAGGTCTGAATCCCAGGGTTCAGGCCACAAATCCACAGAGGCGCAGTGAGCTTGCGGGGCTTAAAAACTACTCCCTGCCGGACCCTTAGGGGGCGAGGGGGCAGGCTGTGCTGAGGTCTGTGAATAAATAGCTGCCACCTCCACGACTTTCTCTGCTGACTGAAGGGAGAGGCCCCTGACTAGACATGAAGAACGTGAGAGTCCCCCAGCCCTAATGTCCCAAGGGGCCCAGAACCTTCCAGCAGAGAGGGCTGGACAGGGTTGTCATCTTGTCACAGCCAGGTCCCAGAGGGGTACTTACCACTGGCCAGGACCATGGGGGCCAGCAGGCTGCAGAGGAAGACCAGCACCAACTCCATGGCGTCTGGGGACAGAGGGAGGAAAAAATGATTCTCTGGCTAAGAAGCCTCCATCCGTCAGCTCCAAGCGTCAGCCTGACCAGGGGCCAAGCCAAATCCCCAGCTTTGCTCTGCACTCATGACTTGGTGAGGGTTCAAACAACCTAAGCACAAGCAGTTGACTTTTTTTTTTTTTGAGACAGAGTCTCGCTATCTTGCCCAGGCTAGAGCGTAGTGGCATGATCTCGGCTCACTGCAACCTCCGCCTCCCAGGTTCAAGTGATTCTTCTGCCTCAGCCTCCTGAGTAGCTGGCATTAGAGGCGTGTGCCATCATGCCCGGCTAATTTTTTGTATTTTTAGTAGAGACAGGGTTTCATCATGTTGGCCAGGCTGGTCTCGAACTCTTGACCTCAAGTGGTCCATCTGCCTCAGCCTCCCAAAGGGCTGGGATTATAGGCGTGAGCCACCACCAGTTGACATTTCTTGGACTCTTAGAGAATGCTCTGCATGTATTAATTCAATTGGCACAATTGAGTTAGTACAATTAGCAAGCACTACAACTAACGCAGGCCGAGAACCTGAAGCTTAATGAGGCTGACATGCACCAGAGTGAGTAGCAGGGCCTAGATCCTAACCCAGCATGGTAACTCCTCCACCACGTTGCCTCTGGGACGTGACTTTGAAGATCTCAACTGTGTCCTTCTCTCCAGGCCACCCTTCTGTGGCCATCCCTAGTTCATTCTGACAGCCAATACCCCATCAGAAATGTCTCTTAATATCAGACTAAATGGGGCCAGTAAACCAGTGTCCCTCTAGTCTAGCCAGCTGGGTGGAGAGGAGACTTGTGGTTTCCTGGGCCCTGAAGCGCTGACAGCCCTCCTTCAGGTACCCTTTACGTCCCACCTCAAAAGTCCCCAAGTCAGCTCTTCCCACAGGCTTTGGTTCAGAATCCTCCAGAAAGGTGGTTTGATTCTACAAAAGGAGTTTGAAGGCTGGTTCCACGAGCCTCAGCACCCCAGCCTCTGCTTCCCCAGAGGATGCGGAGGTCTCTGCTCAGGAGCTCATCAGTCCTGGTCTCTGGGTGGATGGCCCCAGGTGGGCTATCCTGGTGGAAGCAGGAGGCAGGGCCAAGAGGTGGCACCCAGGGATAGATTTCAATGGCAGGACACACATCTCACTCCTGGGCTTAAAGGAGCATGGTTAAGAGCCAGAGAGGAGACAGAGAGGCTTTTCCTGAACCAGGAAAGCCCAAGGCTGGGTGCTGTTTTCCATGTGGGGTGAAACTGGCAGTGGCCTGAACCCCTGGACATCCGTCCAGTCCAAGACCCTGATTGCCCCCAGCACGGTCACTACCTTCCTCCGGCCTTGAGCAAGCAGCCGCCACTGCACTTCACCTCTCGGCCACCAGGGGTCAGAACGACTGCATCCACAGCCACGTCAAGGCCCAAACCTTGATTCAAAAAGCCTTTATCAAAAGGTGGTAATTTGCTTTCAATGCTGTCTCATTTCACACTTGTATTTCCTTTGAATGCTACACTGTATCTTATATGTATAAAAATATATGTAACATACACATATAATGAGGCATAGTAATAATAGAAACACCCATAAACCAGCAGCTTAGGAAATGGAGCTTTACAAAGACTGCTGCAGTGACCTCTATTTCCCTCCACCCCATCCCCCTGCCTCTCTCCCAGAGGTGGCCAGTATCCCAAAAATATATATTTTTATTTTTATTTATTTATTTATTTATTTTGAGACTGAGTCTCCCTGTGTCGCCCAGGCTAGAATGCAATGGTGCGATCTCGGCTCACTGCAACTTCCACCTCCCGGGTTCAAACGATTCTCCTGCTTCTGCCTCCCAAGGAGTTTGGATTACAGGCATGCACCACCACACCCAGCTAATTTTTTGTATTTTTAGTAGAGACAGGGTTTCACCATGTTGGTCAGGCTCAAACTTCTGACCTCAGGTGATCCACCCACCTCGGCCTCCCAGAGCGCTGGAATTACAGGCGTGAGCCACCGCGCCTGGCTGAAAATACATATTTTTAATCATTCCCTTGCTCTTCTTCTAAAAAGCTGCCAATCAACAGATATAAAATTTCAGTTATGCAAAATGAGTAAGTGCTAGAGATCTGCTGTATAACACTGTACAGCATAATTAACAATATTGAATTGCACACTTCAAGATATGTTAAGAGGGTAGATCTCATAGTAAGTGTTCTTTCCACAATTTAAAATATACAATTCACACATCAGGAAGTTTGCCATCTTAAACTGTACAATTCAGTGATTTTTAGAACATTTACAAACTTATGCATTCGTCACCAATCTCGGGTTCCAAGACATTTCATCCTCCCAAGAAGAAACTTGTATCCATCGGCAGTCACCCCCGACTCCCCTTCCCTTCAACCCTGAAACCATTCATCTACTTTTTGTCTCAATGGGTTTGCCCACTCTGGACATTTCACATAAATGAAATAATAAAATACATGGACTTCTGTGTCTGGCTTTCAAGTTAGCATAATGTTTTCAGGGTTCATCTACCTTGTAGCATGTATGCATATTTTATTTCTCTTTATGGCTGAATAATATTCCACTGTATGGATATTCACCTTGCTCTTTGTCTTAAAAATATATTTAACACGTACATATATCTAAATATTATGTTGCTTAGTGTAGCTTTTTTGAACTTTATAATTATGATATCATGTTTATAGTCTTTTGAAACTTGCTTTTTCTGTCCGACATTATGCTTCTGTGGTTCACTGACTTACTACATTTAGCTATAGTGCATTCATTTTCAGTGTGGTGTAATATTCCATTGTGCAGGTAAATGATCATGTAGTGCTCTAGTCTCCTGCCAATGGATGTCTGTTTCTTTTTCCCCCTCAATTTTATGCTATTACAAATAGAGTTGTGGACATTTTTGTGCATACTGCTCAGGGCACACATGCAAGAATTTTGAGGAAACAGTTTTTTGATTCTTTGATCACCACTCCCATAAGAAATACATTTTACATTGCAACCCAGCATAACACAGATTCATGTAACCAGAAGCAATTATCACAAAATAATACTTACTATGAATGAGATAGTTTCTTTTCTATTTTATTCTGTTTCTTTACAAAAAACATTTCCAGGCTCCTTAATGGGTCACACTCGGCAGTTTGAACAGTTATGTTCTAGACATGAGCCTAGGACTGAAGTCATTCATTGGGTTGTATAGTATGCAAACTGTCCACTTCACACAATGATTTAAAATTGTTTCCACAGTGGTCATCTCCATGATAATATCCCACCAGCTGCATATCACTGTCCCCATTACTCTACAACCTGTTGTGGATATTTTCTGTTGTCAGATATTTTCATTTTTGCCAATCTAGAGGTAAAAGATGGCTTTAATGTGATTACACTGTAATAGAGCTGGACTTTTTTCTCTGTGTTTATTTGTCATTCCTGTTTCTTCATCAGTGATATGTTTTTCATGCCGTTTGCCCGTTTTCCAAGTGAGTTGACATTATTATTGTTGTTAATTTCTTATTCTGAATACTAAACCTTTGTCATTAAGTATAGCAAATATCTCCTTCCAGTTTGTGGCTTATTTTTTCACTTTTAAAAATTGTCTTCTGTTGAACAGAATTTCTTAATCCTAACATACTTGAATGCTGTGATTTTTGTGTCTTAAGACATCCTTTGTCACCCTGAGGTCAGAGTTTTCATCTAAAAACCCCAAGGTTTTGTCTTTTACATTTAAATCTATTTGACATCTGAAACTGATGTTTGTGTATGGTGTGAGGTAGGAGTCTAGTTTTACTTTTTCCCGTAATGATAACTTGTACTGTAACCTGGTTCCAGGGGCAGACTGCCTCCCCTTTTCCTCATGATGGGCTATGCCACCTTTGTCACATATCTGATTTCTATTTGGTGTGCATCAGTTTCTGGGCTATCTCTTTGGGTCTCTTGGTCAATTTGTCTGTACTGCATTAAAATTACTGTGTTTCAATTATGATAGCTTCATAGTAATCTTGCCACATGGTAAGAGAAGCTCCCATCTTTTTTTCTCCTCTTCCCTCTCCTCCTCTTTCTTCAGGAATGTCTTCATTATTCTTGGTTTTCTGCTCTCAAATTTCAGAATTAGCTTTTCAAATTCATCTAAAACTGTTAGGATTTTCATGGGAACTGCAATGGACCTATCTATAGAACAACCTGGGGAGAAATGACATATTTCTGATCTTGAGTCCCCTGTCTATAAATACATCTTTTGATTTGTTTAGGTCCTTTTCAATAAAGTTCCATAAATGCTTTCATACAGGTGTTGCACATGTTCTGTTAGATTCATTCCTAAGTGCCTTATCATTTTTATTGCTGCTTTCAATGTCACCTTGTATGTGTTTTCTAATTTTTGCTGGTAGAGAGAAAAGCAACTGATCTTTACATATTGATCTTAAATCCAATAATCTTGTTAAACTCCCGAATTATTTGTAATAACTTACCTAGAAATGCCTTTGGGTTTTCTCTGTAGATATATCATCTTCAAATGATATTGTTCCTTCTTTCTAATTCTCACGCTGTTTATTTCTATTTTTTTTTAGAAAATTATAGTTTTTATTTTATTTTATTATTCTTTAAGTTTTAGGGTACATGTGCACAACGTGCAGGTTTGTTACATATGTATACATGTGCCATGTTGGTGTGCTGCACCCATTAACTCGTCATTTAACATTAGGTATATCTCCTAATGCTATCCCTCCCCCTCCCCCCACCCCACAACAGGCCCCGGTGTGTGATGTTCCCCTTCCTGTGTCCATGTGTTCTCATTGTTCAATTCCCACCTATGAGTGAGAACATGCGGTGTTTGGTTTTTTTGTCCTTATGATAGTTTTCTGAGAATGATGGTTTCCAGCTTCATCCATGTCCCTACAAAGGACATGGACTCGTCATTTTTTATGGCTGCATAGTATTCCATGGCATATATGTGCCACATTTTCTTAATCCAGTCTATCATTGTTGGATATTTGGGTTGGTTCCAAGACTTTGCTATTGTGAATAGTGCGGCAATAAACATACGTGTGCATGTGTCTTTGTAGCAGCATGACTTCTAATACTTTGGGTATATACCCAGTAATGGGATGGCTGGGTCAAATGGTATTTCTAGTTCTAGATTCCTGAGGAATTGCCACACTGACTTCCACAAAGGTTGAACTAGTTTACAGTCCCACCAACAGTGTAAAATGTTCCTATTTCTCCATATCCTCTCCAGCACCTGTTGTTTCCTGACTTTTTAATGATCGCCATTCTAACTGGTGTGAGATGGTATCTCATTGTGGTTATTTATATTTCTTGTCCTAGTGTACTGGGTAGGAATTCCAGTGAAATGCAGAATAAAAACAATAGCAAACACACACGCACACAACACGTGCACACTCACACACAGTCTTACTACTGATTTTAAATAGAGTTTTTCTAATGCTTTGAAAGTTCCCCTCTAATCCTGGTTTCCAAGCTGTTTCTGTTTTATGTTAATTATGAACGAGTGTTCTATTTCTATGGTTTTTGTCCTTAAATCTACCAATGAAGTAAATTGTATGTATGGATTATCAAGTGTTAAATCATCCCTGCATTTCTGAAATGAAACCAATTTTTTTTTTTTTTTTAATAAACAGATGGATTTGGCTTACTGACATTTTGTTTAGGATTTTTGCATCTATGTGCATGAGTGAGATTGGTCTGCAGTTTTTATTTTATTGTATTAACCTTGCCTGGTTTGGGGATGGCAGTACTGGCCTCACAGAACAAGTGTCCACTCTCCTGCTAGCTCCCTGGAAGAGTTTGCAGAAGATTCGAATTATCTGTTCTTTGAGTGTTTGGTGGAACTAACCTGTAAAATCATCCGGGCTTGGGACTTTCTTTGTGGGAAGATCTTAAATGGCCCATTCAATTAATTAATGGTTATGGCACTCTCCAGATATCTATTTCTTCTTTAATAAATTTAGTGAGTTATAATTTTTAAAGGAATTTTCCCTTTTCTGCTTTCAAATGTTTTGCCATAAAGTTATGCCTGTTTTTTTCATTCCTAATGTTACTTGTGACAACTCCCTTTCTTCTTGGTCAGTTTCACCAGAGGTTTAACGATGCTTATAGTTTTTTTGAAGAAACCAACTCTTGGTTTCATTAATCCTTTTTATTGTATGTTTTAAAATTTTCTTAATTCTGCCCTTAAACAATCTCTGGGTTTCTTCTATTGTTCTTTTTTATGTTTATCTTGTTATGTTGGATACCTAGTTCATTAATATTTAGCTTTTCTTATTTTCCAATATAAGCATTTAAGACTGCAATGTTCCCTCTAAGTGCTTTTAAAGTATAATACTAAGAACTAAACAATAATCAATAACCACACTTCAAAGCTTCTGTAAGGGGGTGAAAGTACTCCATCATAGTTGGATTGTTGTTTAGTTCTCAGTATACTTTAAACCTCCTTACAATTTCTTGCTTTACCTATGCATTAAGAAGTGTGTGTTTTAAATATCCAAATATATAGTGATTTTTATTTGCTTTTGTTATTGACTTCTAACTTAAGTGCACCAAGGTCACAAAACATGGTCTGTATGATGTACAGATGCCTTGAAACGTGTTGAGACTTGCTTTATGACCTAGTACATGGTCAGTTATTAAAAGAATTATATTTCATATGTGCTTGGAAAATTGTGAATTCCTTCATGGTTGGGAAGAAAGTTCTATATGCCTATAAATTAACATTATCAACTGTGTTTAAATTTCTTTTTTTTTTTTTGACTGTTTATCCTACCAAAAATCAAGATCAGCACTTTAAAATCTACCACTAAGTGGAAGGATTTATAAATGTATCCCCATATTTGAAACAGAGGGGTTAATCTGATCAGGTCTGCCTGCACTGCTTGCTTTTGGTCGCTTGCTTTTTGTTATTATATTTTATTTTTTTTCCTTTTTCCATGAAGCTGAAGGCCGTGGTAGCTGAAGGCCTCGGTAGCTGAAGGCCTCGCCACTGCATGCTGAAACTTAACCTTCACTGGTTACTTTACAGATAACATTCATAGGTCACCCTGGTAATGGTTACTTCAGTTGTTTTTCAGGAATTTGGGCTAGCTCCTGTCCAGTTCAAACAGGATGAGACCACCCACCCTTCAACTGGGCATGTGCAAGTGCTCCGAAGGGTAGCCTTTGACATCAGAGGGCTAAAAACTCCACCCTCAGGTCACACTAATGCCACCATTTCCTGTACATATGTCCTGTGGAATGCCACAAACCCTGACTACGCTTGCTCAGAATGAATCTGCCATTTCATTTCTCCCCACTGCCAATCACCTTTCCCTATGCCTCAGACCACCCCACTTCCCTTAACAGTAAATATCCCTAAGCCTTATCTTTGGGGAGGCGGATTTGAGAGCCGTTCTCCGGCCTCCTTGCTTGGTGGTCTTCTGAATAAATCTTTTCTCTTTTGCAAAATCTGTGTCACAGTGATTGATTTACTGAGATTTACTGAGTGTGGGCAGAACAGACCTGAAGCTGGCCGATAACATGTCTCTTAGAATATTCTAACAGATAGTTTAAAACTGTTACTGTCCTCTGAGTTGGGTCTTTTAGAATTATGTAGTGATCCTCCCTGTCTTAAATTCTATGTTACTCTCTACCTTTCTGTGTCCTTATGTGTTGTGTGTGCATCTTATAAACAGCAAAGAGATGGATTTTTGAAAAATTCTGTATTGTCAGGCTTTCTGTATTAATTGTCAAATTTACCCCATTTAATTTACTTATTGTGACTATTGATGTAGTTGGTCTGCTTTCTGCCATCTGTTTTTTCCCTATGGGAATGTGCTTGTTTCTTTTTCTTTCCTTGCCCTTTCTTTTTTCTGGATTAGTTATTTTTATTTTTATTTTTTTGGGGGGCGGTCTCACTATGTTACGTAGGCTGGTCTCGAACTCCTGGGCTCAGGTGATCTGCCTGCCTTGGCCTCCCAAAGTGCTGGGATTATAGGCATGAGCCACTGCCCCTAGCTTAGTGATTTTTTTTTTTCTTATTCCTTTTCTCCCTCTACTGGTTTAGAAATTATAGAAACTATTTTAATCTTTTAGTGGTCATCTTTGTAATTTTTCCATGTGTATTCAATGTAAAAAAGACCAAAAAAATTCAGAGTTAATACTTATAATAGTTATTAGGCAGAATACCCTCCTTGAAAATACAAAAATACAAATCATCCCCTTCCTGATACATATGCTATTATTGGAGAATATTTCAGTTCTTTTTAAAATTCTATAAAATAGATACTAATATTCGTACTTCATGAAAACTATGTTTGTTTGGATTCACCCATGTGTGTAGTAGCCAGCCTGCAAGACAGCTCCCAGTATCTCCTAGTATTCAGATCCTTGTACAGTCCCCTCCCACACTGCACCAGGGTTGGTCTGTATGACCAGGAAAATATGGCAGAAGTAATGGTATGTCACTTTCGATATGAGGTTATAAAAAGCAACACAGCCTCTTGTGTGCTCTCTCTCTCTCTCCCTCCCTCTCGGATTGCTTGTTCTGAGTCAAGCTAGCTGCCATGTCTTAAGGATATTCAGGCACCCCTGTGGAGAGGCCCATGTGGTGGCCTCACTCCAAAAGCCTGCTAAGAAATACAGCCTGCCATGAACCACATAAGTGAGCTTGGAAACAGATCTTCCGGCTTCATGAAAGACCTTGAGCCAGAACCACCCACTGAAGATTCTCCCTGATTCCATACCCTCAGAAACTGTGTGAAATATCAAACGTTTGCTGTTTTAGGCTGCTGAGTTTGGAAGTAATTTGCTATGCAGCAATAGATAATGAATTTACAACATATGTACTGATTTGTTCACCATTGTTTTTGAACGTTAGTCATCCTTCATGCCATTTTCTTTATTCCTAAAGAACATCTTTCAAAATTTTCTTTAATGAAGATCTGTTCGTTAGAAACTCTGTTTCTGTTTATTTGGAAATGTTTTCATTTCACCTTTATGGCAAGAGACCCTACGGCGATCCCCAGTCATTCCAGCCTTCTAGTGTTCAATGCTTTGAGTAATCTCTTTCCTTTGAATACTGGCAGGAGCTGCAACACACTTTTAACCAACAGAATGTGGCAAAAGTGGCAAAAGGACAGCTCTCAGATGATGGTGTTATATCATATAAGACTCAATCTTGCAGGCTGGAGCTCGAGAATTTTCTCCCTTGCTGGCTTGAAAAAGCAAGCTGCTATGTCATGAGACAGGCTACGGAGAGAAGCACAGGATAAGGAATTGTGGGAAGCCTCTAGCAGCTGACAGCTGCCCCTGGCCAGAAGCCAGCAAGAAGATGGGAACCTCAGTTCTTCTACCACAAGGAGATGAATACTGCCAGCAACCTGAGGGAGTCTGGAGGCAGATCTTTCCCCAGTCAATTCTCTTATCAGACCACAACCTTAGCCAGCACCTAGACTGTAGTTCGGTATGATGCTGAAGCAGAAAATTCAGCTAAGCTGTGCCAGACCTCTGACCTAAAGAAACCATTACATAATAAACATGTGTTGCTTTAAGCTGCTGGGTCTGTGATCGTTTGTTATGCAGCAATAGAAAACTAATACAATCCTAACCTTGAAAGGTAGTTTGGCTATGTACACAATTCTAGGCTGATAATTATTTTTGCTCTGCACTTTTAAGATGTTATTCCACTGCTATCTGGCTTCCATGATTGCTGTTGAGAAGTCTGCTGCTTATATCATCATTCCTTTATAGATGTCCTATCTTTCTTCTCTGCCTCCTTTTATTTTCTTCTTTTTGTGTTTGCTGTTGTGGGTTTCATCACAAGTCTGAAACACAACATAGAACTGATTGTCGTGAGTTTCATCAGACTTGAAAGTCCTTTACCTATAGGTTCATCCTTTTCATCGTTATGAAAAATTCTTATCTCTTCAAATATGGCCTCTCCTCCATTCTCCCCACTTTCTCTTTCTGAGACTGTGACTAGAAGCAGGTTAGACATCCTCATTCTATTCTCCATATCGCTTAACTGCTCTTTCATATTTTCCACTTCCTTCTCTATGCTACATTCCAGGTAATTATTTCATATTTGTTTTCCATTTTCTGACTTCCTTTTTAACTGTTTTTATTTGCTGCTTAACCCACTCATTTACTTTTGTGTTTCAATGGTCATATTATTAATTTCTAAAGGTTCTATCTGGTTCTTTTTGAAATTGCCTGGGCATTTGTGTTAGTCTTTGTTGTTCACTCATTTTGTGTTCTCATCTCTTATTCTTTCAACATTTCTTACAGTTATTTTATATTCTGTATCTGATAATTCCAAACTCTTAAATCCTTGGGGGTCAAAATCTACTTTTTGTTTCTGTGCCTTTCAATCACAGTGACTTGTTTTTTCCTGTGTTTGGTAATATATTCGATTGTGAGCTCATATTTGCTAGATTTTAATCTGTGGGAAATTGGTAGTCCTAAAATGGGACACTTTCTTTCAGAGAGCATTTGCTTTGCTTTTTCATGGAGGCTGGGGGCAGCAGATACCAACCTGAGATCACTTTAGCCCCTCTCAAGGGTTCTTGGCTTCATGCAGGTAGTCTCAGGTTTGGCTTCCCAACCTTGCTGGACTCAATGCTGATTAGCCTACAGAATGCAGTAATGTCAATGAGGGTGCATTCTAAGAGTAACTATGGCTTAAGTTCTGGCTAAGCTTCACATACTCCAGTGCTAGTTTTTGTTTTGTTTTGTTTTGTTTGAGATAGAGTCTCACTGTGTCACTCAGGCTGGAGTATAGTGGCACAATCTCGGCTCATTGCAACCTCTGCCTCCTGAGTGATCCTCCTGCCTCAGCCTCCCTAGTAGCTGGAACTACAAGCATGCACCACCATGCCCAGCTAATTTTTGTATTTTTAGTAGAGACAGGGTTTCACCATGTTGGCCAGGCTGGGTCTCGAAATCCTGACCTCAAGTGATCCTTCTGGCTCGGCCTCCTTAAGTGTTGGGATTTCAGGCATGAGCCACCATGCCTGGCCCAGTTATCTCATGGGGTTTTTGTTTTGTTTTGTCTTTTTGGTAGTGTTTGGTGTGGGGAGAGTAACGGTGACTTAAGATTGGATGATTTTCATTCCTTCTTTAAACCAAGCTGTGTAATAGTAAACCTGGGATTAATTATTTTAAAGTGGAAAGTCCCCTTATGATTCAGGCAGTCATACAGTCCTAAAATATCTTCAATCAAAGTATGAAATAAGGTAAGTTTTGAGCATCTGCTATCTGTAAAACACCTCCCTCCCTCCCTCTCTCCTTCTCTTTCTTTCTCCAGTTTACTGCTGCTTCCTAGCCCAAGTCCCATCTCCAAATTACACCTGCTCCTTGCTTAGCCAGTGAGGAGGGAGACTGGAGTCAAGATGTGGAAGGTAGATGAAACAACACATTAAGGCCTTCAAATCTTAGGGGCCATGGTGTGAATATTGGATGTGAGGTGAGAGAGGGAAGGACAAATGGACCAGGCTTCCCACAGTGGCCTCTTGACCAGCTCTAGCCGGAAGAGGGAGTGCAGTGTTGGCAATAGGGCTCTTCCTGCCCCCTGGGAATAGGGAAAGCACATGTCAATGGCTCTGGGCCACCAGGGACAATGGGCAGCAGTTCAGGTTGCTGCTGTGCCTTCCCTTCAAACCCCAACAATCACCTCCATTGATGCTCAGGTTCAAATCCATTACACAAGCCAACACTGAACTCCTAGAAAGGGCCATACTATTCTGGGTTCTGCAAAGGATAAGTAGGTGAACAAGATACAGCCTTAGCTACCAAGGAGAAGTAGGATTTGGTGGCAAAGGGCTCTGATCCATCAGCAAATATGACGAGAACTTCCCAACAGGTACAGACGCCATGCAACAATAGTCCAGAAAGACAGAGAGAAGGGGAGCAGAGAGCTCAACAGGGAGCTAGGGAAGTTTCCGTGGAGGAGCTGACATTCCAGCGGAACCTTAAGAGCAGGGTAGGATTTTGATAGACAGGGGGAAGGAAAGAGCAGAGGAAAGGCATTCCGGTAGAGAAGACAGCATGAGCAAAAGCAGTGAGAGGGGAAACAGAGAGTAGGAACAACAAATGGGATTCAGCTCAAGTTCAAGATCAGTTCAAGATGAGCCTTAACGCATTTCATGCAGTAGTAACTGTCCAAAGTGGCTTCCCCAAATGAGGTCCAACAGGAGACGGCCTTCATCCACCAGTAATGTCTGCTTAGCCTAGGAGGGGGCTGTGACAGCAACCTACCAAATAGCTGCCATTTCTAGTGTAAGATATCTTCCAAAACAGTGAACAACCCAGTTGGACTAAAGCATGATGGGGTGGGTGGTGAGAACTCAGATAAGATGGTTGGAATCAGATTGCAGAGGCTCTTGAGTGCCAAGCTAAAGAGTTAAGACCTGCCTTTGTATTCTAAAGAAAACATTTCTGATCAAGTGACAGTGTGAAAAGAAATACTGTCACAAATTTGAAAAGTGACCCATTCTCTACTCCTGCAAGCTGCTGTCCCAGCCTGGGCTACATCAACCACACCTCAGCATGGGCCCCTCGGGGTGGCGGGAGCGGGGAGGAGGGGGGCCTAAACCCATTTTTAAAAATCTCATCGGTGGTACGTTGGCACTGCCCCTGAGTCGAGTGGCCAAGTACATACACAGAACTTTTGAAGGGCCACAGAATGCCTTTGTCTCACTGCTGCACCCAGCTTGGCTTCCCTTCCATCTCATATACCACCCCTCTGCACCTCCCACCCTCCCAGTGACCACACATTCCTTTCTCCCTCCTTCCAGAGAGGAAGCTGGGCTGCTGGAGGCTGGCTGGGGTGGGGAGGGTAAGAGGCTGGGTGGTGAAAAATCTCAGTTCCGGGCGAGAGATTCTAAGGAGTAGATGGAAGACAGGAAGGAGGAGTCACTGGGGGAAGGAGATCCAAGGCTGAAGTGAGCGGAGAGGGCACAGGAACAGGGCATGCACCGCCACCTGCGCACTGGGCCCTGGACCTTTGCCTGGGGGCCTGAGGACCTGGCTCGCCAGCACAGGGGGCCTGAGAAATCATCACTGCTGGAGTGGGGGACTCCCTGGCTGCTTCACTCTCTTGCTCCCCAACTCTTCCCCTCTAGACCATTTGGACCACTCTCCCCATCTGGAGAATGGAACCAATCACACGTTGCTGCCTCCTCTAGGGTGTATTATGAGAACGAATTCTGTTTCCGCTCATTTTTCCTCTCCTTTCTGTGCTCTTGTTTATCTCCATATTGGCAAGCAGCTGAGGTTCTGGGTGGAAGCAGCACTTCCATGTTAATTTTCCTCTCTGATCCTCCTGCTTGGTTGCTGGCTGCATGTGCGGGAGAAAGCAATCAGAAGAGTTTCTCCGGCAATTATCTTCCCATACTGAGTCACATAATTTCACTTAATTGCTGGGTAAAAACTGCTCAGAAAGAGAAGCCACTAGTTGATGATATAGCAACATGCTCTATTATTTTTGATTCCACGCAGCAGTGAGGTAGATCAGAATACCCAGTTCCATTGTGAAAATAACTCAGAAACAACCTCCCTTGAAAATGCAGAGGCTCCAAATTACAGTGAAACTTCATTATCTCATCCTCATCCCTCCCTCCCCCTGCTCCCGAAGCTTCACTCGCCTCCCCTGGCATCCCACCTGCTTGCCTTCCTGCAGGCTCAGCCCACGGATGACAAGCTCTGAGGGGTCACCGGGCCTGGGTCTTAGCAGGATGCCCTGCTAAGAAAGATGAGGTCTCACTTCATACAGAACGTCCCGGAATGGGGCCTTTTATGAGGCCGCAGAATGCCTGGGCCCCACAGTTTAGTCTAAATGGTTACCCTAGACTATTATTATATGCAAAGGGATATGATTTAGCCTATGACGTATCTAGATCTTTGCAACCAAGAAGTCTATTAAAAAAAGATTCGACTGTGTATATATTGAGTATAACCAAGATGTGAGGTCTACCAGATGGAGTTAGCATCACAGAATTCATCACAGTTGGTTACAGTGATTGGGCTCCTGCTTTTTATTTGTGAAAATTGGGGCCCAAAGAGAGATGAGGTACCTGATTCATCCAGTTATTTAGGGGCAGGGCAGGGCTCAGAACATGCATTTCCCACTCTTGACTGCTGTTTTGATGTGCTGGGATTGGGAGGTGGGCAGAACAGGGCTGGCAGAGCAGTGGCCAGGAGGAACAGAGGGAAGGAAGGCTGAGCCCACCCCAATGCCAAAGGGAAGGGGGGTAGCCTGGCTGGAGCCAGGGAAGAGGGCGAGGCCCTGCAGGAATGGGGTGGCCAGGGACATGAGAGGGCAGGAGGGAAGCCACTGCCACTGATAGCCTCCTTGGATTGGAGATGGGAGGTGACAGTGCTGGCTTCAGGGAAGGTGAGGGATGGAATCATGTCTAGAATGGGTCTTCTGGAGGCATGGGGCCCAAATGCTCACTCTCTCACACAGGGGAGTAAATACGTGATGAGAACAGGTCTTTCCCATGATCCCCAGGTGATGTGGTGAGTTTAGTGCAGGTGGCTATTGCTGCAGCATGGATCTGTGTTGTGTAAGGTTAGACTAAGAATGAAAACAGGGAAGTCACAGACAAACTGGTCAGATGTATTGGGAAAGAAGTGGATTTTTTTTTTTTTTTTTGAGAAGGAGTCTCGCTCTGTAGCCCAGGCTGGAGTGCAGTGGCGCAATCTTGGCTCACTGCAACCTCTGCTGCCGGGTTCAAGCGATTCTCCTGTCTCAGCCTCCTGAGTAGCTGGGATTACAGGCACGCGCCACCATGCCCAGCTAATTTTTGTATTTTTAGTAGAGACGGAGTTTCACCATGTTGGCCAAGATGGTCTCGATCTCTTGACCTCGTGAGCCGCCCACCTCAACTTCCCAAAGTGCTGGAATTACAGGCATGAGCCACCACACCCGGCCCAGGTGGAATATTTATATTCCTAAGACCTTAGCAAGTCTTACTGTCTGGGAGGAAAATAGGGGGAGAGTGGTCTGATCTATTCGTGCTAAGCAAGACCTCTTGGAGACAAAGGACTGGCCCCGAAGGCTTTTTAAGGCCTCCTTAGCCCTCTGTTTCCATGAAAGGGCCATGCCTGCACAATATCAGCCTTACCATCAGTTCTCTATTCTCCATGCTCATGAACGGGACCTGGGGGAGTGGTCAGTATAAACCAGCAGAGAATGCCCAAACCCTGGCCTTGGCTTTGGAATGTGTTTTATTTTTATGGGAATTAAGCCTCATAATGCTTTCAGACAAAAGATAAAGAATCCCAGAGAGGCCTCAGTACTGGAGAGGCTGGATGTTCTTCTCCTCGATCTTCCTTGGCACCCCACCCCAGCCCCACTCCAGCGTCCCCCTGCTTCCCATCCATGCTGGAGCATCCTGGTGCCCTTGGCATCCAACCAAAGTACCTCCCCACTCACACACAGCTGCGTTTTTCTTCTCCAAACTGTCCCTCCTTTTTCTGCTTCCCGTCTCAGATGCTTTGGCTGAAGTTCTCTTGCAGGATTAAAAGGAAAATGAAGGACAAAAGGACAGTCGTCATCCACTTGGGGGACGTATGTCGAGCAGAGCTCCAGGGGGGCTTTCCCAGGGTCCCTCCTGGCTGAGCCCGGCACCCCTCACTCCCTCTCCATGTCAGGGCTGCTTTCTCCTCTCACCTTGGGTCCCATGTAACCACCAGCTTGGAAACAGGGGTAAGGACCACACTCAGCCTCACACCCCCAACTTTGTGCCCTAAACACTCTCCTGTCAAAGTTCCCAAGCCACAGGGACCCAGAGTCATGGCCCAGGTTCATCCTCTGTTTTTGTAAAACGGAGAGTCGATTCTGCTTCATTTTCTTTTTTCTTTCTTTCTTTCTTTCTTTCTTTCTTTCTTTCTTTCTTTCTTTCTTTCTTTCTTTCTTTCTTTCTTTCTCTCTCTCTCTCCTTCCTTCCCTTCCTTCCTTCCTTCCTTCCTTCCTTCCTTCCTTCCTTCCTTCCTTCCTTCCTTCTTTCTTTTCTTTTTTAGACAGTCTCGCTCTGTCACCAGGCTGGAGTGTGCAGTGGTGCGATCTTGGCTCACTGCAACCTCCTCCTCCCAGGCTCAAGCGATTCTCCTGCCTCAGCCTCCCGAGTAGCTGGGACTACAGGTGCGAACCACCACACCCAGCTAAGTTTTGTATTTTTAGTAGAGACGGGGTTTCGCCATATTGGCCAGGGTGGTCTCCAACTCCTGACCTCCGGTGATCTGCCCAACTCAGCCTCCCAAAGTGCTGGGATTACAGATGTGAGCCACCACTCCCGGCCGATTCTGTGTCATTTTCAACCCCTTCTGGGAGGCTGCTCGAAAGTCCATTTGCTTATGTGGCTATGAGATACATCTCCTGCCTCCTAGACACTGTGCAAGACCCCCGCCCCAAGCCAGTGTGTCCCGACCGCAGGTCCAGCCACACCCAGTTCGGCAGGACACTGTGGAGCCACTGGCGGGCAAATGTGAATCCCCTGAGGAGGGAGGTCCGGGGTTGGAGATCTTTGTGCCTTTACAAAGCACACCCCTGACTCACACTGCACACTTCCCAGACAGCGGCCTTGAACCAGAAGGCTGGACACAGAGGTCAGCCTGCATCATAGGAGCCCTTCTATGGATGCCACAGAAGAAACTAAGAGGAATTAAAAATTCTGAGATGAAAACCCACACTTGAGGCCCAGTCTGGGGGTCTGTATTGGATACAAGAGGTAATAATTATAATCACGACAAATGATACAGGCCAGGCACTATTCTTAGTGCTTTAAATGCTTATTCTCACTTAATCCTTAAACATAACCCGATGCTAACACTGATAATGTGCACCTGTGGCCCTTTCATGAAATCCAAGAACTAAGGAGGCCTTAAAAAGCCTTCAGAGCCAGTCCCTTGTCTCCAAAAGCTCTTGCTTAGCACAAATAAATCAAACTGTCCTCCCCCTATTTTCCTTCCAAACAGTAAGACTTGCTAAGGTCTTAGGAATATAAAGATCCCACCTCTCTCCCAGTACATCTGACCAGTCTGTCTGTGATAATTTTTAGTCCGGAGCTTCCCTGTTTTCATCCTTAGTCTGGTCGTACGCTACTCAGATCCACGCTACAGCAATAGCCACCTGCACCAAGCTCACCTTACCGCACAGCTGGGGTCATGGGAGAGGCCTATTCTCATCACCTGCTTGCTCCCCTGTGTGAGAGAGTGAGGAGTTGGGCTCCATGTCTGCCGAAGGCCTTTTGTTATCGTCAAAAGCATTTTACAGGGAAAGAAACTGAGGTAGGGAAAGAGAGGTGCCCTGGAGAATAAGTGCAGGATTCTGGACTTCAGCCCTGCTCTGTCTGCCTGGCTGTTGGTGGAGGGCAGGGAGTCTTCCTGCTATGAGTAGGTTTCCTTCGATCCCAGAGCCAGCCCCAAACTCCAGCCCTTGGGCCCCACCTCACAGGGAGGGATCACATCCATTTGGGGGCAAAGAGCCATGAGGGGCCACCTGCACTGTGGCTCTTTGAAGGGCCCACCTTTTCTAGGTAGCTGCCACCCTGTTTTCTCATTCCCATCCCAGTCCAGCAGGCTGAGGCAGCGAGATACAGGTACCTGAGAGAGCTCTGCGCAGAGAGCCACAATGCAGGGGCTCCCGCATCTGGATGAACATTTACCAAGCTTCCAGCATCTCTAGCTTCATACATATTCGTGCGCTAGAGAGACAGCAGAATGTACAATCCTGCCAGCTCACCCCTGAGAAAGCATTGATACTCACTTGTTGAACAGAGAGCTGTTTACTCGGGTGGGGGATTTTTAAAAACAGGCTACGGAACCCTGAAGCTGATTAGGCCGAGGGTGAGAGCATGGGGTGCGGGCAGCGCAGAATCAGTGCAGAATCTGCCAGTCCGTTCCCTTGTCCACTTTCCAAGGCTATGATCAAGGTCAAGTGAGATAATAGGTGTGAAGGTTCTTTGTAAACTGTAAAACACCCTGATAACAACATGTAACATTCGTAAGGTGCTCATGCCATACCAAGTGTTGTTCTAAATAGTTATATAACTCATTCTACCCTTACAATAGTCCTAAGAAGCAACTATTATTACGATCATTCCCTTTACACAGACGGGCAGACTGAGGTGAGAAAGATTAAGTAAGCTGCCCCAAATTCCAGAGCTAGAAAGTAGCAGAGCCTAGATTCAATCCCAAGCAACCTGGCTCCAGGGTCCTTGCTCTGAGCACTCAGCTCTCCCTCCTCTCTGCCACTCAGTGGCTCTGTGGCCTCGGGAGCGTTACTTGGCTTCTCAGAGTCTTGGCTTCTGCAACTGCAAGATGGGCCTAACAGCATGCATCTCGGGATCAGTGAGGGTCAGATGAGGTGGTCTTTGTGCCCACATCAGTCCCCTCTTCTGTGAATGACATCCCCTTTTGGAAGGGAGCCTGCTCTGTCCCCACTCGAACCCTGCTGGTCTATGGGAGCCTGCCAATCTCAGCTCCTTCCCTGTAGCTAAAAGACATGGTAGGAAAGACCTCAGCATCCTGCCGGATGAAAGGAGGAGGAGTCTGTTGGGGGAGAAGTCGGCCAATAGCTGACAGGTACAGAGCTGGCAGGGGAGAGAGGCAGGGAGGAGGGGCCCAGAGAGCTTCCTAGCTGTGCCTCAGGCTCCTGTGTTCCCACACCAGAGGGCCCCACCCTTCCCGAGTCTGGCTCTGTAAACTGATACCCCTGCTTCAACTAAATTAGATGGAGTTCTGTTGCTGTCATTTGCAATGAAAAGAGACGGCCTGTGGACGGAGCTGAGTGCAGCCTGGCGAATAGTAACTGCTGGTGAAGCATCACCTGTTAGTATCATTACTGTATCACTGCCCAACTCTGTCCTTGGCTTCCTCCTTCATTTCTACCTTTTCCAGGAAAATGGAAAGATAAACAGAGATAGGGGCTAGGGAGAGGGCCCAGTTACTTCCTCCCCCTTCCCTTCCTTTTAACATTGTCCTCCAACCACTGGAAGGCTCCAGGGTCCTCGTGTGGTCACAGGACGTGGAGGGTCCTCGTGAGGTCACAGGATGTGGAGGGGCCTCGGCCCACAGCTGACACTGGCTCCCGGCCACTGCCTTTTCCTGCCTCAAGACAAACATCCTATGTCATCCAGAGCTGCAGATATGTGGCCCAGGGAGGACACATCTGGCTGGGACAGCTAAAGCAAGGGACACATCTTCCCAGGCCCAAACTGAGGGCACCCCCACGAGAGACACAGAAGCAAGACAGACAGAGGACATGAGGCAGCAGGAGAGGAGAGAAAACCCGGAGGAGGAGAAACTGAAAAGGCGATGCCCCAGAGGAAGTGGGAGAGGCAGGCAAAGGAAAGAGAAAGAAAGAGGCTTCGAGACGGGAGAGGCTGGCCCAGGGGCCAAGTCCCCGCAGAAACTGAGCTGGAAAATGGGAAGGAGGGACACAGGTGGTGAAGCCAGGAGAGGTGGAGGCTGCTGAGAGAAGAGAATTGGCTTTAGAGGAAGCATCAAGCAAGCCCTCACGTCATCCTCCTCCTTCTGAGGCCTCGGCTGCCCTGGGTGCCTCCACCATGCCCTAGGTGCCTCCACCATGCCCTGCGTGCCCCACTCACACAGATGCACCTAAAAGCAGAGACAGGAAAATGCACCAGGGCAGGGTATGAGAAGGAAAAGTCAACAGACAGCTGCTGTTCCTGGGAGAAAACAACTCACGCCCTTCCCTGGCTACAGGGCCGCTGCCCAGAAGACACAGTGTCTCTGCTGGAAAGAGACCAGGAGCTGCGGCTATCCCAGACCGAGGCCCAGCCCACAAGGTCCTCAGCCACCTCCTCTGGTCACCATGCCCAATCTTCTTCCTTCACCAAGGTCATTCAAGGAGAAGCCACTGCCTCCCACAAAGGGCCCCTTCAGGGTATCTCTCTAGAAGGGTTGGGCCCTGAGACACACAGGCAGGGCCAAATGGACTTCTGCAAAACCAAGGTGCTGTTCCTAAGATGGCCCTGTTCCTCCCTCCTCCTTGGGTTGAGGAGGTCACGGCAAGATGTATCAAGATAGGAACTCTTGTCCCTCAGGCCTGGGCCCTTCAGTGTATCTGTGACTGTCAAAAGAGAAAGGGGAGCTGCTGTGTCTTACATGTTGCATATTCCTGTTCCCTGCCCACATTGGTCAAAGGGGATGATGATGATGATGATGATGATGATGTGATGATGTTATACACCAGTCATTTATAAGACACCTTATTCACCAGATAACATTACAAGCATTAGCTCAAAGAAACATCACAACTCCATGGGATGTTGGTTATTACTGCTATTTTACAGATTAGAAAAGGAGAGGCTCAGGCTTATGCTATTGCCCAAGGCCCAACAGCTAACAAAAGCATACCTGGAACTGTCACTAATTCTGCTGGTGCCATGCACCTTCCACTCTTTCTTGCTGCCTCCCTGGCACATGTGGAAATGGGCAGGAACTAAGGGAAATAAAATTGGAGGCCCCAATTTATTCCTGGAATGCAAAAATGTTTCAACATATGAAAATCAAGCAATATAATATACCACATTAGCAAAACGGAGGGAAAAAAAACCACACGATCATCTCAATTGATGCAGAAAAAGCATTTGACATCAACATCCTCCCATGAGGAAAACATTCAACAAATTAGGAATAGAAGGAAACTACCTCAACATAATACAAGCCATAAGTTTAAAAAAAAAAAAAACCCACAGCAAACATCACACTCAATGGTCAAAGACTTAACGCTTTTCCTCTAACATCAGGAACAAGGCAAGGATATCCACTTTCACCATTTCTGTTTAACACAGTATTGGAAGTCCTAGCCAGAGCAACTATGCAAAATAAACAAATAAGTAAAAGGCATCCAAATTGGAAAGGAAGAAGTAAAATGATCTCTGTTCACAGATGGTATCATCTTATACATAGAAAACCCTAAAGATCACACATAAAAACTGTAAGAACTAATAAATTCTGCAATGTAGCAGGACACAAGGTCAACACACAAAAAACAATTGCATTTCTATACATTAACAATAAAAAATCTGAAGAGGAAACTAAAAAACAACTCCATATCATAATATCAAAAAGAATAAAATATTTAGAAATTAACCAAGAAGATGAGAAACTCATGCAATAGAAACATTTCTCAAAGAAATTAAAGAAGATGTAAATAAACGGAAAAAATAGTCCATGTTTGTAGATTGAAAGACCTAATATTTTTAAGATATTAATACTATCCAAAATGATCTATAGATTTAATGCAATCCCTATCAAAATCCCAATGACATGTTTTTGTAGAAATAAAAAAATCTATGCTAAAATTCATATGGAATCTCAAGGGACCCTGGGTAGCCAAAAAAATCCTGAAAAAGAACAAAGCTGAAGGACTCAAGCTTCCTGATTTCAAATTCTACTACAAGGCTACAGTATCAAAACAGTGTGTGACATAAGAACAGACATATATACACCAATAGAGTAGGATAAAGTCCAGAAATAACCCTCACATATGTGGTCAAAAGATTTTTGACTTGGGTGCCAAGACCATTCAATGGGGAAAAGACAGTCTTTTCAACAAGTAAGTGCCAGGAAAACCAGATGTACACATGCAAAAGAATAAAGGTAGACCCTTACTTAACACCACACACAAAATTTAACCTAACTGGATCCATGAGCTACACGTAAAACCTAAAACTTAAAACTCTTAGAAAAAAACACAGCAAAAGCTTTATGACGTTGGATATGGCAATGGTTTCTTGAATAGGACAACAAAGGCACAGGCAACAAAAGAAAAAAATAGACAAATTGCACGTTTTTTTTTTGAGACGGAGTCTCACCCTGTTGCCCAGGCTGGAGTGCAACGGCTCAATCTCGGCTGACTGCAACCTCCACCTCCGGGGTTCAAGCAATTCTCCTGCCTCTGCTTCCCGAGTAGCTGGGATTACAGGCACCTGCTACCACACCCAGCTCATTTTTGTATTTTTAGTAGAGACAGGGTTTCTCCATGTGGGTCAGGCTGGTCTCGAACTCCTGACCTCGTGATCCGCAGGCCTCGGCCTCCCAAAGTGCTGGGATTACAGACATGGGTCACCGCGTCTGGCCGAAAAATTGGACTTTATAAAAATGTAAAAATGTGCATCAAAAGACACAATCAACAGATCAAAAATACCACAGAGTGGAAGGAAATATTTTCAAATCATACATCTGCTAGAGACCTCCTAAAACTCAACAACAAAAAAAGCAAACAATTCAATTCAAAAATGAGCAAATAACTTGAACTAACATTTCTCCAAAGAAGATATACAAATGGCCAATAAGCACATGGAAAGATGCTCAACCTCAATAATAATTAGGAAAATGCAAATCAAAACTACAATGCGTACCACCTCATATCCTTTAGGATAGCTGCTATAAAAAAAAGAAAGAAAATAACAAGTGTTGGTGAGGATGTGGAGAAATTGGAACCACTGTGCACTGTTGCTAGGAATGTAAAATGCACAGCTGCCATGGAAAACAGTACAGTGGTTCCTTAAAATATTAAAAATAGAATTCCCATATGATCCAGCAATTCCACCTCTGGATATATACCCAAAAGAATTGGAAATAGAACCTTGAGGAGATATTTGTAAACCCATGTTCATAGCAGCATTATTCACAATAGCTAAAACACAGAAGCAACCCAGGTGTTCATCAGTGGATTAATGGATAAGCAAAATGTGGTATATACACATAAAGGAATATTATTCAACCTTAAAAAGGAAGGAAATTCCAACACATGCATGAATCTTGTGCCCAGCAGCTGTGAGATGGACAGAGGCTGAGGAGGAACATAAGAGTGACTGTGGTGAGGTTGAGCATCCTGGCCAGGCACGGTGGGTCATGCCTGTAATCCCAGCACTTTGGGAGACCAAAGCGGGTGGATCACCTGAGGTCAAGAGTTCGAGACCAGTCTGGCCAACACGGCGAAACTCCATCTCTACTAAAATACAAAAAAATTAGCCGGGCGTGGTGGTGCGCGCCTGTAGTTCCAGCTACCCGGGAGGCTGAGGCAGGAGAATTGCTTGAACCCGGGTGGTGGAGGTTGCAGTGAGATCGTGCCATTGCACTCCAGCCTGGGCGACAGAACAAGATTCCATCTCAAAAAAAACAAAAAAGAGTGCCTGTGGTGAGGCTGAGCATCTTTCCATGTCCTTACTTGTTCCAGCTACAACATGGATGAACCTTGAGGACGTGAGGCCAAGTGAAATAAGCCAGTCACAGAAGGACAAGTACTGTATGATTCCACTCATATGAGGCACGTAGAGTAGTCAAAATCAGAGACAAAAAGGAGAATGGTGGTTGCCAGGGGCACCGGGAAGGGGGGAAATGGGGAGTGAGTGTTTAATGGGTATGGAGTTTCAGTTTCACAAGACGATGGGAGTTCTTGAGATGGATGGTGGTGATCGTTCCACAACAATATGGATATACTTACCTCGCTGCTGAAATGTACACTTAAAAATCATAGTACATTTTATGGTATGTGTATTTTACCATACTAAAAAAAAACTGGGGGGGAAATGGGTATAGGTGACGGGAAAAAACATGTTGACCCTAACTCCTGACCAAGCTGGGCTCACCTGATGAGGGTGTTCTTACCCAGGCCAAGGAAGAATAACCCAAAATACAGCTTTTCAGACTTTGGCATGCATTATCCCCTTTTTCCGCCTTTCACATTTTCTTGCCCAACTCTGTTCTGCTGACTATGACTGAGGTTGGGGTAAAGCTGGGACCCTGGGGCCTGTTAATAGGAGAGGTTGTGGCATGTCTGTTACCCATTGTCAGATCCCAGCTGTTCCCAGCGATGCCCCATCAGTCCCAGCTGAGCTTTGGCATCAGCACAGGCACTCCTGTGTCCCTCTCAGCCTCTGTCCATCTCACAGCTGCTGAGTGCCCCGCTGCACTTTGCCTAGCAGAATACCAGTGCATTTATGCTGAGTACTGGATGGAGTCCCAGACCAGTTGTAGGCTATCCTGTCCACTGGAGCTCAGCTCAGGGTGGGTGCCAACAGAACTACTAGCCGGCAGCCTTTCACCGTGGGCTGCAGAGCTGCAGATCACCTTTTTTTCTGGTATGGCTCAGAATTAGATGAGGGTGTAGAATCGAAATAAAGGCCACCCCTACTCAAAAATGTATCTGCCTCCACAACAATTCTTCCCAAGGAGAGACGTTTAAATGTCACGGCATCACTACAAGAGAAATACTCCCAATCCTAACAGTCATTTATATCTTGGCCTGAGTTATTTAATCAGATTGCTTTCCACAGCAGAGAAATTTGCCTGCATTTAGGTGGAGAAATTGGGGGAGAAAGAGCGTACTTTTGGAACAAGGTGTAATTTTGGAAACAATGGCACCCTTATCCTTCCAGTAACCAAGTTAACAAATATTTATTGATGGCCTAATGCTTTCCAGCACTTCACTCATCACTGAGGACACTGCAGTGAGCAAGACAGACACAATCCCTGCCTCCCTGCCTGACGGAGGTTACGGCCTCACCAAGTTTCCGGGGCTTCCTCTCTCCTTCCCCATCTCCACACTGCATCTGTGGCAAAGTCCTAGCCATGCTCGCACTTGCAGTATCTCTCTAATTGGAACTTCCTTTCCGTCACTCCTCTGGGTAACTTACCTAATAGTGCAGTAGCTGGACCCATCTTTAACCTCCTCCTTCCCCTCTGTGCTGGACACTGATTACTGCAGGACTAACCTTTCTAAAGTGTATTCTGAATACCTCCCTCCCAAACTCAAAGGCATTCGGTGGTGCCTCTACGTCCTATTTAGTTTTTTAAAATCCAAACTTCTTTCTGGCATATGAAAATCTCTAAGTGTACCTCTCTTCTACCCCTCCAGTATCTTCTCATTACTTTCAGCTAAGATGGTCTACGTTCCATCTTCTGCCA
This sequence comes from Homo sapiens, assembly GCF_000001405.40. Classification (NCBI taxonomy): domain Eukaryota; kingdom Metazoa; phylum Chordata; class Mammalia; order Primates; family Hominidae; genus Homo; species Homo sapiens. The sequence continues at coordinate 117,867,717 of NC_000011.10, forward strand.
CATGTGTCTCTAACTGCGTGCCTTTGTATATTCTGTTCCTTCTACTTACAATGCCCTTCCCTTCTTTGTTTATTCCAGTTCTCAACCCTGGTTGTACCTTAGGATCACATGAAGAGCTTCAGAAAAAAAAAAGAAAGAAAGAAAGAAAAGAAAAAAGATGCCTGGAAATCAACTCAGCCACATTCAGCTCTAAACCCGGGCAGTGTAGCCAAGGGCAGTGTAGCCAAGGTATCGGTAATTTTGAGAATCTCCCCCACTCATTCTGATGTGCAGCCAAGGTTAATAAATGCTATCTTTGTCCAGCTGCCACTCCACGTAGACCCCTTTCTCCAGACTCCAAGAGCGCCTGTCGCCTGTCGTTGGCACTAATTTGGCGCATAGCACATTCTGTTTCATGCTCGCTTCATTAAGATTCTCCTATCGGAAAAGTCTCTGTGCTACCCCATGATCTGTCCTCACCTGGGATGGTGAGGACGGCCGAAAGTGCTGGCTGATGGTTTGGTATGTTTGTCTCGAGGAGCGGAGAGAACACAGCTCCAATCACCAGGCCTTGAAACTGTGCTGCGTGGGGGGCATGAAAGGGATGGAAAACCCAGTCCCATCAACGTCAACAGCAATGAATCATCCTGATTGTATCGTCTTGGTGTGATGTGATGAAAATGGCACTTTCCCTCTGTGATCTTCCTCCCTAAAACCCATCACTCCAGTCTAATCATGAGGAGAACATCGAACAAATCCCAACAGGGCCACATCCTACAATACACCTGACCAGTGACCCTCAGAACTGTCAAAGTCCTGGGAAGCCTGAGAAAAGGTCACCACCCAGAGGCACCAAAAGAGGCACGACTCAATGGAGTGTGGTATCCTGGATGGGATCCTAGAACAGAAAAAGGACATAAGGTACAAACGAACGACATTTTAATAAAGTGTCAATGTTAGTCAATATTATTGTACCAATATTTGTTCATTAATTGTAACAAATGTACCACCCTAATGTAAGATCGTAATAATAGCAGAAACTGCATGCCAGGGGAGAAAATTGGAACTCATACAATCTGCCCAAGTTTTCTGTAAATCTAACTGTTCTAAAAAGATAGTCTATTCGTAGAAAAATAATAAAAATTCAAAAATTCAGTTAAAAGCAATCCTCAACCCCATCCCAGCACTCCGGCTCCTGCTCACCTTTCCGGCATTTGATGAATCTGTAACAGGAGCTGGGCTTCTCTGGTTCAGAGCCTCAGAGCAAACAAACAACCATCAAGGGCTTTTAAAGCTGCCTTTTAAAACAAGTGCTTTGGGTCGACCAGAGGCCACAGATCCATCAGTGGAAAATGCAACCAGTTCCCTCAATTTGCATTTTAAATGCCCATCAAATAAACAATTAAGCATCAATTATTGTTAAATCACCTAACTTGAAATGATTGCCCGCCCCGCCCAGCCAGCAATGTTCCAGAGAGGAGTCGAGGAGGAGACTGGACTCAGAGACTGGCAAGGGAAAGGACAGAGCAGAGGGTGGTGAAATTCCAGCAGTCCATGGCTCAAGGAGGCTGCAGACACTGCTGAATTTCCCAAGCTGCCAGGAAGGCAGCTGGACAGTCTAGGAGCAGGACAGGGCACCTCCGCCCAGCGCATCACTGTGGCTGACACCTCCCAGGGTGGCCTTTCCCTCTCCTGTCAGGCGCCTTCAGTAGCCCAACGGCTCGAATGCTGCCCCTCCAACCCTCATTCATGGAAGAGGGGCACTCCCACTGCGAGGGTGCTGGAGGCTGAGTCGTCAGGTACCCTGGACTCAACCGGCCCAGACCCAACCCAGCCCGGCTGCACAGGGTGGAGCGGGAGAGGCAAAACTCTCTTGTCATATAGCAGGGGACTTATTTTTAACCTGGAGGCACCTTTATCTTTAACATGAAAACATGAAGTTCTTTCTAGGGAAGAGAAACTTGGACAGAGGAAAAAGAAGAAGAAGAAGAAGAAGAGAGAGAGACAGAAAATAACTGACTGTGAAAAGAAATAAGGCCTCTTCCTTAGAAACAGAAACAGAATTCACAAATCACAAATCCAGGCCTGTTTTCTGGAAGTCTCCCTGGAAAGATCCCAAGCTGGACCATAAGCGGAGGCATGGTGGAGAGATCTTAGCCTCTGGTCTTTCAGTGCGTGCCGGCCTGGCTTTGTCCTCCAGCTGCATGCGGGTCACTGTCATTCCAATCACATCCCCTCATCCTTGGCCCTCTCTGCCCACATCAGATATTCTGAACTGGGGCAGCCCCATTCTCTGGGCCCCAGCCTGGTCCGTGGGGCCCCAGCCCCCTTCCCAGGTCTTGCTGTCACCTCACCATCACTGACAACCGTGACACTGTGGCATCCCAGCCATCACCCATGGACTTCTCACAACAGCCCTCAGAAGCAGAAACACAGAACAGTACTGCGAGGCCAACTCAGGCACAGGCCAATGCCGCGCCTTGCCCAGAGGGAGTCAGAGTGGGATTCAGGCCTCCTGCCTGCCAGCACAGGGGCTGAGGCCCCTCTGGTTCCCCAGGAGATCTCGGTCTGGCTCCAGAGAGTCTGAATGGTGAGTGGTATTGCACAGAAGCCACAGGCTGGGGCCCCAGCAGGCTGCACGCCCCAGCAGGGCGTGATGGAGTCAGGCCAGGATGGGATCACCTCCCCCACACACCTGCTGACAAAGGCCCATTCAAGACAGGACAGACAGCAGTCCCAGCAGCAGACACAGAAACCCAGAGCAGCTGCCAGGGCCAGGAACCCAGAAGCCAGGCCCACGCCACCCTGCCCACAGCCAGGCCACAGCACCAGGCAGCCCCCTTTGCTCTCTCTGCCTACCTCTTTAGAAGGACAGCTCTGGCCTGCATGTTTCAGCCTACAGGGCACTTTGCACAATTTCATATTGTCTCCCTTTTAGGGGTAGAAGTGGCATGAAGATGAACCCTGACCCACGGGCCTGGATACCCAGAAATGTGCCCTGCCTTTAGAGGAGGGGGCTGTTGACCTGACTCTGTCTCTGTTTCAGGAAACACATTATCCCCTCCCTCCCCTCAATGCATCCTCATACCCACAGAGCCAAGGCCTACACCCCTTCCCATGTAGGGCTGTCACCAGTGTATGCCCCCATCACACCATAGCTCCCTGGGAGCACAGGCACACTCTGGCCATCTCTGGATCCCTGGCACTGAGCACAGCAGCTGCTCAATAAATGTTGATGTGTGAATGAAAGGACGCTTCAGCATCATTATCCCTTTACATCAAATCCATTCTAAGCTCAGAACAACCAAAGGATCTGTAGGGAATTTTTCAGGCATTTAAAACTTTCTCGGTATCCTCCTTCCTCCATTGCCTCATTTCTAATCTCTGTGTCTCTGTCAAATCCCAACTACCAAAATGCTGTGAGGAATCAGCCTCTCTCCTTTGACTTCAGCTTTTAAGCATCTCTCAGACCTCAGATGGGGTCAAATTCTTAGTTTCTAGACTCTACCAAAGCAAGTGGGAGACTGAGGTGACGCACGGTAATAAAGGGATGTGCATCTTGGGAACGCGTGGTGTGCACCGGCGTATGGGAGACAGCCGGGAAGGGCGACTAGGTGTCTACACCTCCTGGTGATGAGGACTCTTCCCCATGCGTGTCACAGCACACACGCTGTTCACTGGGCTTTCTCCACGTGTCTGACACTGTGCCAGGCACCGTGGGGAGAACAGACCTGCCATTGAGAGGCGGTGCAGTGGAGCGGGCGGGGTGGGAGGCGGGGCGTGTCCCTCTGCAGCTAAAATGCAGGTGTGTGCTCTCAAGGAAGAACTGACAGGACATTCACGGTATATGAGTATGTTTATTGGGAATTTTAATGCCTGTTTATTGGGAATATGGAATAATTACTTGAAAGAATAAACACTTGGGAGGAGCCACGAAGGATGATATAACAATAATAATGCCATTCTAATAATCCTAATAATGTGTCATTACTATCATTATTACAGCAGCTGATATCTCCTGAGTGTTTACTCCATGCTAGGCAGCATGCTGAGCCCTTTACACAGCTCGCCTCATACTGTCCTCACACTCATTTGACAGGTAAGGAAACTGAGGTTTAGCAAAGTGAAGAAATCCAGGAAGCATCAGAATGCAGTTTAGAATCCAAGTTTGTGTGTCTACAAAGACTGCCACCCTCTACTCGGCACATTCCAGCAACGGCTTGAGCTCAGGCAGAGGGTGAGACAGTACCAGGCTTCGGATGACCATCTGGAGAAGGTGCCTGCAGAGGTGGCTGCAGCCAGGTCACGCTGAGCCTGGAGTGCCTACACCATGTACCTGTGCTTATTAATAGGCACTGGTGAGCCTGGGGAGGTTTTTGAGCAGAGGAGTGGCAAACCTGGACCTGAGCTGTAACATCAGTGGGTAAAATGGAATGGGCTGAGAGGGTGGACGTTCACAGGCCATCACCATGGTCTGAGAGACTGCAGCTCTTCGGGAGAGGTGACAGGGCGTGTGAGAATGTGTGAGCCACTGCCTCCCTGTCGGGTGTGGGAGATTATATATGTGTGAGGAAGGGAACGTGTGTGAGAGTGTAAGTGCACCCGTGATTGCATGGAGGGGCTCTTCCTATGGAGGAAGAAAGTCGCAGGGCCTCCTGGTAGGATGTGGACATGAGGTGGACAGTAGGGGAGAGGAAGGAACAGGACAAGCCCATTGATCTACCTGAGCAGGAGGGCTCCAGCAAAGGAGAAACCTCAGAAGCCCACAGGGCCTGCCTGACATATGAGGGGAACATTTATTAAAAGGATGAACGAGGGAGTTTGAAACCTTAGCCTCTGGTCTCTCAGTGTGGGCCTGGCTTTGTCCTCCAGCTGCGTGGGGGTCACTGTTATTCTAACTACACCCCTTCATCCTTGGCCCTCTCTGCCCACATCAGATATTCTGAGCTGGGGCAGCCCCATTCCCATGGCCCCAGCCTGGTCCGTGGGGGCCCAGCCCCTTTCCCAGGCTGTGTGCTCCCTCCCACATCTTTGTAACAAACATGTTCCTGCGCAGCCTACAAGCTGGCTTCATCCCTTCCCAGGTCGGGACCTCTCCCTCCCCGGATTCTGGAGCAGAGATGATGCTGCCAAATTGGTTCCATGCTTTTGTTTCGGCCGGAGATGTCCTGCCTCTCATCAGGGACGGTGTCAGAGCACTGTGTTCCCGACCGGCCCCTCTCGTTGCAACTCTCCAGCTGGCCAGGGGTTCTCCCTGCAGAAGATTTCATGGACCTCCAAAATGACAGCCCAGTCCTCTCCAGTTGTCTCTTCCAGAGAACAACTCTTTAAAGAACCCCCCCCAACCGCCGCCCGCCTCCAGTGTGCAGCCTGGTAGAAAAGGCCAGGTAGACCACAGCATCCAGGAGGAGGTGGCTCCCTCAGCCCTAAAGAAAAAAACTTGGTTTCAGCTTCTAGGGCACCTTCTGCCACACTGGGTGAAAAGGAAACTTTCTCCAGGGTAACCAGAGCCCAGCCCCTTCCTGCTCAGCTCAGCTCAGCTGCAGCCCTGTATTATGAAATAATGAGTACTATTTGGTACCTGGAGAGAAAAGGGATCTCTTTCAAGATTGTATAATCCACACAAATTTAGAGGAAGACATGCCTTGGAAATCATGAGTCTAAACCCCACTATTGACAGATGCGGAAACAAAGGTCTAAAATCCGAAAGGCTTTCAGTTGCTGAAGAGCAGTCCAAGCCATTTCTGGATTTCACCAGAAGCCCAGTTTGCATCCAAAGGGATATTTGTGCAATGAACGCATTTGCCTTTCGGTAGCACGGAAGCTCAGGGGGAGAGCTGGGGCTAGAACCCGGCCTTTCCACAGCAGGCTCCCTGCCTCCTTGGGGCTGTGCCTTTCTTGACTGGTTTGCTTCCCTTAGGGTGCTCAGAAGGTGATTTGTTCGAAGGTGAATATTGGGGGGCTGCCTGGCACAGTCTGCCATCCAGATGGCGGCCGACTAAGTCCAACAAGGTTGGGAGGAAGAGAGGAGGTGCTCTTATTTAGGGGAGATTTCGGTGGGTGGACTCCCCCGAGGCTGTCGGGAAATTTCCAGGGTCTAGGAAACTGCCCTTTCTCCCCCATCTCCTTGCCACAGCTTCCAGCCTCGCCTTCCAAGAAAACATAGTGAAGCAGGCTCCTCGGTTGTACCCGCCCACTAAGGGACCCTCACTTTGGAAGGGCGTCCCAGTCACCAGCCGACCAAAGGCTCTCCCTCCATAGGTTTCCATCAACCCACCATCTCTGATGGTGACTGAGAAAAGAAAGCAAGGGTTGCAGGACAGGCAGTGTGAAGGCCAAAATCCTGGCCGAGGAGTTAGAAGGCCTCAGCGACTACTGGCCACGTGACTGCTGAGCCTCAGTTTCCCCCACTGTGTTCCCACTGGATGCTCCCTCAAGGCCTCTTCCGGCTCTGAGAAACCTAGGATTCCGATGTCAGGGATTGTGTCTCCCTCCTCACCTTCATGTCCCCAGCAATTAATACACAGTAGACACTTAAAACAGTTCTTTGAATGATTGAATGAAATCGGTCCTCAGGTCAGTCTGAAGATCCGATGGAAGCCAGGAAGGAAACGCTTCCCCCAGGCGCCTACCGTCTGTCAACCATAGAAGCCACACGTCTTGGGAGAACCCTGGCAAGCCTAGAGCCCTTTGCACACCCGCTTCCTCTCCTAGATGCACAGATCTGTTTGGAGGAGCCAGGGGGGAAGCAGGAAAACGTGCCAGGAAGAGAGGGTGGCCTGAACCCCAGGCAACGGCGGGTAGCCCTAACTTTCGCTTTCTTGACTCCTGTGGCCCCTCTCCTTCCCTCTTTCTGGTTTCCCTCCCCTTCCTGCCTCCCTGGCCTGGCCTCCTTGGCTTTCCTGGGACAGTAACCACTTTTCCTTCTCTCCTTTGTTAGGGCTCAGAGCCTCCGATGGTCCCAGAGCTGGCCTGATCCTCTGCTGGTGAGGATGACTCCCAGAGCCTCAGGCTTTCTCTGGGTCAGGGAAAAGAGCAGCGGCAGTGGAGAGATTGAAATTCTGGTCAGTGCCCAGCTTCTGGAGCCCAGCACCTGGGAATGGCTCTCGTTAACACCTGGAGCTCCGGACTGGGGCTTTGAGGAGGAGGGAAAAGGGCTGCGCCCACTCTTTATCCAACCTTCCCTTCCAGGTTTAGGGAAGGGGCTCCTCTTTTGAGGGAATCTGGCAGTGCCTTTCCCTCCACCTTCCTCTGCAGGGTTCCCAGGGAGATGTTAGGGTTTTCCTTCTGGGCTTCCTGAGCCTCCATCTCTTCCCCTCCACACCCCTAGGGAGGTGGCTGGATAAGGAAGGAAACTGCCCTCTCTCTCCCCTGCCTCAGCCCAGCCTGAGACTTATTTAGATGTACTGTGTGTGTGTGTGTGCATGCACAGTGCGCATGTAGGGTGTCAGTGTAGCATTGTAGCTGGTGTGTGGTGGTGCGGTATATATGCGGTGTGTTTGGTGTGTATGTGTGTATAGGTATGATGTATATGTATGTGTGGTGTGAGTGTGAGGGTGTGTTGATTGCGTAGTGTGGTATATGTCTGTATGTGTTTGTGGTGTTGGTGATGTGCAGTGTGTGTGAAGTGGGTGGTGTGAGTAAGGGGCCACTGCAATTGGGTGTAGGAGCCAGATATCTAGGTCTCCTAGCCAGGGATAACCAGTATCTAGGCAACCATACTGGGGGGAGGGGAGGAGATATGGAGGTGAGGAATGGGCAGGAGAAAGAGGGAGGCTGAGAAATGGAGGAGTTTCCATGGCAACGACCAGGCAAGTCACGTGCAAAAGGCTAAGTTGCGGACGTAGACATACACATCCATAATATGAGGGTGGCTGGATCCCCAAAGGGGGCTCCTTTCAGAGAGGGCCTGAGATGCCCACTGATCCATCTTCAAAGCTGGAAATCTTAGCCCAGCCAGACAGCACGAAGCCACAGAGACAAAGGAAGTAGTGGCAGAGAGCACACTGGTGGGGAGAAGCCTCCAGTAGCCACGGTCCCGCGAGCGTGCAGGCTTGCAGCAGGTGACGCGGCAGACCCATGTTTCCAGCGAGGCTGCTCCCAGCTCCCACCCTCGGGTGCCTCCTCTACCAGCCACCACTTGTAAGAGCCAGAAGCCAGCGCTGGGAGCTCCAGGCTGCACACCCAACTCTCCACGGAAGCCCGGGAGACACAATAGGGGAGGCTCTGCCAGGGCCAGCCCTGCTGGGGAAAGGGGGCAATGGCGGACCCCAGGGCCCCCCGGAAAGGAAACAGGATTGGATGGATAAGACAAGAAGGAGGGAAAAAATGATGCACTCTCATGAATCCCCGAGCGCTAGAATCCTTCTTTCCCTGCGCCCCCATCCTGTGCCCACTGCCCAGCCCCACCTTCCCCAAGCACCAAACCAGCAAGTTCCATTTTGTGTCGCTCATAAGTCCACACTCACACCCAGCCACACGCCCTCGTCCGTAATTCCCCACGCTCCACCAAGTGTCCACAGCTTCCAAGTAACAAAGGGAAAACTCCTCATGGATAAAGGGTGGGCGCAGCCCTTTCCCCTTCTCCTGAAAACCCTGACCCCAAGCTCAAGGCAGCACCGAGAGCAATTCCCAGCCACCAGCGTCACCCCCAGCGCCACAGCCTGCCTCCCCTAGAGGCTCCTCTCTCTTCCGACGCCGATCTCCTTGTTTACATCCCCAGCCCGGTTTCCCGCTGCCCAGGCGGGGACCGCGGCGCAGCTGACCGCGGAGGACCGCACACACCCACTGAACACACAAAACCCGGCGCTCCCGGCGCTCCAGAGATCGGTCCCCACCGAGCCTCGCCCCTCCTCGGAAAAAGGAGCCAACTTTGCCCACCTCCCCAGCCGCCTACCTGCACAGCCGGTCCCCTCCGAGACTCCCAGGAGGACCCGCCGAGTCCCGAGGAGCCTGGGAGTGGCGGGGCTGGGGGCAGGGCGGTGGGTGAGGCTTGAGCTGCTTTCCCGCCTCCCCTCCTCCTAGGAGTCGGGCTGGCTGGGAGGCGCGTCCTGCGGGGGCGGGGGGGGGGCTCGCTCGGGGCTGGGCTCGGGGACAGCCCACTCCGTGCTGCCGTCCGCTGGCTTCTGGGTAGCGGCCGCGCGCAGACCCCCTCTCCTCCTCTCCCTGTCCGTCCTCCCGCTCTGTGCTCGCGCGCGTCCTCTGCTCCTCTCTCCTCTCGAGGGGCGGAGAGATTTTTCCAAAGGGCAGTCAAGCTCCGAGAAGCAACAGGAGACTGCCGCCGAGGAGGCGTGCAAGCGCCGGAGCGGATTTGCCATCAGCTGTTGCTTTTCGGTTTCCCTCTGGTTAGGGTGGGAAGGGAGCAAGACAGGCACAATGACAGACCTGGTGTCTCTCTGCAATAGTAAACCCCGAGGAACGGAAAAATAGGAGAAAATAACCCAGCACCAGACACAGCAGCCCACGTTAATTGGGAGCCTTGGTAATTAAGGGGAATGTGCACCAAAAGCATGAATGGCTGTGTCGTGGGCGCAGGAGCCAGCTCCAGTTGTAGTTGTCATTTTCAGCTAGAGCCAGGTGGGGAGCTGGGGGGATGGTCCTTACCTGAACCATAGATCTGCTGCCTTGAACCCCCTTTTCAAGCCCCATCCACCTCTGGCCCTGCCAGGAGCAGTACCACCCCGTCCTCAGCCCAGTCCCCAAGAGTCAAAATTCATGATGACGAACTTTGAATGTGAAGATGTAAATAAATCCTGGCTCGGCAACCCTGCCTGTGACGCGACTTGGAGCATATCTCTGCACTCAGCTCCTGAGTCTATTTCCTCACGTGGGAAAATGGTGATTAGAGACTGACCCCATGGGAGGCTTAGCTCATAGTGAGTGCTCAAGAAATTGGCTCTTACTATTAGGGGCAGAGCTTGTAGGAAGGGGCAGAGGCCAGGCACAAGTGTCAGTAGCCAGGAGCCATGCTGAGATGGAGGCTGTCCAGCCTCAGTCAAGGTGTGTGTATGGCCGAGCCGGGTGGAGGGAGGAGCTACTGAGAAAGGCTGTGATTGTCCAAGCCTAGGTAGGGCCACGGAGAGTTCCTTACAAACCCCAAGCCGGGGATGATGGGTACTGCTAGGAAGAAACCTAGCCCTGCCTCTGCTGCCCTCAGTTCTGGGCCTGTTTTCTCATTTGGGAAAATAGGGAGATGGACTAGATGATCCTGAGGTCTCTTCCAGCTCTGCCCTAGATGATCTAATTATTTTAATAAAAGGTCAGGTCTCAAAACCCCAAGGCAGGAAATATACATGAACTCAAGAAGACTTTGGAACCAGTAGGGGAACCATAAATAGCTACTGAGAAAGAGCACCCAAAAAGCCTCCCCTCAGGGGATAGTTCTGGCCCCTTAATCATGGGACCTGGCTGAATGGATGCCACTCTGGCCCAGTCCTGAACTCCCTGGGGTTCCTGTGAATGCTAAAGCTCCTTCTCCAAAGCCAGACTCAAATCTTGCCTATTTGCGTGCCTAACCCTTTGCCGTTCCTGTCTTTTCCTCTATAAACTGAGGACAGCATTCCAACTGTCGTTTTCCCTTTTCATGTATTCTAGGTGGCAGATTTAAAACCACATCCCTTTCTAGGCCCATGTCCTTAGGCAGGTACATTCATCCCTCCAAATGCCCTTGAATCCTGCCTTTTGGCCATCTCTCTGTGCTTTTTAGAGCACCTACTAGTGATGACACGTCAAGCCCAGGCTTTGCAAGCCTATTTGGGAAAGGATAGTTCAGAACTCCAAAGCCAAGCCACCTTCTGGTTCAACCCCATTTCCAGCCAGAGAGTTCTGAAGTGTTTGGCCCAGTGACTTCCCAGGTCCCCCTACCTAATGCTGACCAGCCCAGGCTGCAGAGGGATAACAGGAACTAAATGTGCATGAGAAACCGCCATGGCTTAACTCTCAAATAGTGCTTCATCACGTTCCATCCAAGGGTACTGCTGGAAGAATTTGGGGTGTTACAGCTACAAAGCAGCACGCAAGCTTGTTCTGGGGTGAGTCACATCTCCCTTCTAGCAGGAAAATAAACACATCTACCCCCTGTGAAAAATGTGGGCATTCATAAAAAGAGGTCGCCAGCTGTTCCATTCTTTCAACCACGTATGGACAGGAGGAGCTACTCTTCACTGAGACCTGGGCCAAGATCTGAGGATATACTGTGGAGAGGAAAGATGTGGTCCCTGGGTGAGATAGAGATTTAGCAAATGTTCCCATGAATAAACGTGTAATTAAAACACAGTTCAGAGCCCTGAAGATATAGCATTTGAGAAAGGTCAGGAGATGTTAAGAAGATGAGGTAAAGGAGCCAAGAATTGGGATGTCAGGGTGGGAAGATGATTCTGCCTCTGGAACAGAAGCAGTATGTGCAAAGGCCCTGAGGCAGAAGGGGCATGGTGTGAAAGGAGCCAGGGTGGGACTGGCCCAACAATTCCTGGTGATTCCAGCTTTTATCCTGGGAAGCACTGATGGGCATCATGAAAACTGTTCTGAGCAAGAATTGGTGAGAGGTTGGGTTGGGATGTTCCTGGTGGACCCTGCAAGTCAGGGTTCAGGGGGCTGTGTGGGGGCAGCACTAACATGAAGCTGAGAAATAAGCCTGATCCCCACTAAAGAATCCTGCTTCTTTACAAGCCCAAAGAACAAAAAAAGATCCAGGGCAGGGCTGCGCAGCCATGGAGAAAGTAGGGTAAGAAAGGGTGGAAACCATTCCTGAAATACTCCCCACCCGCCAGAACTGGAACCATGGGAAGACCTGGAGCTGGAGAGGACAGCATAACTGCTGGGAGCATCAGGGACTGCTCTATGCTTTGAAGCTTGCTCTGGGCTAAGTAACTCACAAATGTGCAGCTAAAATCCCATCTGGAGAGGACTTGCCCTGGTCCCCTTGTATTGCAGCAAAATAGCCCTTCCGCATGTCAGTGCCCTGGTCACACAGCCACGGACAGGTCACAGAGTGACCTCCTGTGTCCTGGTCACACCGGACATGGAGGGCCTAAAGGGGAAGTTAAAGGGGAGAGACCAGGAGTCTTAGAAGAGACCCTCACCCCTCCTAGCAGGCATCCCTTCTAGTGGGGTGCCACTTCATCCTGGGGTGGGGCTGCAGAAGGGAGCCGATCTTGCCCACTGACTGCTACTTTGTGTCCATGCATACCCACTTGGCTTTGCACAGGTGTGAATGTGTGTCCTCCCCACTCAGCCAAATGCCAAACCCCCAACCCCTAGGACAGAATCGTTTCCTAGCTCCTTGGCTGAAACAGCTCTGCTCACTTCCAAACCACTCCTTGATCCTGGGTCCCTTCCTCTCTCTCCAACCTTTCTTTGTCAAACTCCTCCAACTTCTCCCTCAAGCAGCTGTGTTGAGTCCTTGGTCATCTTATGCAGTTGCTAGACAATCTAAATCCACAACCAGGGTTTTACCACCCGCTTAGGCTTGATGAGTCCACAATATCCAGCCCGGTCCTCTCCCCAGGAGACCCAGGCAAGTAATCCCAGGGAGTCAGCACCGCCCACTCCCAATCCATCCTCCCAGTCCACTCCCTATCCATCCTCTCACGGCTTGAAGCCGTTCCCTCTCATGTCTTCTTTGAATTCATGAATGGCACTGCCCCCAATCCAGTTACCCTGCAGAACACATGCCACGCTCAGACCTCTCCCCCAGTGCCTCCTTTCCTGCCCACCACTCCTGTTCTAGGTCAGGTCTCTGGCATCAGATTCTCACTGGTGACTCTGCCACAGTCCCCCTACCTCTAGGTAGAGTTATCTTCCCCAATACAAATGCGATTCAAAACTTCAATGGCTCCGTATTTTCTACGAGTTAAAGTCAAAATTCTTAACACGACATTCAGCCTTTACAACCTGACACCCACCTGCCTCTCCTGCTTCATCTCGTGACCCATTCCCTGCCCTATTTCCCCCCATCACCCTCATCACTCCAATCCTTGTAAATGTCGTGTCCCAGACCAAAAGAGCCGTGCACAGTTATCCACATACGCTGCCTGATTCCTACCCCCAAATCTTTGTTTACATAGTTTTCTCTGCTTGAAACATCCTCTGCCTCTACATCCTCTGCCTATTTTCTCTACTTACAAGAATTCTACCTATGCTGCAAAGTTAAATTCAAATATTACCTTATTAAAAATGAAAGCTGTCTTATCCATGCTGTAATTAACAGCATTGTGTCTCTACGTCTATAATTGCACTTATCATAGCCTGAACTTTGCTATGTTTACTTGCATGTGTCTGCTGCCCTAATAGAATGAGAACTCCTTAAGGTCAGACCTGGCCTCTCACTCCACTTATAGACCCCACTATCATGTGTGGTGACCCACTTATAACTTGTTGAATTTAAGTGAATTGTAGTTGTTGACTTGAAGGACTCTGCCTGGTCTTGCTCCAACCAACTTCTCCACATTCATTTTGATCTCCAGCCAGCAACCTCCTGCCTTAACCAAAGGTCTTAGCCGTAAGTCTTCAGAGAGTCTTCAGAATTGGTTCCCTGAGTGCTGATACCCTGTGCCTAGACCACACTTGTGAAATTCATTAGCTTTGCTTTCTCTTGCCAAGATGAAGAGAGGAAGTAGTTGGTGCTCGAGGCCACAGCCAGAGGAGAGATGGATAGTGAGCCTCACAGGGCTGTGATCATTTCAAATGAAGGCCTTCTCCTGAATGGTGAGTCCTGGGGACCTCCCAGGCCAGACTGCCTCCAGAGGAGGAGCAGGTAACCATCGCACTGACCTGGGGGATGAAAAGCAGGTATTCCCTGACTACTCACAGAGCTGTCGGGATAGGGTGGCAGACACTGCTCGGTCCCTAGCCAACTTCGGTTCTCTTCTTTTTCCTTTCTGTCAGAACATTTTTTCTAACTGAGCAGCAGTATGCTCAAACTACTCATTTTCTCAGACTCCTTTGCAACTCTGGGTGTCCATATGACCCAGTTCTGGCCAAGGAGATTAGAACAGCATTGCTCCAAGAAAAATACAGTGGTATGTTTCTTTTGCCCTCCGCCCTTTGTTCTTTCCTGTCTTCCTCCTCCTCATTCTTCTTCTTTGTCAGAAACATGGATGTGATGCCTGGAGATGAAGCAGCCATTTTGCAACCATGAAGAAAATAAGTATTTGAGTAAGGATGGCAGGACAAGAAGCTGTAAGAGCCGTCAACAACATCTGAATGGCTTCATCCCAGATTCCTTGTTATGTGAGCAAATTCAACTCCTATTACATAAAGTGACTGTAGCTGGTTTTCTGTTCCATACAGCCAATACAAGCCTAACTGATGTACGTGGGTTGGAACAGCTGGGGAGGACAGGCTTTCATCCTGAGAAAGCAGAAATTCAGCACAAGTCCTTCTCCTCTAAAAGTGCTTGACCTGCCACTTGCAGCCCAGTAACACACACCTGACACGTACCCACACATCAGAAGAATAAACACCGGCATCCCTCTTCATAGAATGGGTCCTGCACAGTCCGTTTCCTTACTTAGATACCTTTATATCAGGATCTTGATTTTGGGGAAAGGGAGAAAGCAAAGGCAGTCAGAGTGAGGGAAGTCTGAAATAAAATTTCACTCTGTCTTCCCGCAGGAAAACCATAACATATGTAAGGAAAAAGCATTATTCTAGGCATGCCAAGACACGAATGAGATTTGTTTCTAAGTGAAAAATCCACCCCAATCCCATTAGTCTAGAGAACCAATTGCTGCCTGATTAACTTAAACTTGTCTGTTAAGTGTGAAATGTCACCTCGAGGTGCGGATCTCTAATTATGAACACGCATCTTCCAGAAGCTGTTGGTGATCCAAATCGGAGCACATGACCACTCCTCCCCCAAGCCCCTCCTCTCTGCAAATATGCACCCATTTGTCTTTTCCCAGTGAATGCAAATGGGAGAAAAACGGAGCAATGTTGCCCTTTGGAGATAATGACATTGGAAATTCAAGACATAATGGCTCCCTAGACAAGACCAGAATAGCTTCATATTTCTGCTTTCCTGTTGCACCGAGAAGCTGACAGCCTGTTAGCATAAGCAGGCGCCTGAACTCCCCGCCCCTCCCTGAGTGCTTGGAGCCAGCGTTCGTGGGGAGAGGCACCTGTTTATCATATACTTTCTTCCAGCCCACTGGCTCCAGGCTCAGAACAGAGGCTGTAGCTGAGTTTTTAAGCAAGGAGGAATTGTAGGGACCCAGTAGCCACCTCCATTCAGTCTGGAGAACAGCTTTGCAACTAGACAATAACCCACTAGCCCAATCATGTCTACTGGGCAAATAAGACTGATTTGAATCCACTTATTCTCTTTGGAACCTCCCACTCCCACCTCCACCCCAAAGCCTGAACTGGAGTTTAGACAAACAATGAAAATGATTTGGGGCTGGTAGATCATTGAACTTGTTTATAAGAGAAAAAGTCACATGAAGCCTGCAGTCTAACTGCCAGGAGGGTAGAAAGGACCTTCCCTGTAGGGAAAATTCAGTGCCTATAGACAAACTTGGATTTCTTCCAAGGAAGGTATAACAGTGGCCAGAGGCCTGGCGTCCCAGGGCTGTGCCTGGCCTTTCTTGGGGAAGCAGCTCATTTCTGATGACATTGGGTGCCCAAGTGGAGCGCTGGGCAGGTCAGCAGAACACTGTGGCCATAGAGGCACTGTCTCTCTTGTCTGTTTCTAATGGACTCCTAGGTCCATTGACTTCTCCACGCTCCCAACCCTCCTGTAATTTAATGATCTCTTTGATGATACTGTTAGTGTAATTGCTCCTCAGACCAGAAGCATGTTTGATGTCCACCATTTGAAATGTTACCTCTATTGATTTTTACTTTTCTTACCTTGTAAGGACCTTAGATATGGCCGGTGGGAGGTGCTGGCTGTAAAACACTGACTATTCCAGCCACTTATTATTTATTATTAAACATTTATAGAGCCCTAAAACACATCTTCCACATCTTCCCGGCACATTATTAAAAAGAGAATGCGCAGTTATCTTCTTAAGTTTAGCTTGGAACTTTCTAATTAGGAATCAGGAGAAGGGATGTAATGACTCAGCCCCAAGAGTTGGCTAAGTTGTTTACTTTTAGATGGCAAGTAACCTGAGGATGGGAAAGCTGTCTGGCTGGTGTTTTTAACCCTCTCCCTCCCCTCCCCCCATGTCAATATAATGGGTGTATGATGAATATTTGTTGAATGCAAAAGATAGGAATGATATAGACAGAGAAAACCAAGATGCATCAATAATTAGTCCCCCATCAGCCTTGGGGGCAGCCTGGTGCTGCTCATCATCTGACAGCAAGGAGAAAGGGGGTGGTGGGACCAGACTTCCCGGGACGTGGTTCACAGACCTTGAGCACATCAGACTAATCTGGAAAGTGTTTTTAAAGTTGTGATCAGTTATATTTCCAAAGATGGCCTCAGCAATAGGTCCTCCTCCCTTGTGCTCTTCTGCAATGAAGCTTTGCCACTGCTTCCACTGAGAGAGGGGTCTGTTTCCTCTCTCTTTCAATCTGGGCTGGCTCTGTGACTTGTTCTGAGCAACAGAAAGAGGCAGGCCTATCATTGTATAACTTTTAACTGGGCCTTAAGAAACCTGCAACTTCTGCCTTCACTGTTTGAATGCTGCCTCTTAAGTCAGACTAGCCTGGCGCGGTGGCTCACGCCTGTAATCCTAGCACTTTGGGAGGCCAAGGCGGGCGGATTGTCTGAGCTCAGGAGTTCCAGACCAGCCTGGGCAACACGGTGAAACCCCATCTCTACTTAAATAGAAAAAAAATTAGCTGGGTGTGGCGCATGCTCCTGTTGTCCCAGGTACTCAGAAGGCTGAGGCAGCAGAATTGCTTGAACCTGGGAGGCAGAGGTTACAGTGAGCCAAGATTGTGCCACTGTACTCCAGCCTGGGTGACAGAATGAGACTCCATCTCCAGCAAAAAACAAACAAACAAACAAACAAACAAGAAGTCAGACTACCATACTGGGGAGAGAGAGACCATGTGGGGAGAGACCTGAAGTCTTCTGGGACATTCCCAACCCAGCTCTCAGCTGAAGGCAGCCTCTCCAGCTACCTTGACCAGAGACTACACAGCCGGGCCTTGCCTAATTCCTAACCCTCAGAAATCAGCGAGTTCGTTGGTTGTTTTTTTAAATGCAAAATCGGGAGGCATTTTGTTGTGCAGCAGCAGATGACTAAAGCAAGGTGATAAGGCCCCAGCTCAAGCCCATGATTCTTCAGGGATGGGACCTGAGCATCTGTATTTTAGCAGGTCCTCCCTGGGACCATGAGTTGAGGCTCCCACTGAATTCTTCCCTGGGCTGCTTCATGCATGACTCGCAGACAACACAGTGAGCATTAGTCTTAGAACATGCAGTGAGCTTGAGCCACAGCAGCCTGGGCCAGGGACACGTGGTAAGAGAGACCAGGCAGCCTCAGAAAAGCAGAGCTTGGAAGACGTGGGGCATAAGAGATTTCTGTGTGCAAAGCCCTGAACCAGACACGGCGAGGTGAGTCAAAGGAAACCGAGCCATGGAATATATGAGCTGGATGAGACCTTTGAGAATGTTTTACAAACTGGGAGACCAGGGCCCACAGAGGGGAACTGACTTGCTCAGAGTCACACAGAGCTTGTCAGTGGCTGAGTCAGGACCAGAGCAAGATCTCCTGAGTATCGGTTCAGTCCCCCTTCCCTTGCCCCATCCATCCCTTGTGATTTCTGCATCCTAACCGAGGAGTGAGAAAACACGGAATTTCCTAAATGTTTAAAACATTAAAAAATATTAGCTAACCTATGTATTTGTGAGTGCTGATTATTAATGTCCCCAATAAGGTGAAACTACCAAAGGTATCCAGAGTAAGAGAGGGATCAGAATGGGGATGGGACCGGTCAGGGCCGTCTGCCTGAAGAGCCACCCGTGAAGGAGGAGAGGAGGGTTTAGGGTGGGGGCAGGTAAGCTGAGGCACAGAGGTAGGAAGGACTTGCGTGGGACCTGCAGGCTGCTTACTTGGCAGGTTCAGAAAGTTCTACTGGGAAGGAACAGGGGTTTCAAAGTTTCCATCCAAATAAGACGAAGTCCGTTTGTCTTATTTGGTTCGTCCACCAGCAGAGAGGGGAGAGGACTGGCTGGCGCCCAAGTGGGAGGGCCTTTAACACAGCCGTCCTGGGCCCCACTGTGCTGATAAGAAATCTCACCAGGGCCTTGAAGAGGACCAGATCCAGGCACTAAATCAGCGAGGCGGAGGGCTTCCGAACCCGCTGTCCAGATTCTGCTCTCTGCCTTCCCCTCCCCTCCAAGTCCAGCCTCTCTTTGTCATTGGAAGAGGCCTCGGAGACGCCACCCAACAGAGTTTATTTTTAGTTTTCCATTCTCGGAAGAACCACTGGTCATGGAGCAAGCTGTTTAAATCTTCCCAGCTGTCCTGCTGAGGACTGAACAAGAGAAAAGGGATTTTGCTTGTTGTAGGAAGGGTCAAGGTCAGGTAGCAGGAAGAATTCACCCTGTGGTCAGAGTGGGCAAAATGAGCCAGGTTGGTACATTTATTTCTTTGGCAAATAATTCTTGCTCAACAGAGAGATCAACAATGCTGTCTGCAGTTTCCATGCCAAAGAATGAGGGTCTTTTGGAAGGCAGTAGGGCGGTAGCAGAATGAGCGCAAATAATCATTAATTGAATTCCAGGACTTGCCACTTAATTACTTTTGGTCTTGGACAAGTTACTTAACTTCTCTGAGCATCAGTTTCCTCATCTGTTAAGATTATATCAGTGATACTCACCACCTCTTTCATAGGGTAATTAGGAAGATTCGTGAAGATAACACAGGTAAAATACCTGCCGCGGTGCCTGGCAATGATAATTATAATAACTATATTTACTACCAAAGGTATCCAGAGTAAGAGACGGATCAGAACGGAGATGGGGCCGGTCAAGGCCATCTCCCTGAAGAGCCACCCGTGAAGGAGGAGGAGGAGGGTTTGGGGTGGGGGCAGGCAAGCTGAGGCACAGAGGTAGGAATGACTTGGGTGGGACCTGCAGGCTGATAATTATAATAACTATAACTATAATAGCTCAATAACTATTCATCTCTTGACTTTCTTATACTAACTCACACCACTTTGATTCATCTCAAGATCGAACTTAATCTACTTAATCTTTAACAACCTATTATGTACCTACTATGTGCCAGGCCTGGAGCCGGGCATGTCCCACACCTTATCCCTAGACAACGTAGCAGGCTGGGCATTACTTATCCCCATTTCACCCATGACTCTCTTTATGGCGAACTTCACCCCACAGCAGACCATTATGATGTAAAGTCATAGTGGGTGCAGAGATGCAAGCCATCAGAAACTGTGGGGCAGAGAATATGCCTACTACTTCAGGCCTTTACAGGGTGCCCAGAAACTAAGTGATCCAGGAGGAAAGAAAGAGCCATTGGTCCATCCCCATGTCTGTAGGACCCTGGCCATACCAATTTAAATCATGGAGTTGGTTCAGGGAGTGGAGCAAGAAGACCAAATGTAACTCTCTGGGCAGGAGAGGCCTCAAGAAAGCAACGCAAACACAGCAGCCAACTTTAACTGAGCATTTACTATATGCCTGGCATGGTACTGATCAGTTCACACTTGTCATCTCATTTAATCTGTACAACAGCCCTGGGATGTAGATTTTATTGTTATCCCCATTTCAGAGACAAGGAGACTGAGCCTGACAGAGTTGAAGCAACTTTCCCAAAGTCACTCAGTTGGTAAGTGGCAGAGCCAGGACTGGAATCTGGTTGCAAAGCAGGTACTTGCTTGGGATTTGGTTTGGGGGAGATGTGACTTTGGCTCACAGCCTTCAGGCATTCTGCACTCCTGGTGCCTTCTTCCCATGAGGAGATCCTGCTCCACAGGGGGTCCACCATGCCTGATCCTGTGACACAAGGACTCCCTCTCTCAGTCACCGGCCATCTCTGACCCCTGCCCCATGTGGGGCTGAGATCTGGACGCCTACCCCTGCCCTCTCTGTCTCTCTTTGCACACCCAGGGACATCAGCCAGGGGTGGGCAGAAATGGTTTCCTTTGTCCCTGCAATCTGCTTAAGAGAAGTACGGGATGTTTTCCCACTCCTAATCGGCCATTTCTCCTGCTCTCCCAGTGTGAACCTCCTGCTTTCCGCACAGTTGAGATTAGATTTCTATGGTGATAAAAGGAGGGCAACTTGTGTCTGCTCTACCCAGGGACTGGTAAGAAACGGAGGCTCAGCTGGAGACACGTCTGGCTGCTGTCATTACCATCAACATTTAATATGTGCTAAGTGCCCCAGAGTGCCTGCCCTAACCTCAGGAGTGCTCTGAGAGGACAAAATCAAGTGAGATAGAGTGGGCTGTCTGCCGCAAGGATGCCTAGATGCAAATCTCCACCTGCAAGTCAAATATCCCCAAGCCTCGTGCACACAGGTGCGATCAGACAAACACGCCCTCCAGGCCAGTGGTTCTCAAACTTGGGCATGCTTCACAGACCTTGAGAGGCTTGTGAAAACACAGATCTCTGGGCCCAGCCCAAAGGAATGTTTATACTTCTGGTCAGGGGAATGTATCTTGATAGCCAGTGACCAGTACACCTACCAACAGCGCTTAGAGGTGCACACATGCACCGTTGCATGTACACACTCAGACACGCAAGATCAGGCACATCTTCAGTACCTGCTGGCCTCACTCTCCCACTCTCTCTTTGGGCTCCAGCCTCTCCAGGCTTCTTTGCATTTTTTGAGTCATAGGCCTCCTGCCTTGGGAGGAAAAAGAGTTGGGAGAAGAGCGAACAAAGGCGGAGAGGCAGGACTGCTCGTGTGTGTGGAATGGCAGTAGATTTGCTTGGCAAGATATTCCTGCTGAGGGTGGAACAAGAGATAAAAATTTTCTCTCTGCTTGGAACACGGTTCCTCCTACTCTTCATCTAGTGAATGCCTTCTCGTGCTTCAGAGCTTAGCTCTAATATTCCCATTTCAAAGAAGCCTTCCTTGATCTCCCCTACATCATCACCAGACCAGGGCAGACCCTTGGTACAGGCAGTCATATCTTTACATAATTTTTCTTCATGCACTGATGGCAGTTGTTTTATTTTAAAAAGATATATGTTTGACTCCATCAGAGCTGGAGTCATGTTGAGTTTGTTACAGTTGAATCCCTGACTCTCTGCCTCATGGTAGATGTGGTAGATGCTCAAAAATGTTAAATGAATAAATGAACCCTCACACATGTGGAAAGCTGACATATACACACAGGTATCCATATAAGAACACATTCACATGCACTTTTCTGTCAGCCTTTTGCGTTCTTTGAAGCTACAGTAGACATCATTGGAGGAATAGAAGTGAATTCAACTCTTCTAAAAAACAGTTTTGCATTTAGGATAGAAATGTAAACAATCCTATTTATAGGAATTTACCTTCTGGAGATCATTGCTTGAGAATGCACGAAGAAATTTATTGCAGTATTGTTTATATTAATACTATTAGCAAACTACCCTACTTAGATGTAGGAAACTACCCTACTTAGATGTCCACTTATGGATTAAGTAAACTGATAGATCCATACCGTGGAATATTCTGAAACCATTACAAAGGAAAGTACAGGAGTCCCCCCAATCCACAATTTAATTTTTTTTTTTTTTTTTTTAGAAACAGGATCTCACTGTGTTGCCTAGACTGGTCTCCTGGTCTCGAACTCCTAGGCTCAAGTGTTCCTTCCACCTCCACCTCCAAAAGTGCTAGGATTATAGCCATGAGCCACTGTAACTGGCCCATGATTTCATTTTTCATGGTTTCAGTTATCTGTGTTCAACCAAGATCTGAAAATACTAAATGAAAAATTCCAGAAATAAACAATTCCTTAGTTATAAATGGTACACTATCCTGAGTAGTGTGATGAAACCTTGTGCCACCAGGCTCTGTCCCTTCTTCATCACAGCAAGAAGGGTAAGAGCAGTTCAATAAGATATTCTGAGAGAGAGAGACCACATTCACATAACTTTTATTGCAGTATGTTATTAAATTCTTCTATGTTATTATTAGTTATTGCTGTTAATTTCTTACTGTGCCTAATTTATAAATTAAACTTTTTCATAGGTATATATGTATGGAAAAAAAAATATATGTGTATACACACACACACACATATATATATATATATATAGAGAGAGAGAGAGAGAGTGTGTGTGTGTATATATATATATAGAGAGAGTGTGTGTAGATAGATAGGTAGATAGATAGATAGACGATAGATAGATGGAGGTAGAGAGAGATAGGGTTTGGTATTAGCCACAGTTTCAGGCATCTACTGGGAGCTTTAAACATATTCCTCTCAGATGAAGGAGGACTACTTGTAATATCTAACCTCATGGGGAAGGTATTCATCTCATATAGCTGAGAAAAAAAATCAAGATACAAAACAACCTGTATAATATGATCCCATTAATACAAAACTGTAGACATCTATCTATGGATGTATGGAAAAAGTTCCAGAAAGATTTTATCAAAATGCTAACTGTATTTACCTCTAGATGGTGGGATTGATTACTTTCTTTTTTGTAACAGTACCTACCTCATAATGTTTGGAGAGATTGAGATAAGGTATGTGACAATGTGATGAGTTTATAGTACAATGCTTGGCATACATAAATGGCACATTTTATATTATTTTCTTAATTTTCAGGACTTTTTTTTTTTTTTTTTGGTTTTGGTTTTGGTTTAGAGACAGGACCTCTATCACTGAGACTGGAGGGCCGTGGTTGGATCACAGCTCATTGCAATCTTGAATTCCAGGACTCAAGAGATCTTCCTGCCTCACCCTCCCAAGTAGCTGGGAGGCACCACCATGTCTGGCTATTTTTTAATTTTTTTGTAGATATGAGGTCTCAATATGTCCAGGCTGGCCTCAAACTTCTGACCTAAAGTGATTCTCCCACCTTGGCCTTCCAAAGTGTTGAGATTACAGGTGTGAGCCACTGTGCTTAGCCAGTTTGGATTATTTTTAAATGCTCGTAAAATGAGAACTAAATTACAAAATTACAAACACAATCAAGAAAAAAAAAAAAAAAGACCGGAGTAGGAATGGCCAGCTAGGTGAATACTGTGATGAATTACCGATAGGTGTGTGTCCTCTAACCCAACCTCAGCCTCTGTTCCCAGCGTTTCAGACAATTCTTGGTACTAATAAGTGCCTGTGACAATTTGTTGAATTCAATTGAATTTGGGTCATCTATTAGTCCAGTTAGAGGGATTATCAGAGAGGAACTGATGGATTCTGATCTCTACTCCCAACCACAAAACTGAACCCATCCAGACATCATCGCTGATATTGACTATATCAGATATGCTTCCTGAAACCCAGAGAGAATTATTGAAGTGTTTCTAACTAGAATTTGAGTGCTCACCTGGGATGCATCAAACCCAGGAAGTTAAGAAAATCCAAATTCCCAACCACTCTTCTTTCTCCCACCCACTGTGCTCTTTATTAAACTGCAGTTAGATTTTCATCCATCTTCTTCAACAAGACCCAACATCACAGCATAAAGCTGACTAGACTTAGGCCTCTTCAGATGACAGATTGTTCACTTTTCCCTGAGAGTCGGAAAAAGTAGTGAGGATGAGATAAAGATATGATTCCAGTAGAATTTCCAGGAAGTAGAGTTCAAATCAATATCTCTGGATTTTGCTTTTTTGTCTTGTATGGTCTAATGTAGCAGTCCTCAAAGTAGGGTCTGAGAACTCCTCGGGGAGCCAGAGACATTTTCAGGGAGTCAGCAGGGTCAAAACTATTTTCATAATGATGCTATGATGTCATTTGTCTTTTTCACTGTGTTGACATCTGCACCAATGGCACAGGAGCAAGGCGGAGTCTCCTCAGCAGGAATCAGACAGTGGCACCAACCTGCACAGTACTTGTAGTGACTGTTCTTCACCTCCACATACTTGCCAGTTTCACTTAAGAACATCCTTGAAGAAGCCACAAAAATTATTATTAAAAATTATTAATATGGTTAAATTTCAACCCTGAGCACATGTCTTTTTAATATTTAGTGTGACAAAATGGGAAGCATGCATAGAGGATCTCTGCTACATACCAAAGTGCCAAGTTTCTCTCAAGGAAAAAGACTCGTATTTTTGAGCTGCATGCTAAGCTAACTGCTTTTTTCACGAAACACCACTTTTACTTGAATAAAGATCAACAGACAAATTATAATTATGCAGACTTGAGAACTGGCAATTATTTTTCAGAAATTAGTAAAATGAGCTTATCGCCTCAGGGAAAACAAACAACAATATTTGTTACTAATGATATAGTTTAAGCTTTCAATTAAAAATTAGAATCTTCAGGCTGGACGCGGGGTCCCATGCCTGTAATCCCAGCACTTTGGGAGGCTGAGGTGGGTGGATCACCTGAGATTAGGAGTTTGAGACCAGCCTGGCCAACATGGTGAAACCCCATCTCTACTAAAAATACAAAAATCAGCCGGATGTGGTGGCGCATGTCTGTAATCCCAGCTACTTGGGAGGCTGAGGCACAAGAATCACTTGAACCCAGGAGGCAGAGGTTGCAGTGAGCCAAGATCGCATCATTGTACTCCAGCCTGGGCGACAAGAGAGAGATTCCATCTCAAAAAATAAATAAATAAATAATAAATAAAAATTAGAATTTTAGAGAATCTACATCCTTTATCAAGAGCTTGACAGCTTCCCAATTTGTAAAAACTTTTCTGATGAGATCAGTGGTGATTTTTTTTTTGGTTAAGCATGATGAACATTTTATTTATTTTTTATATTAAATATTTTCATAATTTCAACTTTTATTTTAGATTCAGGGGGTACATGTACAGGTTTGTTATAGGCATATGTTGTGTAATGCTGAGGTTTGGGGTACAATTGATCCCGCCACCCAGGTACTGAGCATAGTGCTCAATGCTTAGTTTTTCAAGCCTTGCCCCACTCCACCCCCACTCTTTAGTAGTCCCCAGTGTCTACTGTTGCCCTGTTTATGTTCGTGAGTACCCAATGTTTAGCTCCCCCTTATAAGTGAGAACATGCTGTATTTGGTTTTCTGTTCCCGCATTAATTTGCTAAGGATAATGGCCTCCAGCTGCATCCATGTTGCTGCAGAGGACATACTTTTGTTCTTTTTCATGGCTGTGTAGTATTCCATGGTGCGTATATACCACATTTTCTTTATCCAATCCAAGTTTTGGGGCACCTAGGTTGAGTTTATGTCTTTGCTGTTGTGAATAGTGCTGCAATGAACATATAAGTGCATGTGTCTTTTTGGTAGAACTGTTTAGTTTCTTTTGGATATATGCCCAGTGATGGTAGTTCTGTTTTTAAGTTCTTTGAGAAATCGCTAAACTTCTTTCCATAGTAGCTGAACTAATTTACCTTCCCACTAACAGTGTATAAGTGTTCCCTTTTCTCCACAGCCTCCCCAGCATTTGCTGTTTTTTGACTTTTTAATAGTAGCCATTCTGACTGGTGTGAGATGGTGTCTCATTGTGGTTTTGATTCGCATTTCTCTGGTGATTAGTGACGTGGAGCGCTTTTTCATGTTTGTTGGCTGCTTGTATGTCTTGTTTTGAGATGTGTCTGCTCATGTCTTTTGTCCATTTTTTAATAGGGGTATTTGTTTTTTGTTCGTTCAATTGTTTAAGTCCCTTATTGATTCTGGATATTAGACCTTTGTCAGATGTATAGTCTGTGAATGTTTTCTCGCATTCTGTAGGTTGTCTGTTTACTCTCTTGATAGTTTCTTTTGCTGTACAGAAGCTCTTTAGTTAGGTAGGTCCCACTTGTCAATTTTTGCTTTTGTTGCAATTGCTTTTGAGGACTTAGTCATAAATTCTTTCCCAGGGCTGATGTCCCGAATCGTGTTTCCTAGGTTTTCTTGTAGGATTTTTGCAGTTTGAGGTCTTACATTTAAATCTTTACTCTATCTTGAGTTAATTTTTGTCTATGGTGAAAGGTACGTGTCCAGTTTCATTCTTCTGTATATGGCTAGCCAGCTATCCCAGAACCATTTATTGAATAGGGAGTCTTTTCCCCATTGCTTATT
This sequence comes from Homo sapiens, assembly GCF_000001405.40. Classification (NCBI taxonomy): domain Eukaryota; kingdom Metazoa; phylum Chordata; class Mammalia; order Primates; family Hominidae; genus Homo; species Homo sapiens. The sequence goes on from NC_000011.10 coordinate 117,893,777, forward strand.
TTTGTTGACTTTGTCAGAGATCAGATACCAGTAGGCGTGTGGCTTTATTTCTGGGTTTTCTATTCTGTTTCATTGATCTGTGTGACTTTTCTTGTACAAGTACCATGCTGTTTTGGTTACGATAGCCTTATAGTGGAGTTTGAAGTCCAGTAATACGATGCCTGTGGCTTTGTTGTTTTTGCTTAGGATTACTTTGGCTGTTTGGACGCTTCTTTGGTTCCATATGAATTTTATAATACTTTTTTCTAGTTCTGTGAAAAATGGCATTGGTAGTTTGATAGGAATAGCATTGAATCTGTAGATTAGTTTGGGTGATATGGCCATTTTAACAATATTGATTCTTCTAATTCATGAGCACGAAATGTTTTTTCATTTGTTTGTGTCATCTATGATTTCATTCAGAAGTGTTTTGTACTCCTTGTAGAGATCTTTCACCTCCTTGGTAGATGTATTCCTAGATTTTGTGTGTATGTGTGGTTATTGTAGATGGGATTGCATTCCTGATTTTGCTCTCAGCTTGAAGGTTATTGGCATATAGATTTCTACTGATTTTTGTACATTGATTTTGTATCCTGAAACTTTACTGGAGTTGTTTATCAATTCTAGGAGCCTTTTGGCAGAGTTTTCAGGGTCTTCTAGGTATAGAATCATATCATTAGGGAAGAGAGATAGTTTGACTTCTTCTTTTCCTATTTGAATATCTTTTATTTCTTTCTCTTGCCTGTTTGCTCTGGCTAGAACTTCCAGTGGTGATATTAATACACGTAGTTTTTGGTATTGTATAATGAAATGTGTTAACATTTGGAAGTCATTTATAACTTAGAGAGCCAACATTTTCCAAATGATCGATGAATGATAGTATAAAATTAGGCATGTGTAAAAGACCCATTTCGGAGTGCAAGATAGACCAATGTCTAATTAGATTTTAAATTAACACAATACAAAAAAATTAATGAATATGGTTTCTGATTCCACATTGCGACTAACCTTCAATAAGCTGCCACTTCTCAAGATTAAGCATAATATTTAAAAAAGGATCCAGAATTATCTGAAAAGGCCGTTTAAATACCCTTCCACTTTCCAACTCTATATCTATGTGAGATTGGATTTTCTTCATTTATTTCAACAAAAACAACATAAACAACAGATTGAATATAGAACCAAGTATGAGAATCCAATTATCTTTTATTAAGCCAGACATTAAAGAGATTTGCAAAAATGTAAAGCAGTGTAAACAATGTAAAATTCTTTATTTGCTTTGATTTGAAAAACATAGTTATTTTAATAAAAATGTTATGTTAACCTGTAAATACTTAACTGTAAGTCTCACAAAATAGGTACAGGATTTGTAGGCTGAAAACTACAAAACCTAGATGAAAGAAATCAAAGCTCTATATAAATGGAGCAACATGCTCAATATAATTAACATGTTCATTCTCTCCAAACTGACCTATAGATTTAACACAATCCCAATAAAAAACTGCAACAGGTTTCTTTGTAAATATAGGCAAGTTGTTCTGAAACTTACATGAAAATGTAAAAGAACCAGAATGGCTAAAGCAGTTTTGGACAAGGATGAATTTGGAGGATTCACTCTATTCAATTCTATCATACTATAAAGCTACAGTGATTAAAACAGCATGGCATAATTGTGAGAACAGACATATAGATCAATGGAATAGAATAGATAGTCAAGAAATACACCCACACAAACACGTTCAATTGATTTTTGACAAATGCAAAGGCAATTGGATGGAAAAAATACTGTCTTTTCAACAAATGGTGCTGGAACAACTAAACATCCTTTTGCAAACAAATAAAAATGAACCTCAATCTAGGCCTCGAGAGTATTCAAAAATTAATTCAAAATGGATCACAGGCCCAAATGTAAAACATAAAACAATAAAATTCTTAAGGGAAAATATCAGAGAAAATTTTCCTGAGCTTGGATTTGGCAAAGGGTTCTTAGATACAACAGCAAAAGCACAATCTAAAAAGAAAAAAATTGATAAGTTGAATTTTACCAAATTAAAAATGTTTGGTCTGTTAAGGACACAATTAAGAGAATGAAAATTCAAGCCACAAAGTGAGAAAATATTTGTAAATCACATGTCCAACATAGACTGTATCCAGAATATATAAAGAACTCTCAAAACTGAGCAATAAGAAGCAACCCAATAAAGAAATGGGTAAAATATTTGAACAGACACATCACCAGAGAGGATATGCAGATGGAAAATAAACACATAAAAAAGGTTCTCAACATTATTAGTTATTAGGGAAATGCAAATTAAAACCACAAGGAGATAGCATTGTATCTTGTTGCATCTATTGGAATGGCTACAAAAAAAGATACTGACAATACCGGTGAGGATGCGGAACAAACGAAATGCTTATATTGTTGGTAGGAATGAAAAATTGTATAGCCACTCTAGAAAAAGCCTGGCAGTTTTTTACGAAGTTAAACACACAATTACCAGAGGATACAATAATTCCACTGATAGTAATTTATCCTAGAGGAATGAAAACTTACGTTCACATGAAAACATGTACACAATTACTGAATTCTATACTCATCCTGATTTCTGTCATGATCTTATCAGGAAAGAATGGCTTTGATCCCATAGAGAATTTACAAGCCTTTGTGCACTGTTCATAAAAGAGACAGGCCTGAACTACCTGCTAGGGGAAGAAGATTTGAGGGTTGAAGATAGGGGAGCAGCCTCAGTCTGACCCAGGAACAGTGAGGTCCCTCAGTGTGAGGGCATGGAGAACAGAGGTTTGGAAACTATGCCCTTTACCTGTACAGTACTCGGAGGGGTACCCACAAGGGCTGCAGATGGAGTACCCAACCTGGAGAACAATGGGCAATAAGTTCTTCTGGGGAGGAAGGTGACAAGGGATGTTTTTCAGCTAGGCTGCAGCAGTTCAAAGTCAGATTCATCTGATTTTAAAAAGAAAGGTGAGATTTTTTATGCTTTAGTGACATGGAGCAAATTCCTGCTGGCTCCACAGGTGTATGTTGGAAACCCTGGAAATAGATGAGATGGCCCAGGGTGAGCATTTACCATTTACCAAGAGAAAAGAAGAGAGCTGGGGACGTCTCCTGGGAACACAATTTCAGAATCTGTGGAAGACTGAGAAAGAGCAGCCAGAGGGCAGGAAGGGGACCTGGGAAAGTCCATGTCCCAGAGGTCATGGCAATGTCATAAAGTAGGAGGCACTCGATGGTTAGAAGCTGCAAGAATTCCAGGAAGATGAAGACTAAGAAGTGTCTCCCAGACACTGGTATGGTGGGGCAGGAGATGGCTGTGGATTGAGGAGTTGTGGGGGCTGAAGATGAATGCCCCTCACAGACCTGAGTTGGCCAACTCCATTGGCTGAGCAGTCAGAGTCTGCCAGGGCAGGACATTAACATCTCCCAGAGGAGAATTCTTCCAGGGACAGGCAGCTTTCCTGGCCCTGTCAGTGATAAGAGAGAGCGGGGTGAGCTCCTCTAAGTCATGGAGCTCCACGACTTAGAGGGACCACCAGCTGGGAATATCCACCTGGCCTAGGTGGTAGCATCACCTCCATGGAGGATCAGGTCATTGCTAAAAGCCTAGGAACAAAGTTTATGGAGAGACATGGCAAATTTCCTAGGACTCGAAGCTTTATCCAAAATTCTCTCTCCTATGTCATGTGTTTGATGAAGCGCCTGAGGGTGAAGGATCTGACCCTTTCGCTGCGAATTCAACATATGCAGAGAGGTCATGATATGCTAATCACTTTGCCCTGCATGTTTATATGGATCGTACCATTTAATCTCACAACGAATGTAGGCCAGATACACCCATTTTACATATGAAGAAACAGAGAGGATGGTTTGTCTAAGACCACATAGCTGAGTAAGTAGTAGAGTTGGAATTTGTACCTCCAGGTACTTTGATTCCAACTCCAGAGCTCTCTCTGCTACAACACAGCGTAATTAGAAGGAATTATTCAAAGCAGATTCCCAGCTCCTTCCTTCTATGAAAAGTAGACAACCTTTTCTGGGACTCAGGGCTTGGACAGAGAAGGCCTCCTATTATGTCCACCTCCCATGTCCCATTGGCAGGAGTGAGCCGTGGAGGACCATAGACCAGGCTATGCCCTCACCTTTCTCAGAGGTCTCAAGACCTCCTGTCCCAGAAGGTCCAGGGCTGTTTATCTCCTGAGCACAGTCCTCCCTGTTCTCTGGGAGGACCCATTGTAAGATCGGTACAGCACGCTTACTTACTGGACTGGGTGGCAGCCTTCCTAGGGACAGGAAGCCTGGGCCAGTGCACAGGAGACGGGGAATGAATGGCATGTTCCTTTCAGAGCCATCCACCTACATCAAGGAGACTTGGAGGTGTCCTGGGTGACAGCTTGTTGTGACTTGACAGGGCATCCCAGAAACCATCCACTTGGGACCGGGGTGGAGGAGGGCCTCCTCCCACTCATGATGTACTTGTCCAAGTTACCAGAAACCACATGGTCTAAGCCTCTGGTCATGTGACACTCTGATGGGTGCGCCTAGCCTTCTCTGGGGAGTTGTCTCACCCTGACACTCTTGGAAAGATACGCAGAGCCAGAGAGCAGAGCCTATGAGGTCCCACTTGGGAGGATTCCACCTGACTCTGGTGCAGAGTGTAAAAGAGCAGCTGAATGCAGAGTGTAAAAAAGCAGCTGCATGTCAGAGCCTGGATTCAAATCCACCTCTGCCATGCAGCAGTCATGTAGTTTGGGAGGCTTATTTCACTTTGCTTGGCCTTTGTTTCCTCATCTGTAAATTAGGAATGAAGACAATGTCCACTTCACGGGATTCTTGTGCTCACAGGAGATAATATACATCAGGTGTCCAGCACAGCATGTGGCACATAGCAAACGTTTAGCAAATGCTGGCTATTATTATCATTATCCTCATCATGGCCATCACGGGGACTTCACATGTGTGTCCCCATGTCCACCCAATTGCATCAGGACCACAGCTAAGTGATTATGGGGAACAATGATCCCTGGGAATCTAACCAAAGCCCAGAGGCAGCTGGAGCACCTGCTAGGCTGTAAGTGGCTCCTTCTGTAAAGAGCCATCATCTCTCCCTGCAATAGCCTCCCCCTTCTCCTGCCCAGCACACTCACTTGGCACTCCTTTCCCAGATAAATTCTATGGAAATTCAGCAGTCAATAGAGTTGACAAAGCCAGAAGGCTTGGCTGGTACTTGGAGGAGCCTAGGCTCCAGGGACATAGGACAATGTCACTGCAACCACCTCCCTGCCCAAAACACACACACAGTTCCCTGGAGATTCTGCGCCAGTTTAGAATGCCCTATCACCCCCCGCCATCCCTAATTTTGGTAGCCTCTATAGATATCCTGGGCCAAAGGAATGTATTTTTCTTTTCCCATCCAGATCCTGCTTTTTCTCTAACTTATTTCCCTGCCCCCCTCCCATACCCTTACATCCCTGCCAGTCAATTTATGTCCTAGGAATGCCCTGAGAGAGAAAGGAAAGTGTCTGCTTTCTAAGGGGAAAGAAACAGAAATGGCCTAAGCTCTAAGTTTCTGCCCAGGCTGGGCTTCTGAGGATGCAGCCACCTTCCTATGGTGAGTGGAGATGGCTGGTTGTCCTCTGAAATGAGTGCTGGCTCCTGCAGGGGGATCTGCCAAGGACTGCCTTTCCCAGCCCAATTTTGTCTAGGTGGTGCCACATGTCACATATGACATGTCTGTACCCATAAAATGTCAGTGGAAATGACTTCCGGGCTAGAGCACTTAAGGAGTGAATGAGTCTTTTTTATATTTTCTTTCTGGCTAGAAGTAGACAACAATGTGGATGACAAACTCCCAAGATGGAAAAAGCTTGTGGAAGAAAGTCTCCCTCTGATCAGAACACCCTTACAGGATTGTTGCATGGATGCAAAATAAACTTCAATTAGGTTAAACCATTGAAATTGTCAGAAACTGTAGGATCTATTACAGTCAGTGTCACCCCTCCTAGGAATATAGTAAGCGTGGCACCTGCCACCTCCCCTGTACCTTCTTGTGCAGATAGAGCAAGAAAGGAATCAAAAGAAGGACTTTCCCTGGCATTGATATGAAAGACTAAAGCAATCAAGTTCAGGGTATCCAGAGGCTGGATGCTTGTGGGGAAACCTGAAGAATTCTGTGCTTGTGGCTGGTGTGCCCCTGGGGACTATCAGCCCACTGGTGAATGGGGGTACAGAGGTGGAGCTGGGGATTCACCAGTGGGCTCATAATGTTTGAGGTCAATATGGTAAACACAGGAAAAGTGCAAAGCAAGAAGAGGTAGATCGTTCAGAAGAGGCCAGTGGGACCACCCATCCGATTCCCTTGGAAATAGCTGAGTAAGCTTTGGGGTTTCCTTGTCAACATGTCTGTTGTTGAGCCAGCAAAGGCAGAAGTAGAGGAAGAGGAAGAGGGTAAGAACATGCCCTGGAGTGCCCTTCCCCTGCCCCCACCTGCTTTGTGAAGGTTCATTCCAAACCTGACCTCCTCTGTGAAGCTTCCTTGACATCTCTAGGTGTGGCTGGTGGTTGCTCTGTGCATGTTCCATGCGTGGTGTCCACACTCAATCACAGCTTCTATCACATTGGGTCATGACCCAGTTCCTTGAGGATGCTGTCATGCCCTTTGTATCTTCTGGGCCTAGCATGTGTACCGGGCACAGAGTAGGCACGGATGCAGCTGGTGAATGGAATGAATACATGAATGTATGGCTAAATGAGCAGAACCCAAAGATGAGGAACCAAAACTAAGAACCAAAACCAAGAGTGTCTGGGCACTAGGGTGGGCAACCTCAATTTGTTACCTAGGGTACCAGTAAAACATCCAAAGACAGATGTCTCAGGTCACACAACTTTTATTGCTGAAGACCATCGCTGGCGGCTGCTGCAGACAGGAATGTGGCCTCCTTCCCAGTCTTGCTAACATTCCCCAGTGTACCCAGCCCCATCAGCCCCTGCCCAGCCTCTCCAGCTTGCTCTTCTGGGGCAGTCTTTCCCTTGAGCGGCCATGGCCTGCCTGAGCTGGGCTAGGCTGGGCTGATCTGCTTGGATCCTGCCTCTGAGAAGCACAGCACCACAAAAGACTCTGACGGGCCCAAGGAAGGTGAGGGGAGCAGGACTGGCAGAGGAATAGGTGCCCCAGAAAAAAGGCTGGGGAAGGCCCAGGCTTTTAGCTGGCGAGTCCAGGCACGTTGATGATTTGCAGGAACAGGGCCAACTTAGATCCTTCAGCAGGGCTGCCTGGAAGGCATGGGACCATGTTAGCTTTCTCTCCATAGCAGTTTTTATGTCATTGCTATGTTTCTGAAACAACTGAGAAACTGAAAGGTGGAGAAAGCTGAGAAGAAATCCCAAAGTCCCAGGACAGCTACTGGGAATGAGAGAGGCAGTCCACCTGGACCTCCCTGGGGCCCCTGGGAGCCTACGCGGGAACAGCATCTGTTTCTTAACGCCTTCGTCAGAGCCCTGGGATGCAGAAACAGTTTGTGGACCTCGTCGTGTCGGATTTGCTTGCCAGCCCAAACAAGGATTTGCTTCCCTGAGTATCTCCTAGGGGCTCCAGATGCTGTAGTGACTTGGGGGATGCCCATCCTGGGGACTTTGTCCAGTCTCTTCATCCAGTTCCTTGAGGCCAGAAATATTCTGTAGGACTCTAAAATACGACATTTCCCATGAATCCCCTGGGGGTCTTGGGCTGATTGATGCCAGCTGTCAAGGCTTCTGGACTTTTTGGAGAATCTTTAAAAATACCCGTATTTTCATTTCTTAAATATAAAAATAAAATAAAATAAAACCCGCCCCAGCAGCTTGTGACCAAATGAGTACAGTGAATCCTCATCTCAGTTGTCAGCCTGGTTAGCCACAGCACAGTCCGACTGGTGACATCCACGGCACCAGCAGGGGGTCTGGGTGAGGACTTGATGCTCATAAAGCCAACGGGAGCAGCTTTTCACCGAAGACGGTCCAGGCCCTGGGAAGCTGCATCCACCAAAACCCACGATCCATCCCAGGACAGCAATGGCGCCACCTGGGCCGCTGGCATCTGCCCACACTGGGCTAGTCTGTAAGTGAGGGTCAGAGAAGCAAGAATTCCCAGCTCTTCCTTGGGCTCTGGGCTCCACCTCCTCCATCCATCTATGGACACTCCTGTAGGAACATCCACGGTACTCAACTCTTGTCTCCAGGTAATTTCCAGCCTGGGATTTTGAGAAGAGTTGACAGCTCTGCTGGTTTCTGAAAAACTTGGGAGAGTGGCAATGCACACATATGCACACACACACACACACACACACACACACACAGAGGCAGCAGACAGTGGAGGTGGGAGTCCGATGGTGCCCGGTGGCCATTAGCCCAGATGATGCCACACATGGCCAGTCACCATGGCCAGAGTCTTCACAGCAGCCGGTGCTGTGCAGAGCAGCAGGCCAGCTGGTTAGGATTTTCTGAATCGCACCTCGCTCTGAGGAAGAGAATGGGAGAAGAGGGTGAGGGTGGGCCAGGTGGGCGAGGAGCACAGAAGCCCAAGGTTGGGGTTCAGAACCTATAATTTAGCCTCGCTGTCACCTAGCACTGCCTCTCCAAGGAGGGAGAGCAAAGGGAAAGGATGGATGCAGGATTGGAGGGCCTCTCTGCACTAGATTTCTGGAGCCTTTTCTGCTCCCCCTATCTGAGCCCTCCCCTGTTCCCCAGGCAGAGAAGGGGAGGGCTGGCAGAGCACCCCCTGCTTTACAGCTAAAGGCTGAAGGCCCAGAGAAGGCAGGGTCTCAACTAGGTCAGCAGAGTTGCAGGCAGATCCCTGTTTCCTGACACCGAAATTCCTGCCGTGGAGGGAGGCCTCCCATCACTCCACTGCCAGCGGCCTGTGTGAACTCACATCTCGGTCATCCCTGGGAGAGGAGAGTGGCACTGGGGCTGGCACCGAGGTGAGGCCCACCTTTTATTCTTTTCATTTATTTGTTTATTCATTCATCCTTAATTTATAACAATAAATAGTAAATACCGAGGATATTCCAGGCATTGTAAATGGCTGATTTTGATAGATTAGTCAGAGTTCTTCAGTAAGAAAAATGGAAGATGAGAGGGTGGAAGTGGGAGAGGGGACTCTCTAGGGTGGATCAAGTATTCCAAAGGCCAAGGGCAAGGTAAGGCACACACTGAAGGGTCTGTGGTTCAGTTTGACCTGAGCAATGACTTCTGAGGTTGGATATAGGTTAAAGCAAGTCAAAAAACATAAAATAACTTTTTATTATTTTATTACTTTATACTCTTTTATGATAGTAGTGAGGTTCTGATGAAATATTTTAAGTGGGAAAGGGAAAGAATGGTAGTTCTCAGGGAGCATTCTGGTGACAGCTGTGAAAGTTGTCAGAGTTAAAATGGAGTCACTTGTGTTTTTAAAAAAAGACAACAACAACAACAAAAAGAAAATCAAAAAGACTAAAACAAACAGAGCTGGGAAAGGCCATGAAGAGCGGATTCCCATGCATAAATGCTTGATAACAAAAACTATCACAAAATCCTCTGCAGAAACTGAAACGTTTTCAAAGTCCATTGCAACCTTACACAAAAAAATACTTCTGGGAGAACATCTGCCCAGCAACTGCCTGCCTGGCCTGTAGGTCCACCCTTTTTCAACCCGCTGAGCTCTGTTCTGAGGGAAGAAAAGCAGGGAAAGAAACACAGACAGCTGGGATTGACCCCAGGCATCACATTTGACCCTGTCCAGAACACCCCCCGAATATGGGGACGCTGAGGGGACCTCTGCCTACAACCTGGGTGCTCCTCCAGGGTCCCCACCTGAGGAAGTTCCCAGCCTGCTGGGTGCAGTGTCCTGCTGCAGGGATCTTACCTCCATCTTGCTGTAAATCCAGGGAAGAACTTCTGTCACTTTGGTGTACACACCAGGTTTGTTTCTCTGGCCACAGCCTGTGCCCCAGCTGGTGACACCTGCCAGGTACCAGCGGTTGTTCTGCTCACAGACAAGAGGCCCCCCGCTGTCTCCCTGCAGGGGAGAGGGGGCACATTCGCAGGATGGGACAGGTGGTCCATGAGCGGGAAAGGGTGGGGTCCCAATTCCCACATCAGCCCCAACACCCCTGCCTCCCCCATCCCCAGGGTGCTGGGACCTGAGCCCCACCCACAGGTACCCTCACCTGGCAGGAGTCTCTGCCCCCACGAAGGTCCCCAGCACACATCATCCTTGGGGTAAGGTAACTGTCATAGACCAAGTAGTCATTGCATTTCTTGAAGTCGATGAGATTGACCTGCACCTCCCGGAGGAAGGGGGATGTCTTGTCTTCAGTGAAGTGGGGTGGAGGAGACAGAGGATGGGAAGCCAGTGAGATTCTAGATAGCTTCCTGGCCGTCCAGCTGCCACCCCAAGACCCAGAATCACAGCCTCCTGGGAATGGAGGGTGCCATGCCCGTGCCTGGCTCCCACCCAAGGGAGGCCCTCTGTGGTTGGACACCCAGGACATATGGGCACACACGCCCTCACACAAGACACAGCTCACTGCACGTGAGACAGAGACATCCATGCACACAGACACACTCACAAGCCTATCAGGCTACCCGACATGTTGCACAGCACTTGCCTACGTTCAAAGCACCCTCAGATACATGGCTTTGTTTGTTTTTGGAAGCTATGTGCCCTAAAGAGAGCAGGTGGCATTAATCCATTTACCGGTGGGGAGGCCTGGTGCTGGAGAAGTGACCTGCCCACAGTCACACAGCTAGTCAGGTATGGAGACAAGAGGAGAAGTAGGCTGCACCCACATCAGTCATTGCTCTGCCTCACGGAGGGAGGGAAAAGCGGTCCTGATGCATGGAAGTGGCCTGAGTCTAACCATGGGGTCATCCTGCTCAAAGTAAGCAATCTCACAGGACAAGGCACTCTGTGATTGGGATGACATGAAAACAAGACCACTTCATCATCTTGTTTAAGGCCAGACAAAAACAAGGTCACTGTGCAAACCACAACAGTACCAGACATCCCCCTCTCCTGGCCAATATGAGTGACTGCTGCTTCCTTACCACTTAGAGCTCCTAGATAAGATTATATATATATATATATATATATATATATATATATATATATATTCTTAATTGAGACGGGTTTCACTCTGTCACCCAGGCTAGAGTGCAGTGGCATGATCATGGCTCACTGTAGCCTCAACCTCCCTGGGATCAAGTGATCCTCCTGCCTCAGCCCCTCTCATAGCTGGGACTACAGGCACACATCACCATGCCCAGCTAATTTTTCTATTTTTTGTAGAGATGGGGTTTTGCCATGATGCCCAGGCTGGTCTTGAACTCCTGGGCTCAAGAGATTCTCCCACCTTGGCCTCCCAAAGTGCTGGGACTACAGGTGTAAGCTACGGTGCCCGGCCTCTAGATAAGATTATTAAGGTTCCCAATCATAACCCCTGCTTCCTGACACCACAATTTAGAGAAAAGTCCTGCGTCTTTGAACCCTCCCCAAGCCACCTAAATCCTACGAGCATTCCCTCTCTGACACCCTCTTGCTGAGATGCTCCATGGTTCTTCATGGTGTGTTCTCTCTCTCATTGCAATGAGCAATGAACTCAACTAGTTCAACCACAGCAGTTTTCCAGGTGGTCTTGATTGGAGGGCATTGTCACAGTGACTGCACCGGCATATACTCAGGTGTCTATACACACATAATCACACCCAGGCCCATGAATCCGTATACCCAAACGCTCATCGACATAGGCCTTCATCTGTATACCCAGACACATTGCTTACACACGCACATGTATACACACACATGCACATGAATACATACACACAACCAAGCATCTTTGCCTCTTACCATCTGTCTCCCTGGTCTTGCCAAAGCCTGTGATCCAGCAGGTCTCATTGAGGCTAAAGGTCTGTCCATGCATGGGGAGGCAAGCAGGGTGGATGTGAGCTGCAACAAGACCTCCAGACGTCAGTGAAGGAACAAGGCTGAGACTTTCAGTAGGGGGAGGGAGAAGGAGCACAACCACTCTGGGGGCAAGGAGGGGTCTCCTAGAACATTAATCCTTGACTCTAGAGTCCTGGATCTGAATCCTCCAGAGCCTTGGACTGACCAGACATGAAACTCGATCACTTTATCATAACCCACCAGCATTTGGGGGCTACCAGAGTCCTCAAAGCCGTTCTGATTTCAGTGGTTGCCCTGTGGTCAGATGCGTAAGCCTTGGAAGCTCCCTTGTACAAGCCGATACTGGGCAGCTGAGGGTCTCTCCCTACTGAGAGGGTCTCTCCTGGTGGAGCCTCTTCCATGTCTTTCCATTAGAACAAGGAACAGCAGCAGGCTAAGACCCAGATATTATGACCATGGCATCTCAGCGGTATGTCCAGCCTGGTCTGGCGAGGGTACCCACTGGTTGTCCAGAGCCTGTGGCTCTCCTTTTAAATGTTTTCCCAGCACAAGGTAAGAAATCTCTCCAAACAGGAAACACATTCCTAGAGACACAGACCACAGAATTCCTGCTAACTTGATCCCACATTCAGAAATATTATATTTAGAAGTCACTGTTATATATCACTTCATAAGCTCTGAGGACTGGTGTCCCTAGGGGGACCAGGGCATTGACCAACACATCTGAGTTTGCAGGAGGAAAATATTAGTTAATAGAATGTTTGCAGTATTCTCAACCCTTTGTTATATTCACTGCAGTATTCTGCACCTAAGATAATGCCTGTCACATATTAAGTGCTCAATAAATGTTTAAAAAGATAGAGACAAGGCAGGAAGCGTAGATGGGAAGGATGATTTTAAATTCTTCTCCCATAAATTGGAATTAGGCTTTAAACATTGGTGTCTACCTCACTTTTGTCTGCTAGAGAGTAAACAAAAAATAGATGAAGGAATAGCATGCATTATTAACAAAAATGCAGCATAGGATTTTTTTTCTATGCCCCTTTTTGAGATGTAAAGTTTTAAAAACATGTAACACTGTTACATGATCCATCGTTAGATATTTCACTGTTTTTTATGGGGGAATTAAATTTACCAGTGAACTTTCACAAGCAAAAGTACTGTGACTTCTAGTGCTCCACCTGCCAAATGAGTTTAAGAAAATCAGTCCTGATTTCTAAACCAAAAATCAGGGCACATGTTCTGGCCACAGGACTACATACATCTGAGCTGTGATTCTCAGACTAAGGGTCTGCTTCCTGCCCAAAAGCCTATTGGAGCCTGGAGGGAGACTATTACGTTTGAAAAGCATACGCAATGTGAGAATAGCTTTCATTCGCTTTTAGAAATTATTTAGTTTTGGAATTCCAAATAATATTAAGGGGTGGAGGGTGGGTGGGAGGTAAGATTTGGATGTTTAGCCAAATACAGCCTGGGTTTGACAAGGTGAGAAGGCCTGCTCTGGTCCTGCAGTCTGTGCCCTTCTTGTGTGCTGAGCGGCAGGGCAGGAGGTAGCGGGCATCCCTCACCTCAGCCCTGGACTCCACAGACAAGGATGGAGTTTCAGAAAGGCTGGTGGGCGTGTCGTGTCGTGTCGGGGCGTGGCTACGAGTGGGTGTGACGCTGCGTGGGCGTGGTTCTGGGCTAGCGCTGCCCAACCGAGCTCTACCCAGGGATCCTCCTCCTCACCCCACTCTGATGATCTAACTGCTCTGACTCATGATAGACACCGCCTCCATAATTAATGTGCGAGGAAACACCAGCTCACAGGCTCAGAGCACGAGAATGGCTGGACTAACCAGAGAGTCCTCCGAGGCTTCCAGAAATCCCGGTACTCCTCCTCCCTCTCCCACCTTTACAGATGCTTATGCCAGAGGGCTCTGGCTCCATTCTTCAGGGTCCTCCCTGAGCCCCCATTACCTGTCTTCTCCAATCTTTTCGGGACCCACCTTGGCTATCCTTCCTCTGCTGAGCTTCCCCTAGCCTGCCAGGATGATTAGTTGCTCCCGCCTATGCCACCATAGCTCCCTGCTCCCCGAAAACATCGTATAATTGGCCTCTACTGGTCGTCTTGGTGTATTTTATTTCTATTTGCAACTGTACTATAGGGCTGGCCATATAGTATTTGATAAGTGAACAAATGAGTGAATGGATGAATGATGAGTGAATGAATGAATGAATGAATGAAGTCTTCTTTGACGTCCCCTGTCCACAGTGATCTTCTGAGAACCTCTGCAGCATTTCCTTTGTGTAGCCTCCTTTGGTCCTTAGCAACAACGTTGTAGCAATTAGTTGTTTGAATGTGTACTCAGCTTAAGTTCTCGACTGCAGGGTAAGCAATTTGCCAGTCTAGAGCCAGGTGGGGAGAGCACTGCTTGGGAATCAGATCGACCTGGTTCCAATCCCAGAGCTACCACCTATTACTTGTGGCCTCAGGTAATTATCTCTCTGTAAAGCTCCATTTCCTCATATGTCAAATGAAGTTAATAATAGTGCCTGCTCCACAGGGTTGGTTGTGAAGAGTAAATGAAATCATATGTGTGAAATGCCTACCATAGCGTTTGGCCCCTAGGTGCTCAGTTAATACCAGTGAAAGAATTCAATCTATTGATTAAGATCAGTACCCAAGCCCTGACTCCGTCATCAATTTGTAATGTGAGATGTGTCATTTGGAGCAAACTTATTTATAACCCTTGGGCTTCAGTTTCCCTAATTATAAAACAGAAGTGTTCCATGTAAGGATCTTTAAGAGTCTTTGACTTCTGCCCTGCAGAAGCTTTGGGGCCCGGATATGAGTTGACAGATGCTGACAAGTGCGAGGGCTGCAGAGGGTGCTGGGGCTGGGGGGCAGGAGAGCGGGGAGTGCAGATTCCCTCACCGGACAGGGTCAGGGGCTTGGACAGCCGCATGAGGGCGATGTCATAGTCGTCCTCCTCATCGGTGTAATTGCTGTTGATGATGATCTCGGCAATGGAGGCTGCCTCAGGCAACTGGTGCAGGTTGCTGGTGCCCGCGTACACCTTCCAGCCCTCCAGGACCTTCTCCCGGGTCCTGCAAGAGCCACAAAGGAGCGTGGTCCAGTACCTGCCTGGCAGCGTTCACTGGCAGCCCCTGCTACCTACAGGGAGCCACAGTCAGAGCACCAGCTTGGAGGCAGGAGGATGGATAAAATGACCTCTGGAGGGAACCCTCTATCTTATCCCTGGAGTCCAAAGCAATCCCCCACAGCCCCTCAAAAATTATGAGCTTGCAGCTCTGCACCTTACAGTAATAAAGAGGGAAGGATGAGTAAGACCTCTGTGTGGCACTCCCCCCCCACTATCTCCTCTGCAAGTCACCAAGGATCAAATAGGAGACTTTGACTTCTGCCATGCTGAAACTCTGGGGCCTCGATATGAACTGACAGATGCTGACAAGTCACAGGGCTGCAGAAGGTGCTGGGACTAGGGATGGGGACACAGATTCACTCACCAGACAGGGTCAAGGGCTTGTACTGATAAGATCTCAGTATTATTACCCTCAGCAAATTCAGACAGGACAAAGTAACACACTGAACTCATTACTAGGGAGGCCAGTGCCCCTGAGGCCTGGTCCCAGAGCTCTTTCCTGCCCACCAGCCTGGGCTGTGGGCCCCCAAAGACAATAGACCAGCTGGTGACCGTTAGCAGCTGATACAGTGCCCTGCCTGCAATCCCTAACCCTCAATTTCTGGGATAACTAGGGGCTCCTCTGCTATGAGTTCCATTTGCAGGAAGCAGCAACAAACCCAACGCCTTTTTCATTTCACCCTGTTCTTCAGGGGCAGGCTCCCAGTCCCTCTTCCTGCCTGCCTCTCTCCCCCTTGGGGCCGTCAATGGGACTTTCTCATCCTTGGGCCTAGCTCGGAACAAACACCCCCGACCCACACTCTCAGGACCAGGTGAACACCCAAGCTACACCAGTGCCAACTGGCCCATGGGGGCTGGACTCACACCCAGAATCCTCCTCCACGAAGAAGTCAGTCTGCAGCCAGCCCTTCCTGGTGGTTCCCGACCCTGGGCAGTGTCAAATCACCTGCCTCTCAGGCACTTACACGAAGAAGCAGTGGGCGGCAGTGAGCACCCACTGGGCGTCAATGAGCGTGCCTCCACAGATGTGGGTGGTGCCGAAGTGCAGACTCACTTGCCAAGGCCACTTGCTATCCGAGGCCAGCGCCCCTCCCACGATCCGCCCGGTCATGGCCCTCAGTCCGCAGTCTGGAGGGAAGGAGTAGACGTACTGTGAACCCTGTTTCTCCCAGGGTTCTTTCCGAGCTCCTGATCAGGATGCCTCTGCTGTGCTCCCAGGGCCAGGACAGGCTCAGGCAGCCCCATCCTGAAGGGCACCCACCCTTCCATGGACGGGCTTTGCTCCCTTATCTGCTACACACAGCAGTTTCTGTGAGAGCAGAGCCACCACATGGTGGGGTGGCTTTCTGGGATCATTCCGCGGAAAGTTTGACCCCAGGCAGGTTCCTCTTTCTTCTCCTTCACTCATTCTTTCATTGACTTGACAAATCCTTTTGGAGTGTCCCAAGCTTTGGGCACTGTGTTGGGCATTGGGGTCATGATGGTAAGTCCCAGGACTGCCATTAGGTGCACAGGAATGCAGACCAGTTCTAATGTGACCCTGAATTGACAAGCATTATAATGAGGGTCTCTATTGTTTCTAAACATAGGAAGAATACACTTCCCCTGATGCACAGAAGACTCAGACAGCTTCCTTGGAATAAAAGGTTGCTGGGCTGAGCCCCTACCAGAGTCAGGAGAAGGGGAAATGTTACCCTGGGTGTACCGGTGCCTTACAGGGACTCCAGCCCTGAAGCAGGCCTGCTGGCTAAGACACTGTTCCTGACTTGAACCCCTGTGCCAAACACCTCCCTTGGAGGAGTGCTGCCCCTCTGCCCTTTACTCCCACACGACACTGGCCACAATCCAAGAAGAAGAACATCTTACGGGAACACTGGAGAGAGATATACCGCTGGGAAGGGCATTCAGACCTGCAGGGGGAGACACAGAAAGTGGGAAAAGGGCACATTAGCTACCTCCTCCAGGAAGCCTTCCTGATTGACTCCTGCTCAGTTCCTATCCTGTTTCCAAGGAAGCTACCCTTTGTACAGGAAGCAGGAGATTCTGAGCTTCCCCTTTCCCCATGTGACATTGTCCCTTCCAGTGCTTTGTCCAGAATCGGAGTGGCTCAGTGCAAACCATCTCCACTCTCATCCCCTCAACTAGTTTCCTTGTGGCACATTGCAGACATTGGCCCAGATCCATGTTCTTCGAACTTAGGACTTCATTGTCGCAGCATCTTTTCACAACTAAACAGGTGGTCTGGTGCTCCTCTGACACAGTTCCTCAACGCAGATGCAGAAACCACGCAGCACAGAGCTGGCATCCAGCTGCAGCAAATTCACATCCCTTCCCTCACCATTACTTCTCTTGGAGCCTGGCTTCTTCTCTCCCCTCCGTAGGGCAAACAATGCTAGCTGGCAGAGACCCCAAACCTCTGATGCTTCCAACGTGGCCCTCCCTGTCCCTGATGCCTGCACCTGGCGGTCCCCTACTGCTGCCTGTCTACCCTGTCCCCTAACTGCACTGGTGGAGAGAGCAGAGAATGGGCCGAGTAGAGGAGCGGCATGTGCAAAGTGTCATGCCAGGGTGTCAGTGGTGCTTCTCCCCCACCAATCCAGGTCCACTCCCTGCAGCAGCTCTCAGTCCAAACACCTGGCCGACTGGTGGTCCCAAGGTTCATGAATTGCCTCTGACGACCTGATAAACTCTCAGGGGCACCCCTGGTCTCCAGTTGTCCTCAGCACCGAGCCTCAGATAAGAATTCTTAAGTCAGAAGGCAGTTTGGTGAATAAGGACTATTTCCAAGATGCCCCTGAACACTCATGGTGGACTCCTGGAGGCTGGATACTAGAAAAGCCAGTGAAGGGGGCTCCCTGACTCAAAGACCCTCTCCTACCCACTCCTTCCCCTGCTCACAAACAGGCAGCCTGCCTGCCCCACCATACCTGTGGAGGCTTTCCTGGATGGTGGAGTTGTATCTCAAGATTGAGAAGCTGTTGGCAAAATCCCTGTGGGCAACCTCGGTTGTCCGGTGAGCACTACAAGGGAGCAGAGGGGAGAAGAATGAGCCCCCTGGAGACAGAGTCATCCCAAGTCCTCCAGCAGGCTAGAGCCCCACCAGCCCTGCCGACAGAGGCCAGACTGTGATGGTCTGAATGGTGGCCAACTCCTCCAAGCAGCAGCTAAGCCCCAATAAAGTGCAGCCCCACCCACATGCTCCACCACTGCCCCTTATCTCCCCCAACTCCCCTCCAAGATCCCCAGCCCTATGCACTACCCAGCATTTCTCATGGTGGAGACTGGTAGCATTAGCATTGCCTGGGAAGTTATTAATATTAGCAATGCTTCTGAATCAGAAGCTCTGGGTGTGGGCCCAGCGATCACCATTTTAACAGGTTCTCTAGTGATGCTGATGCACACTCAAGTTTGAGAAACACCAATCTTGCCCTTTTCTACCCAAACTGTCATCTGTGAATAAGCAGCAGCAGCAACCCCCCCAGACCTACTGAATAAGAATCTGCATTTTAAAGAATCCCAGGTTACTGATCTGTACATTAAAGCGTGAGAAGCTCTGGGCAAGCCCACTGGATCTTAGAACACAGCGTGCCTAAGAATCACCTTGGGATGTTTGCTGAGCAGGTTCTAAGTCCTAATCCCAGAGATTCTGATTCCAAGATGCATTTTCACAAGCACGGCGGGTGATTCTAATGTGTTCTACTCTCTGCATGGAACATATGTATATTTCTAGAACATGGTACACCCCTGCGTGACGCCCTGGCATGACACTTAGCACACGCTGCTCCTCTACTCAGAGGGCCCATTCTCTGCTCTCTCCACCAGTGCAGTTAGGCACCCTCTCCACTGTATGCCCTTAGTGCTTCACCCACATCCTCATCATTACATGTCACATCGTGCTGTGGTTATTGGTTTAAGTCTCTCTCACTGAGCCACACTAGAGGTCCTTCAAGGCTGGGCTCCTGTCTTATTCCTTTGTGTCCAGGTACTACACAGTATCTAGCACACGATAAAAGCTCAATGAATATTCTTTGAATAAGTGACATTCAAAGACCTGAATACCTAAAGGAGGTTCAGGCTTGCATAAGGCCACACAACTCATAAAAGATGCCCATGGTCTTCCATCTGCATTACTACCATCCCCCTTTCATGGATCTGGACAGGCTGAGGTGGGGTGGAGAACATGTTCTAAATCCTAACACCCCACCCCAGGTGTTTTTGGTGCTTCTTCTGTAGAGAACCCACAGTGAGATCTTAAACTCCTCTCCCCACAACCTCACACACACTGATAAACCCAAGACTACCCATCTGGAAAACTCAGTCCAAGAGGGAGGATGGAGATGCGTGTCTGGGCTGAAAATCAGACACTTCTTCAAGTGGAAGGTCATTGCTCACCTACTTCCTCCTCTACCTGTTAGCACTGCCTGATTTGTTTAAAATCTTTAGAGCCAAAGACCCTTATGATTCTGCCTAGCCTCACCTGCCCCATTTCATTCTCCATTTGATGAGGTCTGGCTCAAGACACAGTAGCTATAGCTCAAAGTCCATTGAAAGGCTTTGCACAACCTGAGCTTCTAGTTCCCAGATATAAGAAGAAAAGATCTGCCCAAATGCCTGCCCAAGTCGTAGGGCCACCACCACGATCAGTGAATGTGATAATGGATGTGAGCGTGCTTTGATGCAAAGAACCATCTAGGAGTCTGATACTATTGCAGATCTATACATCATTATGTTGGCCTCATGAAAACAATCTGCTCCAGACTCATAGGATCTCAGGGCCTCTGACTCTGAACACCTCGAGGGTGTCCAGAGCTAGTGAGATCAGCCCCGGTCCCCAAGGGTCTTTTTAATATAATGTTTCTGCAACATGCTTGAGACACCCTATGAAGAGCCTGAGACATCCCTGAAGCCTGGACTCTGGGGCCAGGTTGGGGGTTACCTCTCGAAACCCAGCTGCTGGCAGGTCTTCTCTGAGTAGGAGTCATTCCAGTTGCTGCTACAGATGGGAAGCCACTGATGGGAGGACCCAGAGTAGATTTTAAGCAGAGACTTGTCCCAGTCAAACCTCACTGCAGGGCAAGAAAAAGGCAGAGCAGGTCCTCAGCACCTAGGAAGCATCAAGCTCTTGGGGGATGAGCTGAGTGAGGCTTTGAGAAAGCGCTTGTCCTGACAGCACTCCTTGCTGAGGCCTGGGAAAAGTCCAGGAACATGGCCTGGGTCATGGGGGTTAACCAGTACTCAGAAGCCCAGGATGCCTAGCATGGACAGAGCCAATGCAAAGTCACTAGAGTGCTACAGACTGATGCAAACTGTGTATCAGCTCAAATGGGAGGCAATGGACAGGGAATCATTGGGTCTGGATTACATACATGCACACATGCACACACACATACGTGCACACACACATACATGCATACACACAAACATGCACATACACACACATGCACGCACACATATACACACACAGGCATGCATACACACACACATATACAAACAGGCACACAAACACATGCACATGCACACGCACGCGCTCCCCCGCACCCAGCCTCCTTACCGCAGCCCAGCTCGTCACTCTTCAGCTTGCAGTCCACCACCCCGTCACAGCGAACAGCGTGCTTGGGACAGCTCTCCCTCTGCTCCTTGTACCTGATCCCTGTGTGGCCCTGCCAGAACTGGACTAGAGAAAAAGAAGCAGACAGCTGGGTCATGGCCAGCCCCACTGAGATGAGACACTGAGCAGCCCAAGGACCTGGGGGTTCTGAGACACCGACCTGCAATCCCTCTTGAACTCTGGGGCTCTCATCCCCCATCTGTATGGAGAGAAAGGCTGCTCAGGAATGCTCCAGAATGCTCCAGAAAGCTCCTGCAAGCAGGGCAGCACCAGGCAGATTCAAGCAGCCAGCCACCCAGAAAGAGAGAGAAAGAGAGAGAGAGACAGAGAGTGCTGTGGAGATGGGGACCACCTTGGGAACTCCCCTCCCTACATGCTGGCCAACATAGTGGCCAGAGAAACCACCTCCTCCAGTATCCCAGAGCTTCCCTCTCAGAACCCCTCTGCCATCCCATCTTCTCTGTGCTCCGCAGGGTCACAGCAGATAAATTTCTGTCCTCACAGTCACACAGGCAACCACCGTCTGTCTGTTCTCAAAGGCGACCATCCTTCCAGCCTCAAAAGCTCCTAGGTTTTTTGCTTCTCCCTCTCCCCTGCGCAAGGGACACCTCTATGCTCAGTTCTTTCCCCATGACTTGTCTTTATGCCTTTAAATGTCTTTTCAATCAACCAGCAATTCTAGGTGGCTGATTCCCACATATACAAGTTGGGGCTAAAAGAAAACAGCTTTACAAGCCATATGTGCAAATCTGCTTCACGACTTCCTCCCTCTCTAACAGCAATCTCTTTCCAAACCAGGGGCTGTGGGCCCTCCTGCCTGGAGGCACCTCCCCTTGGCTGCCTCACAGACCCGGGTTCTAACTTCTCACCCTGCCGCTCCTCCTCCACCAGCTCCTCAGCCCCACCCCTTGCTTCTCCTCCGGGGCCCACTGTGCTCTCCATCACCCAGGGTAAAGGCCGCCCGGGTGTGACTGCTCCTTCCAGGTCCAGACACAAATCCCTCCTAATCTCTTGGGCTGGCCCCTCCTCTCTGTGCCCTGGTCTTCCTCCCATATCCTGGGCACTCAACCCCCGGGGAACCCTGGGCAGTCTCCCCTGGAGTGCTCATGGAGCCCCACGTGGATGTGTAGTGGAGAGGGTACTGGGCCGGGTTGGGAGTCAGGAGGCCTGGGCTCTAGTCCTGACCCCACCAGGTAGCTGCTTGGTGACCTGCACAAGTCAAGCCACCTCCTTAGCCCTGGAGGTCTAGAGGCCTCCCTGGCAGAGCTTTTGGGAACTTCAGGAAATGCTGTGAAACCACGCTGAGAGCTTTAGTTCTATTCTGTGAGCCCACCCGTGGGTGCCATCTCGCCCCTCCATGGGTTAGTCCTGTGGCTTTCATGGAGCAGGGTGCCCTGTAGTGGGAAAGGGAGGGAGGGCAGGGCAGCAAGTCACAGCAGGCACCATGCCGAGGCCTTTATGTGCATTATGACAAAGACCACCCCACCCAGTCAGACTGGTGGGGAAACTGAGGCTCAGAATGTTAATGGACTTGTCGAATTCACACAGCCTGTCGGTGGCAGAGCCAGGGTCTGTGTGGCACTAAAGCCTGCTCTGCCAGCACACTGCCCCTCCCTCAGAATCCCCTTCAGCAGCCCTGCCAGCAGACGTTTCCACACGCTGGTCCACTCCACCCTTCACCACTGGTGCTGCCTCTTTAACAGAATCCTTACTCTTTGGCCTGGGGTTTAAAGCTCTCTACAGCATGGCCCAGCCTTGCTGAACCAAACAGACGGCCCCAGGTCCCTGATAGTTCCTTCTCCACTTTGGTTAGGCGGGTCCCTTCCTCTCCCCCATGCTGTCCTTGCCACCTGGTTTCCCACATTTTCTGTGGCTGCTCATTCGCTCAGATGCCCTGCTGGGCATAATTGCTGTCCCACCTTCCAGGTCTTCATCTGGCCCCACAGCTGTAAGAAGCTATCCCCTGCATCCAACCCACACAGCTGTCATCCCCTCCTCATAGTCACACTCAAATGCATTTGCCCTTCAAAATTTCCAGCTATTCCCCCAGGAGACTGTAATCTCTCTGAGGACAGGACAGAATAATGTACATGCACATTTGCGCTGCCTAAAGTTTCCCACTGTGCTGGGCTCATAGTGGACCTCTGAGCAGAGAGCCCTGGGGCATGCCTGGGTATCTTTGCTGAAGAGAATGGGCCTGAACCCCTGAATGCTGAACACGTCATCCCATTGACTGAATATCCTTGACAGACTTTTTCCAATCAGTGTTTTCATGTGTGTTTTTTTAATAGCTAGTATTTGTAGATTTTGTTCCAGGAATTGTGCTGTTGTCTTATTTATTCCTCATAATCTAATGAAGTTGGAATGAGAACTTACGGGACACATAGTAATGAAATGGGTGAATGAATTTTGTCCCATCTGAAGATGCAGAAACTGAGCTCAGGGTGGTTAACTAACTTGCCCAAGTAAGCTGCATAGTAAGTGGCACAGATGAGAGCCAAGCTCAGGTTCCTCTGACTTCCACACTGTTAACCTGGATACCCCACAGGGGCCCCGGGGGCAGCACAGTCCAAGGCCATTTGCAGGAGTGTCCCTCTCTGGACACAGTAGCCGGGTGAGTGGGTGCTCCCCACACCTGTCTCCCCTGCCTGCCCCCATCCCTGGGTCCCACTCTGCCCAGCAGTGCCCAGAACCCACCCCTGCACCCTCCATTCAACTCACAGAGGATGATGAGCGAAACCACCAGGGCAATGAGGAGGAGCACGCACCCGATGAGCGGTAGCTGCTTCTGGCCCTCCCGCCAGGTGAACTTGGGCAGGCTCGTACCTAGGAGCAGGGCGGCAGCAGGGGAATATGAGGCTGGAGAGGAGTCCGACGAGATGGAGAGGGTGGGGGAAACAAGACTGTGGCCCAGGAGGGCCCCGTGAGGACCACTCCACCCCAGAAGTTGGAATGAGATTTTATGGGGCTCAAAGTCAATTGAATGAATGAATGAATTTTGTCCCATCTGAAAATGCAAAAACTGAGCTCCCCCTGCCTGGCACCAGCAGCGATCTTTTACTGTGCTCTCCTCTGGGCCAGCCAGGCACTTTGCCTGTGTTAATTCTCACAGCAACCTCATGAGCAGAGTCTTATTAGGCCCCTTTCTATAGATGGGGAAACTGAGGTTCGTGGAAGTGAAATCACTTGCCCAGGGTTACTTGGTGAGTTAGTGGCAGAGTAGGGATTCCAGTGCAGTGGGTCTGATACCAAAGCACTTCACCCACCCTGGAGAGGGCAAGGCTGTGGGATGGGCCCCAAACTTCGAGTGATCCTCCAAAGCCACGTATCATCCAGGCCTGTGTGTATTGTGGTGGTGGGGACAGTCTGAATTCTGGGATGGGAGGAGGGCAGCATCGGAGTGGGCAGGAACACTGATTCCTTAAGGGAAGACCCAGTCCCCAAGGCCTATTCAACCTCTCTGACTCCCTAGTAGCTAAACCACACAACCCACAATTTGGAAGGCTGGGGATGGACTTGCACACCTGGTCAGAATCTCTCCTTTTCCTCCCCCACCCACAGATGGGCCCACTGATCATGACCTTGCTCCACTGCAGACCCCAGCTTCTTAGGCAGACCCACAGGACAGCACAAGGAGAGAACCCTGTGACTAACTGGGAGACCTTGCTATTGAAACCGGTGCTCTGACCTGGGTTGTGCAGACTCCAGGGTGACAAGCTGCTTTGTTAGTCCTGGCTTCTTATCACCTACCCCCTTTGCCCCTCATTTTCCACTGTCTCAGGTTTTCATGTAATGTTTCCTTTTTGCCTCCACCCTCAGGTCCCTCACTTCCCACCCCCCTACCTCCCCTTCCCCGCATCGTTGTCTGCTATGAGAGCAGAGCACACTGGCTCTGAGATTTCCTCCCTGCCCATGGGCTGCTTCCCATCTCTCGTGGCTTCCCTACAGCATCCCCCTTACCTGGGCTCTCCCTGGTGGCCCTGGTTGCTGGTGCTGACCTGGCAGGAGATGATCGGATGGGTACAGCCCCCACTGGTGTTGCTCTAACAAGGTACACTCTGGTTGGGGAGGTTGTCACCGAGGCTGACCTGGCGGATGATGACCTGCCGGATGAGGACCTGGAAAGTGATGCCAGAGCCGGAGATGCCCGGGCTGGAGATGCCTGGGCTGGAGATGCCTGGGCTGGAGATGCCCGGCCTGGAGATGCCCGGCCTGGAGGTGTACCAGCTGGAGATGCCTGGGCTGGAGATGCCCGGCCCGGAGGTGTCCCAGCTGGAGATGCCTGGGCTGGAGATGCCTGGGCTGGAGATGCCCGGCCTGGAGGTGTCCCAGCTGGAGATGCCTGGGCTGGAGATGCTCCAGCTGAAGGTGTTCTTGCTGGAGATGCATTCTGAAAGCAGATCGAAGAGTATCCCACAGGCTGCTCCCCTGCCAACCCACCCCAGCTGTCAGCTGTGCTGCACTAGGAGATGAATGCTCTGGGGCAGCAGCTAGGGGTTGAGCAAAGCCCCCCGGACAAGGAAGCATCTGAGAGGAGGACTGTGTCCAAGGATAGAATGAAAGCTCAAAGAACCTGCTGTCCCCCAGCTCCCCTAGGGGCTCCCCTGCCACATAGGACCTGCAGAGATGGGTAGAGGGCAATGGGCCAAGTGCCCGGGGGTTGGGGGTCACCTGCTTAGGCTACGCATGTCTAGGAGGGGTTAAAGGAAGAGGCTGCTGGGTTGGTCACTCACTCTGAGACCTCGTATCAAGGGAATGTGGTCCCCCATGGGGAAAGCAAAGACCCCTTCTGCCCTCTTCCCTTCCACCTCCTACATCCGCATCCTTTTCTTTCATGTATGTGTGTTAGATTATAAAATATTGTTCTTACTATGAGCTGTAATCGCTAGTTAAGCACTAGTTAAGAAAAGCCCTGACCTGCCAACTGAAGGGGCTGAGTGCCATTGTGAGCTCATCTGAGGAGAAAAAGAATGCTGGACAAAGGCCAGACTAAGGTCTTTCCATAACATGGACAAGCCCCAGCTGCAGAAGGCCCTGCCCTTCCCTCCTGGGGTGGCCTGGGCCTCGGCTCCTGCCAGGGATCCTGGCACTGTGGCACCTTCACCAGCCTGCCTGATCTCCTTCCTCTTTTGTGCACACTCTAAGTCTTCCCCAACTTCAGGGGGAATTCCCATAAGCCGGGACAATAAAATACTAATCACTCGTGTGTGTACTGGCACTTTAGAGTTGATAATAAACGTTCACATCTGTGGCCTCACAAGGGCCTCACCACACCCCTGGGAGGTTGGTATTTTGGAAGGCCATTTTACAGATAGGAAAGCCAAGGCTCAGAGCTCATCTTGCAGAATCACAGAGTCAGGGTTCTACCCCATGCCTATTTGTCTCTGAGTCACCTGCCCTTCTTGAGTCAGAAGAGCTTCCTGCACAGTCTTCGTGAACCACGTGTACAGAGTGCTCATTTTGCCTTTGTGAGATTGGTTAAGAATGGGGCCCCCTGGCCCTGCAGGGCCAGGAACACCTTGGGAACCTGGGGATAGGGCTGGGGGTTACCACAGGGATCTTGGTCTTGTGATACTTTCCAGTGTGACCCATAGTGGGGCCCTGTGACCTGCCAAGACCAGGAGGTGCCTGGTGGCCTGGGGCATCGGGGTCAGGTGAGTTTTCAGGTGCTCTGGGTTAGAGAGACCAGGCTGGAATTTGGCCTGCCTCTAAGGCAGCTGGGCGCCCCAGGCAAGTGACTTCACCTCTTTACATCTCAGTCTCCTATCTGTAAGCTAGAGCGAAGCACCTTGCTTCGTGGTACTGAGGTCACAGATCATGCCTGTAAAACGCCCAATACACAGTGAGGGTGTGGTGAGCCGTGTCTGTGATGGAGGGGTTTTGTTTGTTTGTTTGTTTGCTCGTTTGTTTTTTTGAGTCTTGCTCTGTCCCCCAGGCTGCAGTGCAGTGGCATGATCTTGGCTCACTGAAACCTCCGCCTCCCAGGTTCAAGCTATTCTCCTGCCTCAGCCTCCCATGTAGCTGGGACTACAGGTGTGCACCACCGTGCCTGGCTAATTTTTGTATTGGAATCTTGCCCTGTTGCCCAGGCTGGAGTGCAGTGCCGCGATCTTGGCTCACTGCGACCTCTGCTGGGTTTAAGGGATTCTCCTGCCTCAGCCTCCCGAGAAGCTGGGATTATATGCACCCGCCACCACACCCGGTTAATTTTTGTATTTTTAGTAGAGATGGAGTTTCACCATGTTGGCCAGGCTGGTCTCAAACTCCTGACCTCAAATGATCCACCCGCCTCAGCCTCCCAAAGTGCTGGGGTTACAGGCGTGAGCCACCAGACCACACCCAGCCGATAGTGGGGTTTTGTTTGTTTGTTTGTGGGAATGCTGGGCTTGCTATGGAAAAATCTGAATCTGATTGCCTCCATTCCCAACTGCGTTTCCTGGGCAAGCGACATAACCCTTCAGTGCCTGATTCCACATGTGTAAAATGGGCAGACCTTACCTCCTTCCCCCAGATAAATGGGTGATACACATGAAAGAGCCTGGTCTATAAATGTGTGTCAAACCATGACAAAGATAACAGCCCACGAGCACTTTACGGGACCCCATTCCAACCTCTTGACAGCTCTTTGCAGTTGGTATGGTTAGCCTCATTTTATAGATATTGAAACAGAGGTCCAGGCAGGTTAAGAACATGCCCAAATTCACACACCAGGTAAGTGACAGCTCAGATTCTAACCAGGCCTGCTTGGAGCAAGGAGGGCCTTGACCTACAGTGTCACAAACATCCACAGGACCTACCTTCGTCTCTTCAGGGCTCGTATGTGCAGTTTTGCACCATTATGTGATTTGATTCTCACAAGTCTCTCAGTTAGCAAGCTGGGCAGGAATTACTATCCCCAGTTTGTACACAAGGACCCGGGGCTCAGAGAGACGAAACAGCCCACCTCACCCCCTGAATGAGCTGGTGGTCTTTAGGAACTCTAGCACAGTCGTCTCATTCCCAGGCAGCTCAGGCTGTCTCTACCTGAACAGAACCCTCCCATCCAGCCCCAGCTGCCCCATCTTGAAGAGGCCCAGAGGAAAATGGGTGGGCAGGTGGGGGGAGGGAGCTGGGGAAAGCTGTAAAGCTGGAACAGGAGAAGGGAGTCAGACCAGACAGGGAACTGGTGGGGAGGGGGCATTGGTGGAAAGCCAAGAACTGCAGAAAGGGCGACACATCCGAAAGTGGGATGGAGTCTCTGCAGGCCCTGGGTCTGGGGGTATCTAGCTCTGGTCTGGGTAGAGCAAGTGCTCTGCTGTCAGAGCCTGGGAGGCAGGTGGAAAGTGGCTGGACCCCAAGACCAGGGCAAGAGGAGAGTTCTGGAGCCTCAAGACCTGAAGAAGAACTGCCCATGAAGAGAACTACAAGTCCCAACAGGGACATCAGGATGGAAGGGCAGCCCCCAGACCAGAGGAGAGCAGCATCCAGAGTGAGGTCCCCGCTCCACCCCCTGACTCTGACCCTCAACCCAAACCCTCCCAGACATCAAGAAGAGTTCTCATCTTCAGGGATCATCTGAGTAAGAGATTCCACACCAACCTTCTTTAGGCACTTCACGGCCTGCTGCCCCACGCTGCTGGAAGTTCTTCTGGATACCTAACCTGTTATAGCACTAACTCATTTCTTTTCCCCAATTCTTGGAGAACAACTGCTGAGACTCTAGCCTCCCACCGCTGGCCTGATCTCACCCTCAGAGTAGAGGCCTTCAGCAGCTGGGGAATAGGAAGGGGAGGAGACTACTTGTTTGTTTGTTGTTTGTTTGCTTTGAGACAGAGTCTCACTCTGTCGCCAGGCTGGAGTACAGTGGCGTGATCTCGGCTCACTGCAACCTCCACCTCCCGGGTTCAAGTGATTCTCCTTCCTCAGCCTCCTGAGTACCTGGGACTACAGGCACGCGCCACTGTGCCCAGCTAATTTTTGTATTTTTAATAGAGATGGGGTTTCACCATGTTGGCCAGGATGGTCTCGATCTCTTGATCTTGCGCCCGCCTCAGCCTCCCAAAGTGCTGGGATTACAGGCGTGAGCCACCGCGCCCAGCCGAGACTTCTTATCCAAGGTCCCAAGCTACAAGGGGCAGAACCAGGACCAGAACCCAAGCTTCCCAAATCCTGGCCTTTGGCAGTGAGCCGAAGACTCAGAAGTGGAAGTGAAATGACCAACTCCTTGATGTGTCCTGGTGTCTCCACAACCTGCCTGCAGACCAAAGGCTTCTCAGCCTGCTCAGGGGCAGGTGCACAGGGTGGAGCAGGGGAGTGTGGTCAACTCTGAGCCACATCCCTGGCCTAACCTTGCCAACCATTCTTTCCTGACCATGCCTCTCCTCCCCACCTACCCGTGGGGTAGTCTCTGAGGTTACCCCCTGCAGTAACACAATTGTAAGCCCTTACCATGACATGGAACAGGCCCACACCCCAGGCTGTCACTGCTACCACCTGGCTATGCCTCTGCAGCTCCCAAGGGTCCTCACCCAAGGCTTGTTCAGGGCCCTCCAGACGTGTTGGGGCAGGAAGGCAGGGCAGGGGTCCGCAGGAAAGCGGTAAGGGACAAGCCAGGGAGGGCTAAAAGGAGCAGCCCCTGGCTCTGGGAGTCTTTCCAAAGCCTGTCCCTGGACAGAAGTCTATAAGCATTTTTACTCCCACTTTACAGACTGAGAGGTAGAGGCCCAAAACATTTGTGTGCTTTGCCCAAAGTTGTTCAGGCCCATCTCACAGCAGAGGAGGGACTAAACCCAAGGCCCCCCACTTCCAGCCCAGGGGTCTCGACACCACAGCTCCCAGGGTTAGATCCCCCCTGAGGCGAATGGGATGTTTTTCTGGTTTCCAGTTGCAGACTCTGCCCCTTGGGCCGTTACCTGGTGGGGATGGTAGTAAGTTAGCCAGCCCCTGAGTATGTCCAGCTCTTGTCCTCTCCTGGACCTTCTGGGGGCCCAGCCAGTGAGAGAGGGGGCCTGAGTGATGTGGGCTCATGGTTGCTTCATCTCAGTGGTTATGGAGCTGCTGCTGTGGATCGAGCCCCAGGCTCTGCATAATGAGAGTTCTTCAGCCATAAGCAGCAGCCTGAACTTGGGAAATATGCACTTCAGGTCCCCCAGAGCCTGGGCTTGCAGTGTGAACCACCCTATAAAAAGCTCTCCCGCAATTGAACAATGAGAACACTTGGACACAGGATGGGGAACATCACACACCAGGGCCTGTCGGGGAGTGGGGAGACGGGGGAGGGATAGCATTAGGAGAAATACCTAATGTAAAGGACGAGTTAATGGGTGCAGCACACCAACACGGCACATGTATACATATGTAACAAACCTGCACGTTGTGCACATGTACCCTAGAACTTAAAGTATAATAATTAAAAAAAAAAAAAAAAAAGCTCTCCTTCTAGTCCTGAAGAATGTCCAGCAGGGAGCAGTAGCTGCTTCATGGCCTGAGGGCGGGTGCATCAGGGCCCGTTTCAGTCCAGTTTAAGCCAATTGGGCCTCCCTCCTCAGCCCTGGGCCATCCCTTCGTAAAGCTACCACCCAGGGTTGGGCATATCACAGGCTGTCAGAGTTGCAAAGATTCTGAAAACCCTCTAAGCTGGGCGTGGTGGCGCCGGCCTGTAGTCCCAGCTACTTGGGAGGCTGAGGTGGGAAAATGGCTTGAGGCCAGAAGCTGAAGACCAACCTAGGCAACATAGCAAGACCCCATCTCAAAGAAAAGAAAAGAAAAGAAAAGAAAACCTACCCAAGCCCTTTATACTATTGTTGAGGCGATGAAGGCCCAGAAAGGCTGTGTGACTTGCTCACGGACACACAGCCAGGTGGGGACGGTGCCAATTCTAGAACCATGATCTTCTGGCCCCCATCCTTGGGCTGTTACACAACACTCTGCTCTTCCCCTCTCTGTCCCTTACCAGCCTCCATGAGAAAGGACCCTTCCCAGACAGAGGCCCCCGTGGCAGCGTCCCTTTTCCAGTGACCCTGGGCATCAAGGGCGCCCATAGGGTGGGCACGGGCAGACCATGGGCCAACAACCCAGCACTCTGGGCTAGGCAGGAAGAAAAACCCCTCACTAAACCCTTCTGGAAGCACTGGCGGCACTGAGAAAGATCAGGATCTCCCTTTGACAGAGCCTAAAAACCCTCCTTGCCTGTTGGGAACCTGGGGAGCCCTGGGGTTGTGGCAGGGGAGGCCTGAACCCTTCCCAGCGAGGGCCCGGCTGGACTGGGTGACTTTTTTCCCTTTCTCACGGCTAGACCCAGGCTTCACTGTACCTCCAGGTTCCCAAGGCCCTTTCCTACTCTCCCCCTCCCCGAACCCAGAGAAACCCCACAAATACAGGCTCTCCTCAGCACACAGGCATCTTCCCCACCACCTCCTCACCCAGCACCAGCATCTCCAGCACACACGCAGTATACAGCTCAGGGACTTGGGTCAGCCCTTGAGGCAGACTGAACTCTGGAAGGGGCCAGAGCTGCAGGGTCTGCCTCGCCCTGGGGGTGGGGGGCACGGGGAGCCTCGCTTCTGCTCCTAGGCCGCCGTGTGACCTTGGGGACAGTCACATCCTTCTCTGGGCCTCAGCTCCCTCTTCAATAAATTAAGGGTGTTGGACAATCAGCAGTTTTCAAACAGGGTTCCACAGAGCATTTCAGTTTCCGTGGAGGTGCCTTGCAGACCAGCTGGTGGGGACTGTGGTGGGCTCTGAGCCCTTACCCCACCTCAACAGAGAAGACCGACCTTTCAGTTTCATACAGCGGAGTCAACATAACATTCATTTGAACAAAAGAGGCAGCTGCTACAACGAACTTGAAAGGGACTGGCCAGAGTAAGTGCTGAAGTCCCTTCTAGTTTCCGATGCCTCCTGTGCACATGAAAAAGCTCAAGGAATCCCTGTTAGACCAGAATCAAGACGCCTCCTTGTTCATTCATTCGTTCATTCACTCATTCATTCATTCATTTATCAAATGCTGTAAAGAACATGGAGTGCCCACTATTGCCCAGCAAATAATGTTTGATTGCCCAGGAACTTGCTGCCTCAATGTTTCCCTGTGTCTGTGCCTTCTCTTGCTGCCAGTCCTAGGGTAGTGACACACTCAGGGCTGGTACATAATGGGGGCCCCTCTAAAGTTTTGGGTATTGCTTCCCTCCTAGGGAAACCAACCCCCATCTGGTGCTGTCAAGGCCTCCACTTGACGGCTAAAGCCAGGGTTCCCTGTGGTGGCTTCCCTCATGCCTGCACCACCAGTGCCCTGCCCACTTGGCCAGGCACATCCACCCTTGTTGTTGCTATACCAAGAGGAATCTGTTCTGCCAAAACAAGACACTTAAGCTAAGTGGCCATTGTTACATCAGTTGTCCTTCCCACCCAGCTCCCCAGCCCAGGGCCCAATACACACACTCCCGCACGCTTACGCTCACATCTGCCAAGTCTCAGGGGACAATGCAGGGGAAATCGAGGTGGCTGTGCCAAAGGAAGTCTGCTCCTCACCAATGACAACATGAAACAGAGGACAAGGTGAGGGCTGCACACCTGCAGGGGCACAGGGCAGGTACCAGGGTCCTTGGAGGACGAGGTGAAGGCTGCACACCTGCAGGGGCATAGGGCAGGTGCCAGGGTCCTTGGAGGACGAGGTGAGGGATGCACACCTGCAGAGGCATAGGGCAGGTGCCAGGGTCCTTGGAGGACGAGGTGAGGGCTACACACCTGCAGGGGCATAGGGCAGGTGCCAGGGTCCTTGGAGGACGAGGTGAGGGATGCACACCTGCAGAGGCATAGGGCAGGTGCCAGGGTCCTTGGAGGACGAGGTGAGGGCTACACACCTGCAGGGGCATAGGGCAGGTGCCAGGGTCCTTGGGGTGCCTGGGGCTGGGATGGGGCTGGGACACGGCATGGCAGAGTGACTTGACCCGCGGGTGAGCCATCTCAGGAACTGCCCAGCTCCTCTGGAAAGGGTGCCTTATCCTGGACCAGCGGTGGGCCCCCAGACGGTTCTCACCAATCCCTAGCACCTGTGGCCTTGGGCTAATTTGGAACCTGTTCCACTTGAAGAAGGCCCAGTATAAGAAAATCCACTCCACAAAGGAATGTTGCTTCATCAATGGGTCTAATTCAGTCTTTCTTTAATAAGCATTGCACTGCTCTGAGAATTAAAAATGAGAATTGAAAAAGCACAAAATACGCATTGTCAAGAACAAATCTGGTGTGGCGCACCTGTCATCCCCGTTCTATGTAATTCCAGACTGTCAGGGAGCCAGAAAGGAGCCTCAGGGGGGAATGTGTCCAACCCTCTTCTTTGGTGGGGAAGCTGAGGCACAGGTAGAAGAAGATGTTTGTCCAAATTTATAGGAGCCCACCCCAAATTCTAGGCAGTGATGATAAATTTCAACATTCTCTGACTCCATCTCTATCTATCTATCTCTATCTCTCTATGCCAGATGCTATTCTAAATGAGCCTTACTATGGGAAGGACACTATTTTGAGACTCCTTGAGGTAGGTATTATTAAATTAAGCTTAGCCTAAAGCTGCCTCCTTACATATTTTAAGTTCGGATCAAAAGGTTTCTCTGTACATAATGAACTATAACTCAACTGGACGTGTAAACAGACTGTAAACTACTCTTGTTAACAATCACCAATTTTGCACAATCAAAGGCAGCCAACTGTTCAAACAGTGTTCAAATAAGGCTATTTCTGTACCTCACTTCCTTTTTCCATACACTGCTTGCCTTTTTCTGTCCATAAATCCTCTCCGACCACGCAGCTGTGTGGGAATCTCTCTGAATCTATTCTCCTTCGGGGGACTGCTCCATTTGAGAATTGTTCTTTGCTCAATTAAACTCTGTTAAATTTAGTTTGTCCAACATTCTTCTTTTGAGAGTAGTATTATTATTCCATTTTACAGATGAAGAAACTAAGGTACAGAAAGGTGAAGTGGCTTGCCCAAAGCTGACGGGGAACATGGTCAGTTCTCTGTCCACCACGACATGCAACTTTCTTTTGAATATGAGAAACTGAGACCCTTCTCCACCTCTTTTCCAAGATCCCTCTGAAGATCCAGCAGCTGACAGAGGAGTGCCATCAGGCTCAAGCCCACTGGCCACCATCTTCCTCACGACATTTTGGAGTTGAGGGACAGAAATCACAATGCATCTCTCTGCAATAAAGCCCTCAAGGAGAAGGCACAAGCTCAGGTGACCAGCTTCTCCCAGACCACTCCTATTTAATCAAGGTTAAGAAACCTGCTGCAGATGGGAATACGAGCCCCAACTATAGGCTCACTCTCTCAGAGTTCCATCTTAAATAGGGGAGTGAAGTTAAGAACCTTAAATAAGAATGTAATGATTCCATTCTTCCATTCCAAGGTAAGTTTGGACAATCTTTTTTTCAGAATGAATATGGCACCTATCATAATATTTGACACTTAATTCATAGATTAATTGGGAGTTCCTCAAAGAAGTCTGTTCTCTGTCCTGTATCCCTCCAGCAGCCTTCATGTTGATCCCTGACTCTGAAGAGATGAGCTTCCTGGGAAGATATCGCCCCATCACCCTGTCTCAGGGATGGACTATCCATCTCCAGTGGGAGCATGGCCACCCTCCGGATAGCTCAGCCCTTCTCACTCTTGGGTTTAGGGACCATCTAGTTTAGGCTCCCAGCATATTGCCAAGGAGGATGCCCCATGGCTGTGACTAAGGGTTCACCTTCTGCATGCCCTTGTGTACCCCCCTTACTGCTCAACAGTAAGAGGCTCTGATAACCCCCCAAGGCCTAGGGCCAAGTGACTTTGGTGAGGTAGAGACATGAACGAAGGAGCCCAGAGCAGAGGGCAAGGGAGGCAGCCTGGGAAAGAAAAGTCAAGAGGGGGCTGGAAGAATGGTGGGAAAAAAATGATGGTAAAGTTTGCAGAAACACATTGGGGGTGCAGAATGGACCACAAGCCAACTATAAGCCAAAACATAGGATGAGCTGATCTTTCCCAAACCCAGTGCTAGCCCATTCTTCCCAGAGTCCCAGGCTCTACCATGTCGGTAAGGTACAGAGAATTTGGAGGGGGCAGAAAACAAGACCTAAAGGAGAAATGAGAGCACAAAAGGGATTTCCTGGAGGAAAAGAAAGTGGAGGCACAGCAGAACAAGATCTTTGGAAGCCTTCATGTGTGTATGACTGGCTTTCCCACAGAGGACAGGCCAGCTGCTTTCTCCTACCCCAAGAGCAGCAGAAGAAAGGAAGTTGAGTGGTAGCAGGACTTGTGGTTAAACATCAAGAAGCACTTCCCAAGCATGAAAGTTATTAAGTCCAAAAAGAAGTGACCAACGGAGGTTGAAACATCCCCTTGAAAATCTTGAATGCACCCAGAAAGTCACAGTTTTCTGGGAAGGTTTAGGAGTGTAGTGAGGGGTTTAGACAAGATGCCCCTGAATTGCAGTTAGAATGCTTTTGATTTTCCAACCAGCAAAAATGAGATTAAAGTAGATTAGCCTGGATTCCCAATCGGCAAAGTTGGTGCTGTAACACTATGGATGCCCGGCAGGAGTGCTCACAGACCACAGAGCAGGAAACCCACGACTCAGCCACATAGCCCTGGGGTGCTCACCAGCCAGACCCCAAATCCCAGCAGCTTCTCCTCCCAGGGGCTTTTTCTAGAACCACGTTAAAAGGAGACCAAGAGATCTTGATCGTAAGTAGCTTCAAACTAGAAGAGGCACAGCCAGTTTCCCCCAAACCTGAAACACAGAGGTAGCTGTCCCACCTGTCTCCCAGCCTCAGCCCTGCTTCCTCAGCGCTGGGAGAATCTGGCCCGAGGCCTGAGGTCACACTCACCCCGTGGCTGTCCCTCTCCATGGTCTCTGAGGGGAAGAGTCCTCCAGGCTTAGCTGATGTCGAGGAGAAGATCCATCTTGGTCCCTGGCTTCTCAGGCATGTAGGGTAAAGGAGTTGGAGGGCCAAGGGCCAGCCCCCACCAAATGGGGCGGGGAAGCCGGTTGGGACGTGTGAAGTAATCCCCAGTATAAACAACACAGAACTAGCCAGACCTGTTCCTCTGCCCCTCATCGAGGCCATCCCAGTTACTCAGCGAATACCAAATTCCAAATACCGGGAACCTGAAGCTGCCTTTACTCATGAAACTGCCCCCACAGAAGCAGAGGAGTGTTCTGAGCTACTTCTTCAGAGGGGCCCTGAGAGAAAGGGCAGAGCCTTGAGAGGATGGTCTTGGTCCTGTTGACCTGAGCCCCTGAAACAGATGCTCCAGAGCCTTCTGAGGGATGACCCTATCCCCACAGGGGACGTTCCAGGCCAGGGGCAGAGCCCCACCTATGGCAGGACAGTGGGAACCTTCATCTCCAAGGACCAGGTGTCCAAATCCCAAATCAGGGCACATGGTCTCTGGGCGCATGGTCTGGCAATTGCTTTCTCCTGAACTCTGTTTGTTTTTATGAAACTCTTAACAAAGAAATGAAAATCAAATGACCTTTAATTATGCACATCATGAATTGCCCTCTATTGAAAACAATAAAGTGCCAGAAGCAACACATCAAAGTCAATGAAATAAAACATAACTATCTGAATGGAAACTGTTCCAAGAAACATTGGGCTGACTCGTGATCCCAAACCTATACCCTATTCTGATCCTCAGAGTCAAAAGAAGTAAAGGAAGGGCTATTGCAAAAGGAGTCCTTAGCACCTCCGGCTAAGTTCCAGCTGAGCTGCTGCTGAGAACTGCAAAAAAAAAAAAAAGAAAAAGGAGTTCCTGTTGAGGTTTGGGAAGAACTTTCTTGAGCATTCAGAGGCACCAAGATTTTTAGAGTTTGAAAGAAGCTCATGGATCTTTAGTGGTTCACTCTTTTCATTTTACAGACTGCGAGACAGAGGGCCAGAGAGGCTAAGGAATGTGCTCAAGTCACACAGCAAACAACAGCAGCAGCAATAATCTTAAGATGCCAAGAATCCTGCGAAACACTTCACACGCATCCTTCACGTGTTCATTCAACAAATATGTATTGAGTGCCTGGCATTGCTTTAGGTGCTGGGGACACAGGAACAAAATAGGCAAAGCCTCCTGCCCTGTGGCTCTAGTATTTGCGGGTTGGGGGGAAAAAGCAGACAAAAATCAATAAATCAGTTACACAGCCTCCTAGAAAGTGAAAAGTGCCGTTCACAAAAACAAAGCAGCGAAAGGATCCAGAAGGTAGGGGAGGCAGAGTCCTGGCAGTTGGGAACAGGATGGTCAGAGAGGGCTCTCTGTGGTGACATATTTGAGCAAAAACTGAAAGGAAGTGACTACTATCGCCCCCCATTTACATTCAAGAAAACGGAAACTTCTAGCTCACAGTGGAAACTGTGCCCCAGCTTAGGGTGTCTTGAGGGAAATCTAACCCAGAGGCAAGAGGCTGGAGGAGAGAACTCTGGAGGGCCCAGGCAGGGACCCTAGAGTTCTCTCATCTTGGCTTATTGTGGGAGCCACTTCCCTGGCTTTCAAAGAGAGCAGAATTCAGCCACAGGCCACATCCCCTTCCTGCCCCATCCACCAGCCCACCATGACAAAGGGGCCCCTCCCATCCATCCTCCTGAGAAGATACCCACCTCCTGTCCTCAGCTGCTCCTCTTCCCTCTCTCCCAGGGAGGAGCCCAGCCCCTCTCTGGCTGCCACTGAGCCCTGGCACGCCCAGGCCAGATCCGAGGGCCTCCACTTCATCCCCCAGGCAGGCCACTGGTCTCCGAAGGGCACCCTCAGCCTCCTTCCCTGAAGGTCCCACCAACCTAGGGAAAGAGCTCAGGCTTGGGGGTCTGGGCGAGTTCGGGGGAATGAGAACCCTAACTCTGAGGGGAACTCGCAAGGCCTGACAGGTTCACCATCGGGAAAATGAGAACACATAGAACCAGAGGAAGTGCCTGGCACGGGGCACAGGGCACTGGGAAGGCTGGGAAGGAACATCAGTTTCACCTCTTGCTCTTTTCCTTGGTTTGCATCAGAGACACAAGTTGGCCTGTCCCAGAGTCCTCGCTGACAAAGCAGTCTGACCCGTGTGACATCCCCACCAAGGGCAGTTCAGTTCAGCAAGGATTGACTGCTCAGCACCAGGCCCACGGTGGCTGCTGGGGAGTGAGAGTGGTGGGCAAAGAACAGAAAGGCAGGGGCCCTGCCCTGGGAGAACACACAGTTGATGTGTTGGGGCGGGTGGCGGGGGGACACTGAGGAATGAAATTCCTAGCTGGTGGTTTTCCTATTTTCAGAGTGAAGGCGCTGCGGCAGCACAAGACCTGGATGCTTCCCCCACAGAGCTGGACTTAGAGGCCTGCACCGCTTTTGACTTCCCCACTGACCCTGGCCTGGCCCTTTCCTTCCCCCTCCTCCCGGCCTCCTTTGCTGTCCTCCTGACTGTACAATCCCAGGCTCTCTCTGACTCCCACCCTTTCCTTTGCCTCCTTCTCTCTGGCCTTGGTCCCTGGCTTTCTCCCTTCAGCTCCCTGGTTGCCTTCTGGAAAGACACCTGCCCACCTCTGGCTACTCCACACCCAGAGGCTATTGGCAGCACCTGGGACCCACCTTCTGCTCCCTCAACGCCCCAGGGAGAGTGTAGGCCAGCCATCAGGCCCATTTGTACCCTGGTCATTTCCTACCTGGGTCATTTCCATGTGGAGTGAAGGGAGTTTTACAGAAAAATGTCAGCCATGCAAACAAGCACACATCTCCTGGCAGCTGTCCAGGAGAGTGAGGTGTGAGAAAATCTCACTACTGTTTTGAGACTAAACTCCTAGCTCTCTGCTTCCATGGCTGTTCTAGCTACCACTACCCCAGTGCCTTGGGAACTCCTTCCTGAGGCTCCAGCCTGGGAAACAGAGCTCTGGGCCTTCTATTCCCAGCCTTGTTATCTTCCTTGGAGTTCCCACCTCGGGCCCATGTTCCTCCCTCCTGAGCCTATCAGCAGCTTCACCCCTGAATCACCTCCCAACTCCCTGCTTGGAGCCCTTGCCTACCCTTCCCCACTTTGCACCCCGCTTCTGAGCTTCTCCACCACTCTTGGCACAATAGGTGGGTTTCCCTCCAGGCCTGAGGGCAGCCAGGAAACCAACTACATACTTAAAGACTCAGTGTGGCAGAGGGGAGACACTGGGTCCACCCTCAAGGGGGTGAGTCACCAGGAGCCACCCCTGGGCCCAGCACACCTAACGCTCCTATGGTCTGTACTGCCCCACCCCCCAAGCCCAGCAGTCTTCCCAGCTGCAGCCCCAGGCAGGTCTCTTCCGCCCCCACTTAGCCTTCCAGGGCCGTCCTGGGTCCCTCCAGGCTGTGGTCCTAGCCGTGCCTCTCCCCACTCCAGGCCTGCAGAGGTTGATCGCCATTGAGTTCTGTGGACTAGAGGCTGGTTCTCTCTTCCTGCTTTTCCCTTGGGGCTGGACATCAGTGATCAAGTGAGGCACTTGCCCAGGCTGCACAATTTAAGAGCGTGCCCAAATAATCAAGATAAATCATGTTTTAATGAAATATTTTTAAAATCTGCATTAACGGGAAAAGTCCAAGGTGAATAAAATATCAGAATTTTAAGTAAAGACAGGATCAGCTTTCCATCTGGATTTTGTCTCCCCCTTTTATTACTCACATGTTAGCAGGGCCCCATTTCCCCTCGTGATTATTCCTTCTACTTTCTGCAGGATATTGTCCCAGCTGCTCAAAACATCCAGGCCAACCAAGAGCAAGGAAGGCCTCTTCCCAGGGGGTGAGCTCCCTCTCTGCACAGAGCAGACCTGAGCCCTAGAGAGCTGTTGTCTTCACTGTGAATTTCCACCCTGAGTTCCTTCTTTTTTGTGCCGTATTACTTCATTTTTGGTCTTCCATGAATCTGCATGGCTTACATGTTCTTTGTTGTGGCTGAACAGGAGTCCTCAGAATTAAGCAAACTGGTGCCTGCCTGACCATTTGTTGAACATGGCACTTGCTACCAATCTGTTCTAAGATTTGTTTTTTTAAATTAACAATGCATCAATAATAAGTTAACAATTAAATGAAGGCTGACAAATGTGCACACCTGTGTAACCATTATGACAATCAAAATCTAGAACATCCCCATCACCCCAAAAAGTTTCCTCCCACCTCTTGCAGTCAATTCTCCACCCCATCCCAGCCCCAGACAATCACTGATCTGCTTCCTGTCACTAGAGGTTAATTTTCCCTTTTCTGGAATCTCATCTAAATCTCCCCTAAGATTTAATGCTGAACCCTGAGCGCAGCCCAGCCGCGCCACTGCCTCAGGACTCACATCAGGTGCTAGGTCATCCAGATATGATAAGAGGAGGCCAGATCATGTGGAGAGATTTTTTTTTCAAGCCAAGAGAAAACAGCCCATGAGTCCATACCGAGTCCCTGGTCCCCAGCTAGCCTCTCAGCAGCTCTAAGGGAGGCTCTCAGGGGACTCTGCTGGTGGGGCAACTCTAAGGTTCCCTATTTCCAGCAGATACTGGGCTTCTCCCCTGGATAAAGAGGAAAGAGGAGGGAGAAAGGACTGGGACACCCGAAGGGGAGGCCAGAAGATAAGTGTGGGCAGGAAACCAAAAGACCACCTGATGACTCCCCAGTAGGCCTGTGGTTCAGACAGTCTAGGATCTTAAACGCAGGGGCCCCAGGGTTTCTCTTAGTCATGGAGTTTACTGCCCCTTTGTGTCTTGTTCAGGGCAACAGGGGGCAGAGTGGGACAAATCCCTGCTCTTCTTCTGATAATCGGCATTCCTGTCATTGCATGATCCACACCCCATGATTAAAGGCTGGGTGCAGTGGCTCACGGCTATAATCCCATTACTTTGGGAAGTTGAACTAGGAGGATCGCTTGAAGCCAGGAGTTTGAGACCAGCCTGGACAAAGTGAGACACTCTCTACAATCAATCAGTCAATCAATCAATCAGTCCAATTAGCTGAGGGCAGTGGTGCATGCCTGTAGTCCCAGCTGCTCAGGAGGCTAAAGTGGGAGGATCCCTTGAGCCCAGGAGTTTGAGGCTGCAATGAGCTATTACACCACTGCACTCCAGCCTCGGCAACAGAGCCAGACCCTGTCTCTAAAAATAAAATAAAATAAAATGAAATAAATCCATGATTAGATGGGATAAAGTAGGTAAGAAGCCTCTGGCAGGACCCTGGTAGTCTCAGTCAAGTTGGCCCCTACCCCCTTGAAGAATGGGCAGTGGGCAGTGGAGGAGGCTGCCCCTGCCCTCCAGGACCTCCCAGGCAAGAGCAGCCGAGCCCTCTCAGGTGGACCCTCTGCAACACCCCTGCCTGGTGGCTGCCCGGCCCGTGCCCAGATCGCTCCATCTGGGGATAGTTCTGACTGACTAGGCACCACCTGTTTCCAAAGAAGGATTTGACATAGCTGCTTTTCCTTGTAATTCACCCCAACCGTGTGTCTGTAGCTCCTTGTTCCCCTCTGTGGGGACCCACAGCAGAAGTCAAATCCCACTTCCCCAAGACAGCCCTTTTCACACTCGAGGGCGACAGCTCGGTGATCCTCTGCGTCTGCACTTTTCCCACCTGTTCCTTCGCTTGCTCCTGCTGTGAGGTGGTTCCAACCCCTCCCTCAGCGAATTTCTCCAAAACAAGGCCCACGGGCCACAGCCCTCTTGAAGTGCCGGCCACAGCCGTGTTTACACGTGCTTATTCTGACTCTTTACATAAAACCCACCGTTGCTCACTGGAAATACCCAGTGGGCTGCTGCTCATTTTTCCACAGAAATGAGGCAGCTGCAGACAGACCCGTGATGCTGACAGACAGGGCTTAAGCCTGGCAGGGACAAGCATGGGTCCCACCCGCACACATTGGAGCTGAACATTCACAGAGCGGGTGAGGGTGAGAGTTGCTGACTACTGTGACCGCAAGAATCCCACCTTCAGACGGGACCATCCTTAACTCCCCTCGAACCATCTGAGAAGGCTTTCTCGAGTAGGAGGTGAGATTCCAGAGGCTACACAAATGACAGAGAGACAGCCTGGTGTTCTAGGCTGCCAGGAGGCACTTGACAGGCCCGGGAAGGGGACATTCAGAGCGGTGAGTGTGGAGTGGTTTGTAGAAGGGACTTTACGGTCAGACAGCTGTGGAATCACAGCTCTGCCGTGTACCGCCTCTATGTTCCTTGAGCAAGCTAATGGCCATCTCAGAACCTCAGTTTCCTCATCCACCAAATGGAGATAATGATTCCTCGTAGAGTATTTCTGTCCATTCAGTGAAATCATTTGTATAACACATTTGGCACAGGACCTGGTCCCTAGTGCCCACATATGATTATACACACACACACACACCACTACACACACACACACACACACACACACACACACACATACACGTATAGACTATACGTGGTCATGGTTTCAACAACAAATAGGACTCTGAGCAAAATATGTGCTTTTTTTTTTTTTTTTTTGAGACAGTCTCACTCTGTCACCCAGGCTGGAGTGCAGTGGCACAATCACGGCTCACTACAACCTCAACCTCCTGGGCTCAAGCCATCCTCCTACCTCAGCCTCCCAAGTAGCTGTGACTACAGGTGTGGGCCACCATGTCCAGCTAATTTATTTATTTATTTATTTATTTATTTTTTGTAGAGATAGGGTCTGACCTTGTTACCCAGTCTGGTCTCAAACTCCTGGCCTCAAATGATCCTCCCACCTTGGCCTCCAAAAGTGCTGGGATTACAGGTGTGAGCCACCGTGTCTGGCCAAGATCTGTGCTTTGGATCTGAAGTCCAAAGAGAAGTGTCCTTTGCTAGAGATTTGGTGGAATAAGATCTGGCCTAAGACTTCAGACCTGGGCTTTTGTTGAGATTGTTACTTCCTCCCAGCTGACCCCTGGACCACAGCTTTCTCATCTTAAAAAGTGAGGTCCTTTTCAACCCTGGAGAGACTAGAGGTCTCCAAGTAGGACGATTTGGCACAAAAGAAGGAAGTCAACAAAGGTAATCAGGTGATCTGGAGCTCCTTGTCAAAGAACTGTGAAACAGAAAATCTGAGGGGGAGACACAGAGTCACAGTTTGAGAAAGAAGAAAATGCCCCTCAGCACGGCCCAGAAAGATAGGAACAGAAGAATGGTCAAAACCAGAGGGAAGGCAAAAACAGGTGCAAGATGCAATCAATAAAAACTATAAGGAGAAACGACATTTTTTTTCATGGATAAAAATAAAAAGAACACCAGGAAATAATAACTCATATTTGCAAAGTGCTAGCCCATATATATTATTTCATTTTGTCCTCTGAGCACACTCAAATATAGTTCTTATTACCCTCTTCATCTTCCAACAAGGAAGCAAAGACACAAAGAAATACACTTCCCAGCGTCAACAATTCATGAAGGATGGAGCTAATTCTCACATTCATTACATTGATTTGTTCTAAAGCTATGTTTTCTGTCTCCACATCTATGTTCTTACCATAACAGTGTCAGCTGGCACAGAGAGGTATAATGAGTCATTGTATTTTAAAATGTTCTTAATGTCAGTCTACTGTTTTGATAATAAAATTTAAAATGTTAAATCGGTACATTCTTGTTAGAACCTTTATCTATTCTCTTTACAACTCACAGTATTTGAAAAGAAATACTTGATTTTGATGCCTTTCTTTTCCCAGTTTCATTTCTCAGCTGCTTCAGACAGATGTGTTTTTATCCGAGCAGGTGATGAGTGTGAAGTCACCGAAGGTGAACTCCTGCAGGTCCCCAGATTAATCATGCTGTGTTTTGTCAACTGTCACCCAAAGACAGACACTTATATTGTTTGCTCAGTGAAAAGGAAATTTTATGCATTTTGATTTTTTTTGCTTTTCGAATGTGAATCATTTAAGAAGCATACAAAGTTACCCAGACTTCAAGCCTAGTTAACGTAATAAATTTCAGATCTTTGAGCATGCAGCTACACGATTTCATTTCTTTTATAGTATTTTAGAGTTTGGAAAGAAAACAGAGCCTTTCTGCTTTTTCAGCTTTCAAAAGACTTTTCTGCTTAGAACAAATTCATCTAAAGGAATATGATCTTTTTTTTTTTCTGTGCACATAGAAAAGTGGAACAAACTCCAAGGTCATTTCCTAACCCAAGTGTTACACTCCTGCTGTAGCTCTCGGGAGGAGACTATGCCACTCTGCATCCTTTGACCTCACTTAATCTGACTTGGCCCTGAGTAGAGAAGCTTATACACACTGAGTCAGACCCACAGGCAAACAGGACCAGGAGGCTGTCTCCAGCAGACGACATTTAGTGATATCTTCCAGTGTGATATTAAGACTTGTAATATCACATTCCCTTCCTTTATCTCATCTGGTCCTCAGGACAATCCTCCAAGGTACATAGGACAAGTAACATTCTTGCTAAAGCCCAGAGAGGCTGGACAACCTGCTCAAAGCCACAAGGCTGGTGGCTTGGCTGAGCCTCGCAGCAAAGTACCTCCAAAGCTATGCCCTTTGCAACATTAATGGTACATTCCAGACAGCCTCAGGGTCCCTTCATAGCTATGATAGATACAACATTCG
This sequence comes from Homo sapiens, assembly GCF_000001405.40. Classification (NCBI taxonomy): domain Eukaryota; kingdom Metazoa; phylum Chordata; class Mammalia; order Primates; family Hominidae; genus Homo; species Homo sapiens. The sequence goes on from NC_000011.10 coordinate 117,937,966, forward strand.
TGAAGATATGAACACTGGGGCTGGGCGCTGTGGCTCACGCCTATAATCCCAGCACTTTGGGAGGCCGAGGCAGGTGGATCACTTGAAGTCAGGAGTTCGAGATCAGCCTGGCCAACATGGTGGAACCCCGTCTCTACTAAAAAATGCAAAAATGTTAGTCAGGCATGCTGGCACGTGCCTGTAATCCCAGCTACTTGGGAGGGTGAGGCAGCAGAATCCCTTGAACCCGGGAGGCAGAGGTTGCAGTGGGCCGAGATGGCGCTATTGCACTCCAGCCTGGGCAACAAGAGTGAAACTCCGTCTCAAAAAAAAAAAAGATACGAACACTTCCCTTGAACCTGTCTTTATTCCCAACCTGTAGCACTTCTTCGAGGCAACACGTCATGGCCTACGCCCAGCCCTGGGTTGGCTACTCCCCAGAAGTGGAACCTTGGTCAGTCACTTCACTTTAGTTCTCTCAACTGTGATCCAGCAAAGATGTGTCTGCTCTGCCTGTCCCTTAAAGATCAAGTGATATGTGAGATGGATCTTGGGGAACTCTGAAGTACTATAATGACATTGGACATTCTTACTGTAAGTTTAAAACTCTCTGCAAACAGATCTCCCTACCTTTGTCTTCACACAATACTTGTGAGTTCTAAGACGCTCCTCTTCTAACCTGTCAGAATTCAGTTCGGCCTTGGAGGATTTACAGATTTCTATTGTTTTCCTTCTCAGCCTTAGTTCTCCCAAACTGAGGCGTTATGATATTTCTGGCAGCTCCTGACAGAGCCCCTGTAACCATAAAAGCACTGAGTGAGGGGCATAACACAAAGAGAGGAAAAGGTTTCCAGCTGAATTCCGAAATTCTCCCTGAAAACATCCAGATTCCATTGGTCTTTTGGGCTATGGCCACCTTGGACCGCCCACGAGTAGGCTGCATTCAAAATTGTCTATCATAATGCCAGGACCCCTTCCTTGAGTCAGAATGTCTGGCTCAGGACCTGTGGCCCTAAAGAGAGTCATGAAGCATTTTGCAGAGATGTTCTCCCTTCCATTTTAGCAAATCAAAACCCACTCCCTCAGCCCCTGAATCCTGCTTAGTTTTTACACATTCCATAAACAATTACTTACAGTGTAACTGTCATGTTCCAAATACTGCTCAGGCCACTAAAACAGAGCAGGAACAGCCTGACTCTGTGCGTGTCCTCATGACCTTCGTCTTCAGTGAGGAACCTCATGCCCCTTTATGCTTGCCCTCCTCACCTTGGGGCCTTGCTGCTAGAAAAATGATTGCCAATGTTTATTGGAGCCTCTTTATGTGCAGTGTCTTCATAGCAACCTCATGCATAGATATTTTTATTCCCATTTTACAGATGAAGAAGAAACCAAGGCTCAAAAAGGGTAAGTAGCTCACACCTGTAATCCCAGCATTTTGGAGGCCGAGGCGGGTGGATCACCTGAAGTCAAGAGCTCGAGACCAGCCTGGCCAACATGGCAAAACCCCGTCTCTACTAAAAAAACAAAAATTAGACAGGCCTGGCGGCATACGCCTGTAATTCCACTACTCGGGAGGTTGAGGCATGAGAATCACTTGAACCCAGGAGGTGAAGGTTGTAGTGAGCCAAGATGGTGCCCACTGCACTCCAGCCTGGGTGACAAAGTGAGACTTCACCTCAAAAAAAAAAAAAAAAAAGAAAGAAAGAAAGAAAGAAAGAAAAAAGAAAAAACATGGGGTAAGTAATTTGCCCAAGACCACATAGCTGACAAGTGCTGGAAATGGGGTTAGCATCCCAAATCCGTCTGACTTCTGAAACTGCTTTTAATGTTGCTCTGTGCTCTCTATCCAATCTCCCAACTCAACATCACCTTCAGATGTGGAAATGTTTTTGTTATTCTGTCCTCCAGAGAATTCATGAAGCTTTCAATAAGGTCTATCCACACAGAGATTCTTGGAGAGGGTTACTGGACGATGCTTTGTGTAGACAAGCTTCCAATTTTCTCTATGGTTGGTTTTCTGTTAGAAACAGCTCCCTTTCTTTAAGGCAATATAACATCATAGTTCAGAGTGTAGACCAGATTACGGCTTTTTTAAAAGCTGTAGAGTGTACAGGTTCCTCTACTTTCTGTTGGAATTCTGATTACATTCCTGACAAGCTTACTATCTGAATCTCAGTCTCTTTATCCACAAAACAGGGAGAATGACATCTATCTCAGGTTGTAAAGATTAAATGAGATAACATCAATGAAAATGATAGTGTATGGCATTATACGACTTTATTATACAATTTTTCTCTTAATCGTAATTTTTTCAATAGCCTTGGGTGTTGGACTTTTTTAACATATTAAGAAAGTCTAAAACAAATGTTGCAAACTCGCTGCTGTCAAGCTGGATTAACAGATGTATTTCATTCCATTTGGACAGTATTATTATCTGAATTAATTGCCAAAATTTAAAAATCCAAAGAAGTCTGGTCTGCCTGCTAACATTGACCAGTACTTTGCCTATACCATGCACTCAATAAATACTTACTAATTGATTGATAGAATTCTTTTGCATCCCCTCAGAAGATCTAGCACAAATCTAGGCAATCAGTTATTCAATAAATAAGCCTTTATTGAATCTCTACTATGTACCAAACAATAGTTGCTTAATAACTTAATTGCTTCTTGTGGTCTTCTCATCACAAAGAAAAATTACTGTGTCCTATAAAATAACCCTAATTGAATTAATCACAGCTCTACTCTCATGAGATGGTTCTTACATCACACATACATTCTTCAAAGTTAACTAGAAGGAGAGCCTGGATTTCTAGAATTATAGATTTAAGGAGTATGGGCAATGGATGGTTGAGACCTTGGTCTCTGAGTCAGGCAGACCTGGATTTGAATACAGGCTCCACTACATGGAAGGCCTGTGACTTGGAGCAAATAATTGACTTCTCAATCCTCCATGTCCTCCTCTGTAATCCAGGCAGGAGAACAGGATCTGCCGTATAGGGATGTGGGTATGAAATGAGATCGTGTGGGTAGAGCCGTCACACAGAGTAAGTGTGCAGCGGATATTAACAATCGGACGCGCAGAACATGGGAACTGGAAGGAATTTCAGAGATCCTCTCTTCTGAGCAGTTGTTCCCTTAAACTTCTGATTCCAGAGCAGCCCTCTGACATCTTGCGGCAGGGTATTTGAGAGGCCAGGATTCTAAAGACCCACTTCCTGTGCTTGGTCTGTCCTCCTAGGCCTCAGCCCATGCCTCAGAGTCTGAGGCTGCCCCAGGCTCCTTTGGTTCAACACTGAACCACAGGCTGTGGCATAGGAGTGAGTTCAGAGCCTCAAGGCTAACCCCAAGTTTAACCAGCCAACCATCTTCAGCCCTGCCTGGACCCACCTGGGGCCCACTTGCTCTAGGTTCCAGTTTTGGGATGAGGAGTAAGGAAGACCAGAGAGTCCTCCTGTGCCACCACCTGATCCTCTGCTCAGCACCAGGTGCCCTGGCTGTCCACTCACCCCCAGTGCCTGGCAGAGCCAGTTCTCCCAGTCTGCACTGGGCCAGGGCTGGTGTGAGGCAGAGCAGCTGAGTCACGGCCCCTCGTTCAGTTTAATTACCTATGTGTGCAGATGACACACACAGAGGGGCTAACGAGGGTAATTACTCCGGGTGGGGTGAGCCCAGCTGACTAAGAATGCTTTGTTCTAGATGCAGAGAGCTGGGAGAACATTGCCAGAAGTGCTTCCTGAGCCTGGACCTTGTCTGGCCCTCCAAGACCCCTTCCCACCATCTCCCAGCACTTCCAAAGGCCAGGGAGCTGAGGTCCTAGACGGGGAGGGTGCATGTTCACAAATAGTATGAGTTGCCACCTGTCAATTGTGCATTTCTAGGTCCAGAGACCAGCTCATGGGACAAGGGCCACCTGCTGTGTCTCCTCTAGAGCCAGGAGGCTATCGGAAGGGGCAGATCCATTCATTCATTTCACCATAAAATTTTAACAGCTGTATTGAGATAGAATTTACATACCATACTGTTCACCCATTTAAAGTATACAATTAGATGGTTTTTGGTATATTCAGGGTTGTGTAAGATTGACCATCACAATAAACGTTAGAACATTTTCATCATTCCCAAAAGAAATACCCTACTCTTTAGCACTTACTTCCCCAGCTTCCCTCCCCCAAGCCCTAAGGCAACCACGAATCTACTTTCTGTGCCTGTAGATGTGTCTATTCTGGTCATTTCCTGTAAGTGGACTCATGCAGTGTGTGGTCTTCTGTGGCTGGCTCCTTTCATTCATCATCATATTTTCAAGGTCCATCTGCGCTGTGGCTTATGTTGGGACTCAGAAAACAACACCTCAAAATGAAGACCTCAGAAACAAAAGTTTTTCTCTGACCTGCTCCTGCCCTCCTGTTTCTCAGTCCCATTCTCCCCCGAGGCCAGCCGTTGAGACTGGAATCCCTCTTTTCCAAGGTGGGTCATAGAAACCCAAACTCCTTTTCTCCAAAGCCAGCCATAAAACCTAAAAGTATCAATCTCTCTCCCCAACTCCACACCGCCAGTGTAAAAACTGGCCATAAAACATGATGTGACCTACCTTACCTGACTGTAGTTCATTAGACCCTCATACCCAGAAGGAAGGAACACATGCTCAAAGGGGTCAACAAAAATCTAGATGGACAGCCTTGCTGGATTTCCATACTCACTCTGTTAGCATTAGATCAGACCCTTTTTGTCCAATCGTATTTCTCCACACAGCTGTCTATACTTTGTTGAACCTAAGCATAAAAATGGACAACTTCCCCTGTATCTTTGGGTCTTCATTCTGAAAGCTCCTGTGTCACCTAAAACTATGGTCAAATAAATTTATGTACCTTTTCTCCTATTAATCTGCCTTATGTGAGTGATTTTCAACAAAACTTCAGAGGGTGAAGCAGAATTTTTCCCTTGGACTTGACGCTTGTATCAGTACTTCATTTCTTTGTATTGTGAATAACTGTGGATAACACTCCATTGTGTGGATATGCCACATTTTATTTATCTATTCATCAGGTGATAGCCGTTTGAATTGTTTCCCCTTTTGGGCTATCATGAATAATGGTGCTATCAACTGATGTGCAAGTTTTTGCATGAGCTTATATTTTCAGTTCTTTTGGGGATATCCATAGGAGTGGAATTGCTGGGTCATATGGTAACTCTGTTAACCTTCTGGGGAAATTTTCCACAAATAATTTTGAGAGCCTCCTATATGCAAGGTCTGGGCTAGGTGCTGGGGGTTCCAAACAAATCTTGTGAAAAGTTAGGAACAAATTCTGGTGAATAATACATGAGGATTCTAATAAGGAATCCACATTTTAGTAAGTGCTAAGGATTACAGGAATGAGCCACCAACCTGGAATGAAGCTTGTTAATGTCTACAAAAAAAGGCCAAATAGAATTTTGATTAGGATTGCAAAACTCTGTAGATCAATATGGGGAGAAATAAACAATATTGAGTCTTATGATCCATGAACATAGTATATCTCTCTATTTTTTTTAGGTGTTCTTTAATTTCTCTCAGAAACATTTTGTAGTTTGCAGTGTATAGCTCTTACATACATTCTGTTAAATTTATCCCTAAAGATGTCATGTTTGTCAATGTGACTATATATAGTATTTTTAAAAATATCTATTTCCAATTGTTCATTGCTAGAAATGCAATTGATTTTTGCGTATTGACTTTGGACACTTCGGCCTTGCTAAAATTACTTATGAGATATTTTGTTCAATTCCTTGAGTTTTTTTTTTAATGCAGATGTTGTTTGTGAAAGCAGTTTTATCTGTTTCTTTCCAATATATATACCTTTTATTTGTTTTTAGTACTTTGCTGTTCTAGTACAATATTGAGTTGAAATGTAATTATTTCTTGCTAGGGTTTTAGTACAATGTTGAATAAAATGATGAAAACAGGCATCTTTGCCTTGCTCTTGATTTTTGGGAGAAATCGTTAGTCTTTCACCATTAAGAGATATGTTAGCTATAGATATCAATGTCCCTTATCAAGTTGAGGAAGTTCATAGTTTCCCAAGAGTTTTAAACCATAAATAGAAGTTAAAATATGTCAAATGCTTTCTCTGCACCTATTGAGATGATCATTTTTTTTAGTATATTGATATGGTGAATTACATTGATGGCACTACCTGATTTACATTTTTAAAAGATATCTCAGAGGTAAACCAGAGAAAGGCAGGGAGAGCAGTTTAGAGGTCCCTGTTATTATCTAGGTGAGAGATGATGGGGACTTTGGCCAGGCTGGTAGCCATGGATCTGTTTTAGAAGTAGACCTGACTTGCTGCAAGATCACATGAGGGAAATGATGTTAAGATGACTCCAAAAGGTTTTACTAGATAACTGAGAGGATGAAAATGCCATTTCTATCTCATGTAAAGGAAGAGGTCTGTTTTTGGTGGAGGTCTTGGAGCACTGTAGTTCTTGGAACTTTCTTCCACATACCAAGCCCCTTTGCCATCAGCACTGTGGAGATTTCAAGGCTGGATCCCAGAATATTAGGCAGACTTGGGTCCTCGCATGGACTGTGCCAGTCCCTAACAGTGTGTGAAGGAGGGTCAGCCTCTGACCCCCAAATACAACCCACCTAGGAAAGGCATACACTGGATATGGCCTTCACGGAAAGAAGGACGAGGAAGGGACTCTCTGGGACAGCACCTGGCTCTTTCCCCAGAGATCTCTTTTAGCTTCTCTAGTGGAGGTCAGAGAGACTGGGGAAGGGGAAAGCCAGGACAGAGGTGAGACAGAGGAAATGACATCACCAAGTGATCCTGACCTCGTGATCACGGTCGGAGACAAGCAGCCTTAGAAGCTCAGGCCAATAAGAGGTAGGGAGGAGACAGCAGCAAAGGAGAGAATGAAGGAGAGAAAGAAGTATATTATGTCATCAATAGGAACAACAATGGCAACTCCAGCCAGCCCTGGGAGCTTGGGGAAAAATGAATTAATGGATGCACATATAACTAACTCACCCTAGATGAGAATCAGAGTGCCACAAAAAAACTTTAGATTAGCTAGAGCAATGGTTTTCATTCCTGGCCTCATATCAAAACCATCAATGGGAAGTTTTACAAATCACTGACACCTGGGTCTCATACCAACCAAATCTCTGGCAGGAAAGCCTGAGTATTGGTATTGTTAAAAGAGACTCCTTGCCTATTCTAATTAGCAGCCAGGACCAAGAACGCTTGTTCTAATCAAACTTCTTCATCTTACAGAAGAGGAAACTGAGAAGCAGTGTTGGGCAGAGATTAGCGTTAAGATGACTGATGTCCTGGTTTGCCCAGAACTGAGGGAGTTTCCAGGATGCAGAACTTTCAGTTCTAAAACCAGAACAGTCCCAGAATGTGGGACTTTTAGTGCTAAAACTGGGAAAGCCCCGGGCAAACCTGGATGCGCTGGCCATCCTAAAACTCTAACTCCCTATTTTCTCATCTCCCTGAAATTAGGGCGAATTTCTTTCCACTTGAAATGATAGAATAGGTGATTAGTGAATCCTGGACAGTCCATTGGGCCATTGGGTATCTTGCTATTTGATCAAATCCATAATGTGATAGAGCTTGTGTTTCTAGCTGCCCCTCAGGTCATGACAGCTCCCAAATCCAAATGCAAAGCAGTCAATTAACCTCTAGGGGGACAGAAGTCAGCGTGGAAGCAGGGGGTCTCAGCTCTGCTTGGACATCTGCTTGGATATCTGTTTCTATACTGGTTTCCTGGTTTCCTTCCATATTGGTGAAGGAGGGGCTTGTTTCCTGGCTAAATCCTCCTGTGACATGCTTTCCTGCGCCATGTGCCTATCTGTAGCACTAATCACAGCCATCATTTTATATTTGTATGATAATTTGGTTGATGTCTGTCAAGATTTTAAACTCAGTGAAGACAGGCCATATCTGTTTCTGCTCATTATGGCATCTAAGTATCTACCTATCACAGTGGAGGACGTGTAGTAGACACTCAGTAAATGAATGAATACATGAGGGAATAAGCAATGAAGATCATTACCTATTCTTGTGCTCAGGGAATAATATTGTCTTGTATCCTTCTATCACCAGGAGATTTCAAACCAGTAGGAGATGAGTGTGAAGTCTTTGTCTAGTGGGACCCATAGTGTTACAATAAATGTAATCCATGTTCATCTGCAATATAGAGGCACAAGAATAAAAATGAGGGTGGTGATGGCTTTGCTGGGAGGCCTCTCTGTGCCAGCTGCCTGAGACATGGCTGCTTCCAAAAAGCTGCTGGCTACTCTCATGTTCAGTGTCATGCACCTCCCTGCCTCAGTGACCTTTGACATCTTTAGTAATATCTGTGATATTCAGCCCTTGCCAGGCAGGGCCTCTGTCACATTCCTACTACCTCCTTGCAGATGGCCCACGGATTCATCATCATCATCATCATCATCATCATCATCATCATCATCATGATCAGATCTTCACTGAACATCCTAATGTCCAAGGTACTGTGCTAAATCCTGGGGAAGCACGGCTGGGTGGGAGCTGGTGAGATAGTGGTGAATGTGATATGACCTGGCCTGTTTTACCATTCAGCTAGTGGGGGAGATAAGATATGCGCTTAAAAAAGCTTATGCCGAGTGCAGTGGCTCACACCTGTAATCCCAGCACTCTGGGAGTGAGTTTGAGATAGAGCTGTGGGTTTGGGCTGAGCCAGGGTGTTCCCCATTGCATCATCCACACCCCCATTTTCCATGCTCAGACACCAGTTTTTGGACCTCACTCCCATCCTCCCACTACACTGCCCAAACTCAAGAGGGAGCAGGACAGGAGTCTCTTTGAGGAAATGCTTGCCTTGTCGCTCTAGAACAGGTGCAATGCCTTGTACCTTGCAGTACCTCATTAGAATGCTGATGAATGTAGAATGAGAGAAAGAATGAATGAGTCAAAAGACCACCCCCAATGGCACTCATCACCCTGAGAACAGCTCAGCTTTAATGGGGTGATGCAGTGCTCCTGGGTCTCACCCCACTGATCCCAGTGAAGAACATCCCACTGATGAAGTCATCCCCCCTGAGTCATTTCCTGGGAAGTGGCTTGGAGAACAAGCTCCCTTTGGCTTGCTTAGCCTTCCAGGACTTGGCTTAGGGCGCCACCTAGTGGCAGACCTAGGAAAGGCTCTCCTGCTCACTCCACTCACTCCACCCACTCCACCATGCTGGCCAGCCTGAATCCCCCAGGCTAGAACAACCGCAAACCAGGGCCCCATGACAGCTAAGTCAACCCTCCTGCAAGTCCTCGTCCCCCATGACTATATTCCCACTGTGTGGCTTTGGCCCTGAGCATCCTCTTGAGGAAAGATGTCACCATATGTCAGCTTCTTAGATGTCCTTAGGGCATCCTGCTCTCAGAGCGATCCAGCCCATGTATGGGCAGAGCTAGGGGCACTCTCCAAACCTTAAGGATTCCGGAGGGGTCTTAAAGTTTCCCAGTTTTACCTCTATATCTGCATCCTATTCATGCCGCTCCTTCTGTACACCATGTACCCCATTAGACAACACCCCAGCCTCCACACGCCAGAGTGAAGAGCACACTTTACTGAACATCTAGAGTCAGAAGGCAGGGATCAAGTGGTCGGGGGGTGAAGGGGCAGGTAGGGGGTGGCAATGTTGGCAAATCATTTAAAGCTGAGCGTTAGACATCCCTGTTCAATCCTGTGCAGGATATATGAAGGTACAGGGATCAGGTCAACATGACGCCATTTGCAGACCTAACCTTATAGTAGGAAGACTGGCTCCAAGGCAGCTGGGGTTCTGGATACAAGAGTGCTGTGCTGTGCACATAGACAAGAGCCCTGCTCTCAAGAAGCTTACATTCTAGTAAGGAATGGGAGACAGGCAACAGACAACTGAACAAGTAAGTAAACTGATGATTTCTGTAGTATTAAGTGTCATAAAGAAAATAAAATGACGGCCGGGTGCGGTGGCTCAAGCCTGTAACACCAGCACTTTGGGAGGCCGGGGCAGGCGGATCACCTGAGGCCAGGAGTTCGAGACCAGCCCGACCAACATGGAGAAACCCTGTCTCTACAAAAAATACAAAAATTAGCCAGGTGTGGTAGCACATGCCTGTAATCCTAGCTACTCGGGAGGTTGAGGCAGGAGAATTGCTTGAACCCGGGAGGTGGAGGTTGCAGTGAGCCGAGATTGTGGCATCACTCCAGCCTAGGCAACAAGAACAAAACTCCACCTCAAAAAAAAAAAAAAAAGAAAGAAAGAAAGAAAGAAAAGAAAATGATATGAAATGATAGGAAGTGGCTGGTGGGGCTGGGTGTGGTGGCTTCCTGTAATCCCAGCACTTTGGGAGGTCGAGGCGGGTGGATCCCTTGAGCTCAGGATGGTAAAACCCTGTCTTTACAAAAAATACAAAAACTAGCCAGGCGTGGTGGAGTATGCCTGTAGTCTCAGGTACTTGGAAGGCTGAGGGGGGAGGATCACTTGAGCCCAGGAGATTGAGGCTGCAGTGAGCGGAGATCACACCACTGCACTCCAGCCTAGGCAACAGAGAGAGACACCCCCCGCCCCGCCAAAAAAAATTAATTAATTAATTAAAAATATTTTTGGCCGGACGCGGTGGCTCACCTCTACCCAGAGACTGTCACAGCCAAGAGGAGCCTATGGAGACATGGCAACTAATTATGACACCCTGGATCAGATGCTGGAATAGAAGAAGGATGTTAGGGCCGGGCGCAGTGGCTCACGCCTGTAATCCCAGCAGTTTGGGAGGCTGAGGTGGGCGGATCACCTGAGGTCAGGAGTTCGAGAGCAGCCTGGCCAACATGGCAAAACCCCTTCTCTACCAAAAACACAAAAATATTAGCTGGGCGTGGTGGTGCATGCCTGTAGTCCCATCTACTGGGGAGGCTGAGGCAGGAGAATTGCTTGAACCTGGGAGGTGGAGGTTGCAGTGAGCAGAGGTCATGCCACTGCACTCCAGCCTGGGGGACAGTCTTGCTCTGTCCCCCCACCAAAAAAATTATTTTTGTCTCAAAAAATAAAAAATAAAAATAAAAAGGAAGTGGCTAATGGGAAAGAAGGGAGGCACCTCTAAAAATGAGGTCAGGGATCTATCTAAGAAGGTGATGTAAGATGACACCTGAATGGTGAGAAGGAGACAGAGAGAGATGGAGGAGAAGATTGAACAGTGAGGAAGGAAGACAGAGATAAAGAAGAAACGGCACTTAGGATGATGCCTCAATAAGAGACTCCCATGGCAAGGCGCCCGATGTGATTCTCAAGCCAGGAAGATCAATGTGTGCATTCAATCGTGTGTCCAATCAGGGCACAATGTGGTCTCTCCTCTGAGCCCTTCATTTTCACAAAATCGATCATAGTCATGGATGTTTTATGCAAGGGGATTTTTACTTCTTAATTTGGTTTCTGTCTTGGTTTTGGTGGAAATCAAGGGAAGAACTGAGATTGCTACCCATGGAGCAGAACAGAAAACACACGTTTGAAAACAGAAGCCCAGAGGTAAAGGCAGGGTGGCCCACACATCCCCCTGGAAATTCCTCTCAAGCAGGGCTCCAGACCACATCAGGCCTGGGGCTTGAGATTCAAGCTTGTCTTATCTAAATCTTGAGGAGCAGGGAGGCCTTGGCTGATTTTTAGGATATAATCCCCAATGTGTATTGAGCACTTACAAGCTCTTTCCTTTCAATCTCTCTTTTCATCTTTGCATCCAGGTACCGCTGTTATTCCCACTTTATAGATGAGGAAACTAAGGCCAGGAGATGTTAAGTAACTTGTTGAAGATGGCATAACTAATAAGTGGGAGAAGCAGGATTTAAATTCAGGTCTGACTCCATCCCTGTGCCCTGAACCACGCACACCCTACGTATGAAATATATAAATGAATTTTAAAATGAATGCTTTTTGGCCAGGTGCGGTGGCTCACGCCTGTAATCCCAGCACTTTGGGAGGCTGAGATGGGTGGATCACGAGGTCAGGAGTTTAAGACCAGGCTGGCCAAGATGGTGAAACCCCGTCTCTACTAAAAATACAAAAATCAGCCGGGCGTGGTGGCGTGCACTTGTAATCCCAGCTATTCGGAAGGCTGAGGCAGAGAATTGCTTAAACCTGGAAGGCGGAGGTTTCAGTGAGCCAAGATTGCACCACTGCACTCCAGCCTGGGTGACAGAGTGAGACTCCGTCTCAAAAAAAAAAAAAAAAAGAAAGAATGCTTCTTTTGCCCCCCTGCCCCCAACATTCAGATAAAAGCACTTTCTCTCTTTTGAACTTCCATAGCAGTTGCTCTGGGTTGAAATTGGAAAGAACCTTTGAATACATAGGGCAGCAGTTCTCAATCAAGGCACATTGGCAATCTCTAGACATTTTTGGTTGTCACAACTAGTGGTGAGGAATGCCGCTGGCATCAATTGGATCGAGGCCAGGACACTGCTAACAACCCCAAAATGCACAAGACAGCCCTCCACGAGAATTACCCAGACAAAAATGTCACAAATGTTGAGGCTGAGAAACCCTCCGGTAGAGGGTGTCGTCAAGGAAAGCAGCTGGCTGGCTGGAGTGATGTTATCTTGATAGTTTAACCTCAACCTGGGGTTTGTTTCTCACTTGTCAAGCCCAGAACCTTGAGTTTGTGAATTCTCTGAGATGAAAAGGTCCTGAAGAAATGATTCACATCAAACCAAAAAGCATAAGAAAGTGATTTTTAACTTTTTAGAAAAACACAGTTATCCTCCTCCAACCCAAAACAAGCAAGAATTCTTCCTATTATTAACCCTTCCACTGCCCCCACCAACACATACACACAAATACCCACTGGAATCCATCCAGGGAACTGGGCAGTAAACCCTGGGTGGTCACCTGCAGCTCAGCACCACTTTTGACTCCACCTGTCCAGAGCTACTGTGGTGGCACCTGGGGAACAGGTAAACAGAAGCAACCTTTCTAGAAAGATCCAGACCTGGAGATAGTCTGAGATTTGCAGAGACAAAGCCAAAGGGAGAGAGCCCAGGACAAAGGCCAGTGAATTCTCCAAAGTGACGTGCATGCATTTGCCACAAGAAACCTGGTGGCCACAGAGTCCAGAATGCTCTTGTCAGCAGAGCAATAAATTCTGTCCCCAGAGAGAAGCTCACTTCAGGCTACAGACAGACTCAGCCACTGAAGCAAACCCTCAGGAAGCCAGCTGCTCATCCAGTGTGCAACAAACCCTCACAAGAGAGGTGTGCGAACTTCGTAGGCTCTTCAGCCTTCCAGAGGACCTTCCTCATCCCAGGATTGACCAGGCCAGACCCTGCTAGAAGGATTCTAGCACCAAATGCACTCTACCTTCAAGCTCTGCCTCTCAGTCCTAGGGAGACCTGTACTGTGCACTGGAGGCCCTCCCTCTCACGGAGGCTTTCTTCCTCTTGTTGGCACGTAGACCAAGTTGTGGTTGAGTCTCTCTGCAGCCTAAAGTCAGCTGGTATCTAGATTTGATCTGGGATGCGTTGACTTTCTAGTTTAGCTCTCTTGTGTCCCTTGTTTATCAGTACTACTAGTTCAGGGGGCACCTGTCTGCTTCACTCTGGCCCTGTGCTAGATCACCAGTCACTTTCTACACTGTGTTAGCGTCACCTGAGCATGTATGTCACCCTCCCCACTAAGTCTAGGGTTGGCAAGACAGCTCAGGCAAAGTCAGAATTGCAACCCAGCTGTACTGAACACTGGCTGTGTAACCCTGGGCAATGGATTTCATCTCTCCAAGTCTCAGTTGCCTCATCTATAAGCCAGAACTCCTGACTGCAGCTGGATCGGGTCGGTGTGAGGATCAGATCAGGATAGACACACGCAGTGCCCCACACCATGCCTGGTGGGTGGTGAGCACTCAGTGTGTGTGGGCTCTCATCGTCGCAGCGGATGCCCTGCACAGAGCCTGCGAGTGGGAGCTGGTGCCTCACAGCAGCAGGTGCCATGCATGTCTGATTCAGGGAATCGGTGCAAACTCCTTGTTCATGACTTGTTTCAAGCACATATGCTCGTCTGACCAGTGCAGATTCAAGACTTTAGTAGGACAGAAAGAACAGCAGTGTGGCCAGGTGGGGTCACAGGCTTGATGCCAGCCCTGCCTCCACCCTTTGCGGCTGTGGGACCCTGGCAGGTTACTTAACTACTCAGTGTCCTCAATGAAAAGCGGGGCAGAGGGCAACCCTTCCCTTCTAGGCCAACACTGCCCATTAGAAATGGAACACAAGTCACAAACACAAGCCGCATATGTGATTTTTTAAAATGTAGTACCTACATGTCACAAACATTTTTTTAAATGAAATTGGCCTTAGTCATATCTTTTTTCTAACCCGGAATACCCAAAATATTGTCATTTAGATATGTAATCAATTAAAGAATGAATGGGATATATATATAAATATGAACTCTTTGATATCCAGTGGTTTTTTTTTTGAGATGGAGTCTTGCTCTGTCGCCCACGCTGGAGTGCAGTGGAGCGATCTCGGCTCACTGCAAGCTCCGCCTCCCAGGTTCACGCCATTCTCCTGCCTCAGCCTCCCGAGTAGCTGGGACTACAGGCGCACATCTCAGGTCACACTAGCCAGCTTTCGGGTCCCCAGCAGCCACGTGGGGAGTAGCTACCACTCAGGACTGTAGCTCCAAATGAGCGCATGGAGGTAAATTAGCTGGACCCAAGTAGGTACATGGCGAATGTTGGCGTTATTACCTCCCCACTTCAAACGGACAGTGCGCAGGTGACTGAGTAGTTACATAACAAGGTTTTCTTTTCATTCATGTTTTCACATTATACAGATGGTATGTAGTAGTGTATAGAGGCTAAGCACACAGGCTCTGATCCAAACTGTTCGATCCTACCTCTGCCGCTTACTAGCTATGTAGCCGGGGCAAATGACTTAACATCCCCGTGCCTCAGTGTACTCATCTGTAAGAAGGAGTTAAAATAGTGTGGTTGTGAGGATGAAATGAGTTAATTTATATAAAGTGCTTAGAACAGTGTCTGACACACAGTAAATGCACAATAAATGTTAGGTACTATTGTTTCAAGTTTGCTGAAGAAATTCTGAAAATATAGAAAAGTTAGAAGAAACATTAATTGTTTAACCTCAGAGTCTTTTCTACCCAAAACAACCACAGCTGACATTTTTCTCTGGTGGTTTTTTTGATAAAACATGAGGCCCCACCTACTTCCTCTCTTGAAAAGCTATTAAGTGTCTCTCCCTCCCTCCTTTACTTCCCACCCCACCCAGCTTTTCTGCCCTTGCAATCAATCTCTGGCCCCAGGACACAACCCAGAAGCCAGGTGGAGATGAAAAAATATTTCTATGAGCATGAAGGAAAAGCAAACAGATGAACTTGGTGCTTTGAACCCAGCACCACTTCTCTGGTCTGTTTTCCAGTGACAGTGTCATTGGTAATTAGTATATGACATCTTGCTTCCAACAAATGTCAATTGAGATGGGACTGTTGATTTGGTGATATCACAGCATGGAGCAGCTCTAAATGTCAGAGATGTGACACATTACATGTGATAGGCCCAGGGCCCTCTCTCAGTCATGCTGGGCAGTTCTTGTATGCCTTGGCGACCCAAATACGAGCAGGGAACACCTGTCCCTGATTACAAGGGCTTCTACTGGGCCTTCAGCTCTGATCAGGGACCCTTTCTTCTAAGGAAACGGTTCTCAAACTTGAGTGTGTGTTCATGAGAGTCACTTAGTGAAATTGTTAAAATGCAGATTCTGAGTTCAATGCTTAGAAAATATCATTTAATAGCTCTAGGGACGCTCAGGAATGTGCATTTTTTATACATGGGATTCCGATGCAGGTGGTCTCAGGCCCATTCTCCGAGAAGCCCTAGAATGTAAAGGCTGTAATTCTCTTTGTACCTCACTGGCTTCTACAAAGACTAAGACAGAGATAGCAATAGCACCAGAGCAAAAAGGGGGAGAGCCTTGTCTCCCCTCCCTGGATGTCAGACCCATAGTCCTTGCCTTGGAAACTCAATGTCTGCTTTCAACCCTAGCATGGACAGCCCCCGTCATTGGTTTTGAAAATGGTCTGAATTTCATGCCACATGACACTATGGTATTAAGCATTCCAATGATAATGGAAAGAAATATTGTATCTGGAGTCAAATCTTGACTTTGCAGCTTATTAGTGGTGTGGCTTCAGGCAAATTTCTTCCCTCTTTGAGTCTTAATTTACTCATCTGTGAAAATGGAGATAATGAAGCCAGCCTCTAGTGATTGCTATGGCCATTAAATAAGGTACCGTATATGAACAAACTTAGAGCAGTGCCTTCTGCAGAGTAGACAGGAGATACTCATTTTATTTATTCAACAACTACTTATTAGGTTCCAGTATGTGCGAGGCTGTGCTAGCTTTTAAGATGCAAAGATGAATGGGAAGCACTGCTGATCTGTAAGGTGTTCCCTGTGTGCTGGAGGAGGCATCCAATGTCTCCATTATGAGATAGAAGGAAAGCCAAGCAGTCAGGGTTGGCTTCCCAGAAACATGACTCTCTTTTCCCCATACAAGTGTTTACCTTTTAGTTGCCAAATTGTGGAAAGGTTAGGGAGCAATGTTCAGGGCAGCCTGGAGTGGAGGACAGATTGGGTGCTGCACGGATGGTTCTGCTCTTATTTACTAAGCTGAAAATCCAAGTAATGGCCTGGCACTGTGGCTCGTGCCTATGATCCCAACACTTTGGGAGGCTGAGGCGGTTGGATTGCTTGAGGTCAGGAGTTCAAGACCATCCTGGCCAACATGGCAAAACCCCGTCTCTACTAAAAATACAAAAATTAGCCAGGTGTGGTGGCATGCGCCTATAATTCCAGCTTCTCAGGAGGCTGAGGCACAAAAATCGCTTGAACTTGGGAGGTGGAGCTTGCAGTGAGCTGAGATAGCGCCACTGCACTCCAGCCTGACTAATGGAGTAAGACTCTGTCAAAACAAAATTAAAACACAAATAAGACCCAGAGAAGAATTATGCAGACAGTAAAAGTGGTTGTGTGGTACATACATTTGTCAGGAGTCACCAAATTATACATTTAGGATCTGTGGATTTTACTGTATGTAATTGTGTCACAATTTTTTTAATTACTGTGGTATAGAATGTGGTCAAAAGCCTGTATTTTGAACTCAAATGGATCTGGGTTGGAAATACCAGCTCTACCAATTCCTAAACAAATTGTTTAACCTGTCTAAGCCTCAACTTTCTGCCTGTAAAGTAAGGATAATGATAGTATCTACTTCATATTATACTTGTGAGGATTAAGTAAGATAATTACTAAAAAATACATTAATACAATGTTCAACTTTTAGTTTTCAATAAATACGAGCCACCCTTTGATAATATAGAAAAATACAATGACAGAATATAAAATATAAAAGGCAAATTCAAAATTATACTTCTGGCATGAATAAAACTGTATTTTTAAAAAACAGCTTAATCTATGTCTAAAACAAAGACAAGGAGAAAATACATCAATATACTAGCAGCAGAACATGTCTATAATTTCAGCTACTTGGGAGGCTGAGGCAGGAGGATCACTTGAGCTCAGGAGTTCAAGTCCAGCCTGGGAAACATAGAGAGACCCTATCTCAAAAAACAACAAACAAAAACTAGCAGC
Organism: Homo sapiens; assembly: GCF_000001405.40. Lineage (NCBI taxonomy): Eukaryota > Metazoa > Chordata > Mammalia > Primates > Hominidae > Homo > Homo sapiens. Next base: position 117,955,597 of record NC_000011.10, read on the forward strand.
AGTGGTTATGTCATGGGACTATGAATGATTTATTTTTCCTTCTTGTAAACTCTCTGCACTTCCAAATTTTATTTAATAAAGTGCACCCTTTTTAAATGAAGAAAAGCGTATTTTATTTTAAATAAGAAATCATTGCAAAATCCCATTGTTTAGAAGATGGGAGTGCTTCCAAATGCTAGGGTTTGTTAGTGTTGCCTATCCCTAGAGTACTTAAAAGGGGATGAACCTTCAAAGTGGGAGAGTCAAGGAGCCAGCTGTAGGGAACCAGAGTGTGCAAAATCCAAGGAATGGGGCACAGACAAAGCTGCCATTGAACACAAGAGAATTCCAAATAATCGATGAGTGACTGAGTGCAATTTGTACGAAGCTTAACAAACTCCAAGTGGGAAAAATGCAAAGAGAAACACCCCTTGGCACATCACAGTAAAACTGCTGAAGATAAAGTCAAATATAAAATCTTTAAAAAAAAGCCAGGAAGAAAAAGATAAATAATCTTAAAAGAACAAAAATAAGATGACTGACTTTTTGTTATGGGTTGAACTGTGTATCTCCCACCCCCTACCAAATTCATATGTTGAAATCCTAACCCCCGTACCTCAGAATGTGGCTATATTTGGAGACTGTGTCTTGTCAGAGGTAATTAAGTTAAAATGAGGTCATTAAAGTGGGCCCTAATTCAGTATGACTAGTGTCCCTATAAGAAGAGGAGATTTGGACCCAAACTTGCACAGAGGGAAGATCGTGTGAAGACGGAGGGAGAAGATGGTCATCTATAGCCAAAGAGAGAAGTCACAGAAGAAACCAACCCTGCCAACACCTTGACCTTGGACTTTAGAACTATGAGAAAATAAATTTCTGTTGTTTAAGCCAAAGGCCCAAGACTGTTCCTCTAGAGAGGCCCAAGTGGCACTTTGTTACAGAAGCCCTAGAAACTTAATATACGTTTTAACAGAAACAATAGGAGCCAGCAGACAGTGGAATGATATCTTTAAAGTGCTGACAGACATATGTAACAGATCCACAGCCAATATCATACTGAATGGGAAACAAGTGAAAGCCTTTCTTCTAAGATCTGGAACATGACAAGGAAGCCCACTTTTACCACTATTATTTAACATACTACTGGAAGTCCTAGCTAGAGCAATAAGACAAGAGAAAGAAACAAAGGGCATCCAAATTGGAAAGAATGAAGTCAAATTATCCTTGTTTTCAGATAATATGATCTTTTATTTGGAAAAACCTAAAGACTCCACCAAAACTATTAGAATGGATAAATAAATTCAGTAAAGTTGCAGGATACAAAATCAACATACAAAAATCAGTAGCATTTCTATATGCCAAAGGTAAGCAACCTGAAAAAGAAACCAAGAAAGTAATCCCATTTACAATAGCTACAAATAAAATAAAATACCTAGGAATTAACTTAAAGAAGTGAAAGTTCTCTATAATGAAAACTATAAAACACTGATGCAAAAAATTGAAGAGGACACCAAAAAAAAGCGGGGGGGAAAGATAGTGTATGTTCATGGATTGGAAACATCAGTATTGTTAAAATGTCCATAGTACCCAAAGCAATCTACAGATTAAATGCAATCTCTATCAAAATACCTATGACATTCTTCACAGAAATGGAAAAAATAATCCTAAAATTTATATGGAACCACAAAAGACCTGGAATAGCGAAAGCTATCCTGAGCAAAAAGAATAAAACTGGAGGAATCACATTACCAGACTTCAAGTTATACTACAGAACTATAATAACCAAAACAGCATGGTACTGGCATAAAAGCAGACACATAAACCAATGGAACAGAATAGAGAAGACAGAAAAAAGAATCAATACATATAGAGAACTCATTTTCAAAGAAGATGTCAAGAATGTATGTATTAGCCAGGGTTCTCTAGAGGAACAGAACTAACAGGATAGATGTATATATGAAGGGGAGTTGATTAAGGAGCATAGACACACATGATCACAAGGTGAAGTCCCACAGTAGGCCGTCTGCAAGCTGAGGAGCAAGAAAGACAGTCTGAGTCCCAAAACCTCAAAAGTAGGGAAGCCAATGGTGCAGTCTAGTCTGTGGCCAAAGGTCCGAGAGCCCCTGGCAAACCAATGGTGTGAGTCCAAGAGTCCAAAATCTGAATAACCTGAAGTCTGATGGTCGAGGGCAGGAAGCATCCAGCAAGGGAGAAAGATGGAAACTGGAAGACTCAGCAAGTCTGCTCTTGCATCTTCTCCTGCCTGCTTTATTCCAGCCACACTGGCTGTTGATTAGACGGTACCCACCCAGACTGAGGGTGGGTCTGCCTCTCCCAGTCCACTAACTCAAATGTTAACCTCCTTTGGCAACATGCTCACAGACACACCCAGGAACAATACTTCACATCCTTCAATCCAATGAAGTGGATACTCAGTATTAACCATCACAATATATATTGGGGAATGGACAGTCTCTTCAATAAATGGTGCTGGAAAAACTGGATATTCATATGCAGAAGAATGAAACTAGATGCCTATCTCTTGCCATACACAAACATCAAATCAAAATGGATTAAAAACTTAAATCTAAGACCTCAAACTATGACACTACTACAAGAAAACATTGGGGAAACTCTCCAGGACATTCGAGTAGGCAAAGGTATCTTGAGTAATACCCTGCAAGCACAGACAACCAAAGCAAAATTGGACAAATGGGATCAAATCAAGTTAGAAAGCTTCTGCACAGCAAAGAAAACAATCAACAAAGTGAAGTGACAACCAATAGCATGGAAGAAAATGTTTGCAAAGTACCCATCTGATAAGGGATTAATAACCAGAATACATCAGGAGCTCAAACAACTCTGTAAGAAAAAATCTAATAATCCAATGTAACAACGGGCAAAAGTTCTGAATAGACATTTCTCAAAAGAAGACATACAAATGGAAAACAGGTATATGAGAAGGTGCTCAACATCATTGTTCATCAGAGAAATGCAAATCAGAACTACAGTGGGATATCATCTCACTCCAGTTAAAATGACTTTTATCCAAAAGACAGGCAACAACAAATGCTGGCAAGGGTGTGGAGAAAGGAAACCTTTGTGCACTGTTGATATTGGACAACACTGTTGGTGTTGGAAAACAGTTTAGAGGTGCCTCAAAAAACTAAAAATAGAGTTGCCATGCAATTCAGCAATCTCACTGCTGGGTACATACTCAACCGAAGGGAAATCAGTATTTTAAAGAGATATCTGCAGTCCCATGTTTACTGTAGCACTATTCACAATAGTCAAGATTTGGAGGCAACCTGAGTGTTCACCAGCAGATGAATGGGTAAAGAAAATATGGTGCATATACACAACGGGGTCCTATTCAGCCATAAAAAAGAATGTGATCCTATTATCTACAACAACATAGATAGGACTAGAGGTCATTAAGTGAAATAAGCCATGCACAAAAAAGACAAACTTTGCATGTTTTCACTTACTTGTGGGAGCCAAAAATTAAAACAATTGAACTCATGAAGATAAGAGTAGAAGGATGTTTACCAGAGGCTGGGAAAGATAGTAAGGGTGGAGTTGGGAAGGAGTGCAGATGGTTAATGGGTACAAAAAAATAGTTAGAGAGAATGAATAAGACCTAGTATTTGCTATCACAACAGGGTGACTATAGTCAATAATAATTTAATTGTACATTTTAAAATAACTAAAAGTGTATGATTGGATTTTTTGTAACACAAAGGATAATGCTCGAGGTGATGAATACACCATTTACCCCGATGTGATTATTACACATTGCATGCTATATCAAAATATCTCAGACCCCATAAATATATGCACCTATTATGTACCCATAAAAAATAAAAATAAAAATAAATAAAGTGCTAATGGAAAATAACTTCCAACCTAGAAGTCTATAATCAGCAAAAATATATTTCAAAAATGAAAGTAAGGACTTCCTCTTCTGGCCAAGATGAAGTTACAGGAACTGCATTTATCCTCCCACCAGAAACATGCCCTCCCCAAATGGACAAAATGTATGAAACAATAGTTTTTGAGACTTTGAACATCAGGCAAAAAAAAGTCAGGGACCCTTAGAGACAGAAAACAAATAAGTAGAGCCATATGATTGCCCCCAACGAATTGCCTTGAGAGAATTTCCAGGCCATAGCATGGGTGGGGGTGGAGGTCAGTGGGGGAACTCAACCCCTATGTGGGTGGGGTTAATAGGACAGAATACCAGAGGAGAGAGATGAACAGAAAGGGAACTTCAGATATCTAAAGAGGGTTTCCTTCAAGTGTTCAGCAGAATACTGATGATTGTACTCATAAGAAAAAACTATCTGAGGCCAGGCAAAGAAGCTTCTGAAAGAATGAGAGAGAACAGTACCTGGTATGCAAACAGAATTGAGAATAGTGCCTGTTCCCACTGTACAGACTAGAGAAACTTACAATTCACAGGGAATTAGGTGGAGGATTCAGGATGATCTTGCCTCAGTAGGGGGAAGTAACTAGCCCTAGGCTAAACAGTACTTTAAATTTACCTAACAAATCACAAAAGCAAGACATAAAGGATCAAACTGTTTCCAAGATACTTAGCTGCATCCCAAAACATAGTTCAAGAATAATTACAGGAATACCACAATATCAAGTACCCAACAAGGTAAAATTTACAATGTTTAACATATATCCACAGATTACCAGGCATACAAAGAAAGAGGAAAACAAGACCCATAATGACAAAATAATCAATCAATTGAAACCAACCCAGAACTGACACAGATATTAGAATTAGCAGAGAAGGATGTTAAAACAGCTATTATAACTGTATTTCATATGTTCAAAAAGCTAAGTACAGACATGGAAGAATATTTTTAAAGATGTAATTCTAATTTACAGATGAAAACTACAATGCCAGAAATGAAAAATATACCAGATTGGATTAAGAGCAGAGTAGACATTGCAGAAGTTAAGTGAGCTTGAAATCTTAGCAATAGAAACTGCTCAGCAGTTCAGAAAATGAAACACAGGGGAAAAAATCATCAAAAATGAAAAGGAAAAAGAAAATAGTGTCAGTGAGCTGTGAGTCAACTTCGAGTAGCCTAATATTGGATTCCCTAAAAGAGTCCCTAAAGCAAATGAGAGAGGAAACAGAAAAATATGAAAGGATAAGAGCCAAAAAGTTTTCAAACTTAATGAAAACTGTAAACCCACAGGTCCAAGAAACCAACCAAACAAACAAACAAATAAGCAAACAATAAAACAAACCCCAAAGCACAAAAATATGCAGAAAACTATAGTGAGGCAGATTATAATCAATTTACTAAAAACCAATGTTAAAGAGAAAATCTTAAAAGCAGCTAGAGAAAGACATGTTACATACAGAGGAAGAATTAAGATACGGATTTCTCATCAGAAACAATGGAAGCAAGAAGACTGGAACAACATCTTCAAAGCACTTGAAGGAGAAAACAGTCCATCTAGAATTCCATGCCCGTCAAAAACATCTCTCAAAAATAAAGACATCTTCAGACATAAAAAAGCTGAGAGAAGGCCGAGGCGGGCGGATCATGAGGTCAGGAGATCCAGACCATCCTGGCTAACACGGTGAAACCCCGTCTCTACTGAAAATACAAAAAATTAGCCGGGCGTGGTGGCGGGTGCCTGTAGTCCCAGCTACTCAGGAGGCTGAGGCAGGAGAATGGCGTGAACCCGGGAGGCGGAGCTTGCAGTGAGCCGAGATCGCACCACTGCACTCCAGCCTGGGTGGCAGAGCCAGACTCCGTCTCAAAAAAAAAAAAAAAAAAAAAAAAGGCTGAGAGAATTTCCACCAGCGGAACCACACCATAAAAAAAGTAAAAGGAAATTCTTCAGGCAGAAGGAAAAGAATACCAGATGGAAACCTGGGGTGACACAAATAAATAAAGAATACTGGAAATGGTAGTGACTACATAGGTAAATATATGAATTTTTAAAAATTATTTAAATCTCTTTCAAAGATAAGGGACTGTTAAACCAAAAACAGTTACAACGTATTGTGGGGTTTAGAATATTTGTAATAGCAAAATGCATGATAAAAACAGCACAAAGGCTAAAAAGGATAAAAATGAAAGTATGCTATTGTAGAATTCTTCTACTAGGCATAAAGGACTATAATATCAGTTGAAGTAGGCTGTGATAACTTAAAGATGTATGCCATAAACCCAAAAGCAACCATTAAAAAAGATCCCCAACAGCCAAGAGTTATAGCTAATAAGCCAACAAAAGAGATTTTAAAATACTCCAAAGAAGGCAGAAAAAATGGGAAAGGAAGACAGAACAGATGAGACAAAGAGAAAAGAAATAGCAAGACGATAGACCTAAACCCAACCCAAAAAGCAAGATGCAACTCTATGCTGCCAACAGGAAATTAGCAACAAGGACACCGTGGCTCATGCCTGTAATTCCAGCACTTTGGGGGGCCGAGGTGGGCGGGTCTTCTGAGGTCAGGAGTTTGAGAGCAGCCTGGCCAACATGGTGAAACCCTGTCTCTACTAAATACACAAAAATTAGCCAGGCTTGGTGGCCCTGGCCTGCGCCTATAGTACCAGCTTCTTGGGAGGTTGAGGCGGGAGAATCACTTGAATCCAGAAGGCGGAGGTTGTAGTGAGCCAAGATGGCGCCACTGTGCTCCAGCCTGGGCGACAGAGTGAGACTCCACCGAAAGAAAGAGAGAAAGAGAGAGAGAGAGAAAGGAAGGAAGGGTGGAAGGAAGGAAGGAAGGAAGGAAAGAAGGAAGGAAGGAAGGAAAATATTTATTTTAAATATAAAGGTACTACATGTTAAAAGTAAAAGGATAGGATAGTGTAAACCACACTAACACTAGTCAAGAGAAAACTGGAGTTACTGTGTTACTATCAGACAAGGTAGGTTTTAGAGCAAAGGATATTATCAGAGCTAGAGAAGGTCATTTTATAGTTATAAAGGGATCAATTAATCAAGAGGACACAATTCTAAAGTGTTTATGCACCTTTAAAATATAGACAGTAAAAGTTGCTAGAGTTGCAAGGACAAACAGACAAATTGACAATTACTGTCAGAGATTTCAATATACTTCTCTCAATAAGTGGTAGAATAAGTAGAAAATAAATGAGAACATAGTACATTTGAATAGTACTATCAATCAATTTGACTGGATTGACATTTATAGAACATTCCATCTAACAACGGCAGAATACACCATCTTTTCAAGTATACACAAAGCATTTACCAAGACTGACCATATTCTGGGTCATAAAATAAATCTAAATAAGTTCCGAAGGATTTAAGTCATACAAAATATGTTCTCTGACCACAGTGGAATTAAATTAGAAATTAATACCAGAAAGGTACCTGGAAAATCCCCAAAGTTCTGGTAACTGAGTCCCATACTTCTAAATGACCCATGATCATGACCCAATAAGAAATTGAAAGGGAAATTACAAAGTATTTTGAAATAAATTAAAACGAAAACACAACATAGAATTTGTGGGATGCTGTTAAGCAGTATTTATGAGGAAATTCATAGTGCTAAATGCCCATACTAGTAAAGAAGTATCAACTGGGCGTGGTGGCTCACACCTGTAATTCCAGCACTTTGGGAGGCCAAGACAGGCAGATCACCTGAGGTCAGGAGTTTGAGACCAGCCTGACCAACAAGGAGAAATCCCATCTCTACTAAAAATACAAAAATTAGCCAGGCGTGGTGGCGCATGCCTGTAATCCCAGCTACTCGGGAGGCTGAGGCAGCAGAAATCACTTGAACCTGGGAGGTGGAGATTGCGGTGAGCTGAGATTGCACCACTGCACTCCAGCCTGGGCAACAAGAGCAAAACTCCATCTCAAAAAAAAAAAAAAAAGAAGTATTAAGTAAATATGCTCATATTGCATCTAAAGAAACTAAGAAAATTAAGAGAAAATTAAACCCCAAAGAAGCAGAAAAAGAAAATAACAAAGATCAATGGGGAAATTAATATTAATAAAACAGAAAACAAAATAAAACAAATACAGAAAGCCAATCAAGAGCTGGTTCTGTGTGATTAATAAAATGGATAAACCTGTAGCTATAAGGATTAGGGTAAAAAGAGAGATACCACAAATTTCCAGTATTGGAAATGAGTGAGGTGACCTCGTTCAACAGATTTTACAGATATTGAAAGGATAATAAAGCAATATTATGAGCAACTTTATGTCAAAAAAAATTGAAAACTTGCATGAAATAGATTAATTCTCCTGAAAAACACAAATTACCATGGCTGGTTCAAAAAGAAAGATAACCTAAACAGCCCTATTGTAGTTAAAAACCTTCCCACAAAGAAAACTTCAGGCCCCAGTGGCTTCACTGGTGAATTTCACCAAACATTTAAGAAAGAAATAATACTAAGTCTACACAAACGTTTTCAAAAAATTGAAGCAAAGGGAATACATCTCAACTCATTTTATGAGGCCAGCATTACCCTGATGCTAAAACCAGACAAAGACATTTACAGAAAAAAAACAAAACTAAACTAAAGGCCAAAATCGCTTATGATCACGAGCAAAAATTTTAAACAGTACTTTGGGGCATTGAATCTAGCAATATATTAAAAGGATAATACATCATGACCTAACGAAGTTTATCTCATGACTTCAGGGTTGAATGAACATTGGAAAATCCCTCAGCATAATTCACCTGAAATTCAAGCTGAAAATCAATGATCTCAGTTGCCATCTCAAGACAATAAAAAAAATTAACTAAAAAAGGAAAACCATGTAATCATTTCAATGGATGCAGAAAAAGCACTTGACAAAATTTAACATATATTTTATCCATTCCTGATTTTTTTTTTTTTTTTTTTTTTTGAGACAGAGTCTCGCTCTGTCACTCAGGTTGGAGTGCAATGGCACGATCTGGGCTCACTGCAACCTCCGCCTCCCGGGTTCAAGAGATTCTCCTGCCCCAGCCTCCCAAGTAGCTGGAATTACAGGTGCCCACCACCATGCCCAGCTAATTTTTTGTATTTTTAGTAGAGACAGGGTTTCACTGTGTTAGCCAGGATGGTCTCGATCTCCTGACATTGTGATTCACCCGCCTCAGCCTCCCAAAGTGCTGGGATTACAGGCGTGAGCTACCGTGCCCGGCCCATTCCTGATTTTAAAATCTCTCGGCAAACTAGAAATAGAAGGGAACAACTTCAATCTGATTTTTAAAAATCCACAAAAAGCCTATAGCTATGATCAATCTTCTTTTTTTTTTTTTTTTGGACAGAGTCTCGCTTTGTTGCCCAGGCTGGAGTGCAGTGGTGCGATCTCGGCTCACTGCAACCTCTGCTTCCCGGGTTCAAGCAATTCTCTGCCTATGCCTCCCAGGTTCAAGCAATTCTCTGCCTCGGCCTCCTGAGTAGCTGGGATTACAGGTGCCTGCCACGATGCCTGGCTACTTTTTGTATTTTTAGTAGAGATGGGGTTTCACCATCTTGGCCAGGCTGGTCTTGAACTCCTGACCTCGTGATCCACCCGCCTCGGCCTCCCAAAGTGCTGGGATTACAGGCGTGAGCCACTGCGCCCGGCCAGCTATGATCATTCTTAATGGCAAAAGACTGAATGTTTCCCCCTAAGATCAGGAGCAGGACAGGTTGTCCTCTCCCACCAATTCTATTCAACATTTTACCAGAGGTGCTAGCCAGAACAATCAGGCCAGAAGAAGAAATAGAAAACATCTAGGCTGGGTAGGAAGAAGTAAAACTGACTTTATTTTCAGGTAACATGATTATCTAGGTAGGAAACCTGATGGAATCTACCAAAAAAGCTACTGGAACTTGTAACTGATAACAGACAAGGTAACAGGTTGCAGGATCCATATTTAAAAACAATTGTATTTTTATATACTAACAACAAATAATTGGAAATTGAAATGTATAAAACAATGCCATTTATAATAGCATCAAAAAATATCGAAGACGAAAATGAACCATATGTCGGGACATAAATTGAGCCTCAATGGCTTTCAAAAGTTAGATCATTTAGAGCATATTCTATGAATTAATAAAAAAGAGATAATTGGAAAATCCTCAACTGACTGGGAAGCAAATAATGTACTTCTAAATAATCCAAAGGCCACAAGTAATCATAATGAAATTTTAAAATATTTTATTTATTTATTTTTGAGACAAGGTCTCCCTCTGTCACCAAGGCTGGAGTACAATGGCACAATCACAGCTCACTGTAACCTCGAACTTCTAGACTCAAGCAATCCTCTCACCTTAGCTCCCCGAGTAGGTGGGACTACAGGCCCAAGCCACAATGCCCAGCTAACTTTTAATTTTTTGGTAGGGACAGGATCTCTCCCAGGCTGGTCTCAAACTCCTTGGCTCAAGTGATCTTCCTGCCTCAGGCTCCCAAAGTGCCAGGATTACAGGCCTGAGCCACCTCGCCTGGCACAATTTTAAATATAGCATTAACAAAATTGCTGAGATGTGACTAAAACAGTGCCCAAAGGGAAAGTTATAACTTTAAATAATAAATTAGAGATGAACAAAAGCTGAAAATCAGTGATCTCAGTTGCCATCTCAAGATGATTAAAAAAAAGCACCTGAAACCTAAAAAAAGTAGAAGGATATGACAAAGATAAGAGCAGAAGTTTAAGAATAGAAAACAGAATTTAAAAATTTAAAAAGCCAAAATTTGTTTTTTTAAAAAAGATTAATACATTTGAAAAAAAAATTAGCAAGACTGATTTTGAAAAAGAAAGAGGCCAGGCATGGTGGCTCACACCTATAATCCCAGCACTTTGGGAGGCCGAGGCAGGCGGATCACCTGAGGTCAGGAGTTCAAGACCAGCCTGGCCAACATGGTGAAACCCAGTGTCCACTAAAAATACAAAAATTAGCCGGACATGTTGGCAGGCGCCTGTAATTCCAGCTACTCAGGAGGCTGAGGTGGGAGAATCGCTTGAACCCCGAGTCGGAGGTTGCAGTGAGCCTGAGACTACACCACTGCACTCCAACCTCAGCAACAGAGCAAGAGACTCCCTCTCAAGAAAAAAAAAAAAAAAAAGAAAAGAAAAGGAAAGAAGGGAAGGAAGGAAGGAAGGAAAAGAAAGAAAGAAAGAAAATGTGAATTACTAATATTGGGAATGAATAAAAAAGGCAACATTACTCCAGATCCTAGACAATATATTTTGAACATTATTCCAATTTGGATGAAATGGACAAATTCTTCCAAAAGCCAAGTTCACAAAGATAAAAGAAGAAATAGAAGAGTACTGGGATATTCTGACATCCATTAAGGAAACTGAATCTTTGCCTCCCAGCTCTGTGCTGGCTTCCTTGGAGGCTCATCCTCTGTGGGCGAATGCACGGTATTAGAGTCAGTTAAAAGATTTAAAGGGAATCTGCAGGCAGTTTTAGGGCTCCCTAATCTGCCACTCCCTTCTTCCTGAGATCTTTCCTTCTCCATTTCCGGCTGCTCTGGCAGCTCGGAACCCTGACCTGCAACTGAGTTCTCAGCCCAGCAGCACTCACCCTCATGCGGAATCTGGTCTCCTAAGTGCCACTCGGAACCAGAGTGAGCTCTCAGGGACCTCACCTAGTTTGCTCTACTCCTTCTACTTAACACGACCCTCTCAACGCTGTTGGCTCTTGCTTGTGCTCTAGTGCCTTCAAAATAGTTGGATTTGTTTGTTTTTGCAGATTATATATTTTTTGAAACATTTTCAAACTTTCAAAGGGGTTGCAAGAATAATACAAAGAACTCCTGTATACACTTTACACAGATTCATCAATTGTTAGCACATTTCCATGACTACTGTTCCTTATTGGTAGATGATAGATAGAAATAGAGGTATGCGTCTATGCATGTATATACGTATTTTTAAATAGACTTTTTTTTTTAGAACAGTTTTACGTTTACAAAAACAAAAACAGCTGGGTGTGGTGGTGCACCTCTGTAGTTCCAGCTACTTGGGAGACCGAAGCAGGAGGATTGCTTGAGCCTAGGAGTTTGAGTCCAGTCTGGGCAACATAATGAGACCCTGTCTCAAAAAAAAATGAGGTGGGCCGGGCGCAGTGGCTCATGACTGTAAACCCAGCACTTTGGGAGGCCGAGGTGGGTGGATCACTTGAGGTCAGGAGTTCGAGACCAGCCTGGCCAACATGGCGAAACCCCGTCTCTACTGAAAATACAAAAATTAGCTGGCCATGGTGATGCATGCCTGTAATCCCAGCTACTGGGGAGGCTGAGGCAGGAGAATTGCTTGAACCTGGGAGGCAGAGGTTGCAGTGAGCTGAGATTGCGCCAGTGCCCTCCAGCCTGGGCGACAGAGTGAGACTCCATCTCAAAAAAAAAAAAAAGAGAGAGAGAACATACTACAGAGGGTTCTCATATACCCCACATCCATTATTAACATCTTACATTAGTGTGGTACTTTTGTTACAATTAATGAACTTAATATTGATATATCATCACTGACTATAAAGTCCATACTGTAGTCACATTTCCTTAGTTTTCACCTAACGTTCTTTTCCTTTTTTTTTTTTTTTGAGATGGAGTCTCGCTCTGTCGCCCAGTCTGGAGAGCAGTAGCATGATCTTGGCTCACTGCAACCTCTGCCTCCCAGATTCAAGCTATTCTGCTGCCTCAGCCTCCTGAGTAGCTGGGATTACAGGCGCCCACAACCACACCCAGCTAATTTTTGTATTTTTCAGTAGAGACGGGGTTTCGCCATGTCGGCCAGGCTGGCCTCGAACTCCTGACCTCAGGTGATCCACCCTCCTCGGCCTCCCATAGTGCTGGGATTACAGTCATGGGCCACCACGCCCAGCCCTAATGTCCTTTTTCTACTCCAGCATCTGATCCAGGGTGTCATAATTAGTTGCCATGTCTCCATAGAATGCTTTTGGATGTGAGTCTCTGGGTTTTGGTGCCCTTGACAGTTCTGGTGCATACTGGTCAAGTGCAGTGTAGGAGTTCCCACTATTGGAGTTCATTTTATGGTTTCCTCATGGTTATCTGGGGCTGTGCGTTCTGGGAAGGAAGACTACAGAGGTTAAATGCCGTTCTTGTCACATCACATGAAGGGTGTATACTATCAACGTAACTTACTGCTATTGATTTTCATCTTATTCAGCAGGCTGACGTTGTTTGTTGGCTTCTCCACTATAAAGTTATTCATTCTCCACTTTCTATGCTGTATTCTCTGGAAGGAAGTCACTGTACAGCCTGCACTTAGGAAGTCACTATGTGCAGCCTGCACTTAAAGAGTGAGAAGGTTTTCTTCCTCCACCACCATTGATGGCAGATTATCTATGTAAGTGATACGAAATTCTTGTACACGGGAGATCTGTCTCTTCTAATAGCTGAAGTTTTAAATATTTTATTCAGAATTTATAACTGTTATCAGCCAAAGGGTGTTTGGAAATAGCTTGTACTGGAATAACCCTTTGGCTGATAACAGTTTATAGACTCTGAGCGGGATCTCTCATATCTAACATTTGTTGGACACTTACTTGGTACCATGCACTGTCCTAAACATCATTCACATATCTTATTTCATTTAACCTTTGCGATAACTCTACATAGTATTATTATGCCCATTTTATGCATAAAGAATCAGAGCCCTACTGGTGAGCCCCACTGCATTCCCGTGTGTGCCTTGCACACCATACTTTTAAAATTTCAGTGAATTTCCTTGCCGTATTTGTCCATGAGGGTTTTGTGCTGCTAGGTGAGCCCTGCTCTCACTGGTCTTGTTCATGCATTTCTGGTTCCCCCCCCTTCCTTCCCTGCTGGGCCTGGTTGTGTAGTAACTGGGTGCCCAACTCAGCATGCTCCAGAGCCAACCCCAGAATTCAGTTCCGTGATTTCTGATAGGTGCCTGAACTCTCAGACACAGACTATGAGACCCTGGCCACCATAACAGTCCCAGGGAATGAGGGGCCATAGCCTGACACCTCCACTCACACATAAAGTACCCTTGCCACCCAAGGGCAAAAACAGCACCTCACACCTATGAGGACCTGAGAGATCTAGAAGTCTGTTTCACACTCTGAGCAAAATCCCCCACCCAGATGTTAAAAAGGCAAGAGGGCAGGCAGGGAGTTGAAGACTCAAAAGCCACTATGGTTGGAAAAGAAAACCAAACCAAACAATTTGTGGACGGTTAACCCACCTGCCCACAAAACAACCCTTAAAGAAGGACCCATGAGGTATGGTGGGGCTCAGCCAATTTTCACAAGTATGAACCATTTAACGCTCAAGCTTTCACCCCTCCTTACTACCACCCCTAGTGCTTTGTGCTGGGCACCACAATGAGGTGAAAAGACAGCTTGGGTGCAGAATCTCATTTGATTTTTACAAAAGCCTTAGGAGGATGCAGGGCAGGGATTCATACCCTCACTTTATCATAGAAATGGAGGCTTAGAGAGGTCAAGTGATTTGCCAAGCATGGTCCAGTAAGTGAACATGCTGTCCAACTCCATCTTGGACTTTATATGGAATGGCTCAGTGGAAAAGACTGGAGCCATTCCCATTAAAAAACATCAAGTAGAGGCACCTAATAATAGTGGCCGATCAACAAAGATGCACATGAAACTGTTGGTCAAAACAGCACATTCTTCCCAAAGCTGGAGCACTTAGGAAGATGAGAATGTCTAGTGTTAACCAAGGAAGGTTCTCCATAAGCAGTGTTGAGTATTCTGCAGAAGGGGGGAAGAGAAGGCACAAAGAAGGCCAAATAGCTGCACACTCCCAGGACTGTGTCCCCACTCTCTGACTGCCATCTCCTAGAGAGCTTGCCTGGCTGGGGTCCCCATACAGAAATCATCTGGTGGCCTGTGCAAGGAAACAGCCAACCTCAGAGTTCTATTCCCACTCAGACATGTCTCTGCGGGTTGCCAGCATATGGCCCACTGCCTAGCACACAGTGGGTGCACACTAAATGTCTGTTGACTGGAATTAGCTGATAAATGTTTGCTGACTGAGGCACAGACAGGTGAAGTCACTCTTCCAATATTACACAGCCAGTAAGTAGCAGAAGTGAGATTCAACCCAAGTCAACAGACTATTCAGCACTTAACCCTCTCTGTTTTCCCCTCCACCATACAGCCTCTTGCCCCAAGGACCAGAATAATGTTGTTTCCTCATCCTATTCCTTCTCATTCCCAACACAATGTGTGCCACACGGTAGGCTCATAAGAAGTTTTTGTTGACTGAAGCTTAGCGGTCTGCCCCAACACTGAGCCTGGGGAGTTTCCTTATTAAACCACAAGCCACACTGAGCAGGAAGTGGAGGGATGGGCCTGAGTCAGGAATAGGAGGAAGAGGCCCTGGATACAGAGCAGTAGCCAAGGGTGAGGACTGGGGTAGAGGGTGGGGAGGAGGCACACCACAATAGTCTCCACACAATCTTTGAAACCCCACCCGCCACCCCAGGCCACCCCAAGCCCTGCACAACCTGCCAGAGCCAGCCATACCTCCGTTCTGCCATCTGTCCCCTCCACCTGGAAGTCTCTTCCTTCCCTCTTTGAAGGGAAGGTTACCCCAACTCATGCAGATTTAAGGGTACTTCCTCCTGGAAGCTTTCTTGGCCTCCTTACCAGGTAAAACCCCAAATACAGGCTCTCATGGCACTTACCACAGTCGCAACTCTGCGTTTTATTTGAGTGACTATTTGATTCACATCCATCTCTCCTTCTAAACCGCAAGCTCCTGGGGGGCTCTCCTTTGCTCACCGTGTATTCCCAGCATCCTGCACACTGCCTTGCACTGAGGAAATAGCCAGTGACCCTGTGTCGAATAGGGAATGACTGAATGAATATAGAGATGAATGTTGAAACTGGAACACTCTCTGTGGTAGGATGAAAATGGCCCCCAAAAGATATCCAGACCTAATCCCTTGAACCTGTGAGTGTTACTTTATATGGGAACAGTGTCTTTGTATATTGGGTCTTGAGATGGGGAGGTTATCCTAGATGATCAAAGTGAGCCCTAAATGCAATTGCATTGGAGCTCTTAAGAAATTTTTGGTATAAAAAAGAGGCAGGGAAAGATTTCACTCTCACACACACACACACGCACACACGAAGGCTAGCCACCAGGAGCCAAAAGAGGCAAGGAACACATTCCTTCCTAGAAAATTCCAGCCCTGCCAGTACCTTGATTGCAGCCCAATGAAACTGATTTCAGACCCTCCAGAACCAGGAGAGAATTCATTCCGTCATCTTAAGCCACCCAGTGTGTGATAATTTGATATAGCCTTGGGAAACAAATACACCTGACCTCCAAAACCCTCCTCACCCTGACCCCCAAAACCCTCCTGCCTTCTCCGTGTCTAAGCACGTCAGATTTATGGGGGATGGAATAATCTAGAATAATCTGAAATAATTTTAAAAGGAAAAAAGAAAAGGGGATCAAGAAGAAAGAGAGGAGAGGGTGAGTGTAAGGAGGGCTAAAGCCCGAGTGTGCAGGGGGATCATAATTTACTCAGAAGCTGCAGGAAGAAGAGCCCTATGTCCATGCCTCTCTCGACTCTCCTCCAGGGAATGTTCTCCACAAGTGGGGGAGGCTGAGAGTTCTCGAGTTCCCTGTCTGTCTCTCTGTCTGTCAGCCAGTAGCCATGAGCCCCATGAAGGAGCCATCCCTCACTTAGGTGGGCCTCACTCACTGGGCGCCAACCCCTCCCACACCGGCCGGGCACGCCCTTACCTGGAGGCCTGGCACTTGCTGTTCCCTTTGCCCACAACACCCTTCGTTCAGATATCCACACGGTTCATTCCTCACATCCCTTGGGTCCTCATTCTAATGTCACCTACTGGGGGAGGCCTGCTGCCCACTCTATTTAAAATGGAGGTGGAGGCCAGGCGCAGTGGCTCACGCCTGTAATCTCAACATTTTGGGAGGCTGAGGCAGGTGGATCGCTTGAGCTCAGGAGTTCAAGACCAGTTCGGGCAACATAGGGAGACCCTGTCTCTATAAAAACCTAAAGAAAAAAAGGAAAAAAAATGGAGGTGGGGGAGGGAAAAGGAAAAAAGGAAAACAAAAAGGCAGCCCTCCCTCCCTACTCCCTAAACCCCTTTCTTACTTTATTGTTCTCGGTGGCGCGTATCACTGTCTGACATGCTACACATTTCTCTCATGTATTGACTCTTGGTGTCCGTCTCCTCCTGCTGCAATGAACACTCCATGTGGCAGGAGTTTTGTTTGCTTTGTCTGCCTCGAATGAAGCCTGGTATGTGGCAGGAAATCAACAGCTATTGAAGAATAAACACTCTCAGAGGGCATTTCTCCAGGAAGATGGAGGCGCTGGGGTGAGCAGATGGGAGCGGGATGATAAAGTCTCTGCTTCAGAAGCCACCAGCCCAGCCACGTCTTCTGCAGATCCTCTGTGCCAAATGCAAACCCTGTCAAGGCATTTCTTACACTTTCTAGTAATTTTCATTCCCACAGACCCCACCCCTGGCTGCCTTGGGCTGTGAGCCTCCCACAGGGGGAATTGGCAGCACCCAAACACCTGCCAGTAGTCCCCAAAGTTGGTTCTTTCCCTGGCAGCCTTCCAACTGGACCTACTGCTGGAATTGTCCCACTTACTGCTTTTTGTCTGTGGCTGGTGTGCGTGGGGCTGGCAGGAGCAGTCAACAGGAATAGTTAGAGTCAGACCTGGGCTTACAAGCCAGCTGTACCACTTATGGAGTTACCTTGGGAAAAGCATATAACCTTTCTAAGACTCAGTTTCCTCCTCTGTAAAGTGGGAAGAGAAGACCTATCTCACATAGAATCAGAGGAAGTACATAGTAGCAAATTGCCCAGCACAACAATAAACCTTAGATTTCCTTTCCCCCACTCTTTCTAACTAAACATCCTCCAAGACAAACATAGTATCCTTTCTGTTTTTGTCCCCAGGTGCTTAGCACAGTGCCTGACACAGGGACTACTCAATGAATGTTTGCAGATTTGAGCTACTGACCCAAGAAGAAGGTGTGGCAGTTATGAACTTTGTCACCAAATTGGGATCTCAGAAGAACTGTGCAACTGACTTATGCTTTAGTATGTGGTGACCACAGTTGGCCTAGGGAGAAGAATTGAGTGGAGAGGGGGAAGTAATCTTGAGTCTGGGGCTTAAGAAAGTGGTGTAATAGCAAGAGGCTGTGACCAACCGCCATAAGTATCTCGCTTTGTGGGTGGACAGGAGGCCTCTCCTGGGACCAGTGGATGGGTGAGCACCCAGTAATCACAAGGAAACCCTTCTGTTAATGTATACGTATAGACACACGTAGTGACTGCTTACCAGAATTTCATGAATCTCAGCATCTATTTACTTCAGCTTTCCAACATTAGGCTGAGAATTTATTTCTACAATGTGCAACAATAAACATGAGTCACCTCTTTGAAACTTCATACTGTGCACCAAGTGTTGATCAAAACTGTGTATATTTCTGAATACGTATTTACTTAAATAACTTGTATGGGTTTTGAACACATTTATTAATTAAAGTTAAAAAAAATTTTTTTTGAGACAGAGTTTCACTCGTTGCCCAGGCTGGAGTGCAATGGCGCAATCTCAGCTCACTACAATCTCCGCCTCCTGGGTTCAAGCAATTCTCCTGCCTCAGCCTCTTAAGTAGCTGCGATTACAGGCATGTGCCACCATGCCCAGCTAATTTTTTTTTTTTTTGTAATTAGTAGATACGGGGTTTCACGATGTTGGTCAGGCTGGTCTTGAACTCCTGACCTCATATGATCCACCCGCCTTGGCCTCCCAAAGTGGGATCACAGGTGTGAGCCACCGCACCTGGCTAGTTTAAAATTTTTAAAAATGTGAAGATGACCTCACCATATACAAGAACTCAAAGAATGCTCAGAAGAAATGCTAATTTTTTTCATGGTCCTGGTAATTTTCCACTGGAATTTTGGGGTGTCCTGAAAAGAGAGGCTGGGGTAGGACAGAGGGACAGGTTAGTGAAGACAGAAAGGGGGTTGGCTGCGGACTATCAGAGATACCAGCAGGACCTCCCCCACCAATATCACCCAAATGTTGGCCTGTTTAAAAGAGTTTGGAAAAGGAGGTGAGAAGAACATCACCTGTCTTGTTCTTCTGTCCCAAAAGGTCAGATCGCCACAGAATGAATGTGGGGGCGAGGTATGAACCCGCTATGCTCTTGAGATAGCTCTTCCTCTCTGACTTTCGTTTTCTTATAAATTATAAAACTTCACAACTCCTTAGGACTGCAGAGCTTCTCTTTTCATGCCCCACTCCCACACATCCTCTGCTGGGCACTTGTACATGCTCACCATTTGTCATCCCTGGCTGGCCTCCAGTTACCATTTCTTTTCTTTTCTTTTTTTTTTTTTTGAGACGGAGTCTCGCTCTGTCACCCAGGCTGGAGTGCAGTGGAGCGATCTCCGCTCACTGCAAGCTCTGCCTCCCGGGTTCACACCATTCTCCTTCCTCAGCCTCCCGAATAACTGGGACTACAGGTGCCCACCACCACGCCCGGCTAATTTTTTGTATTTTTAGTAGAGACGGGGTTTCATTGTGTTAGCCAGGATGGTCTTGATCTCCTGACCTCGTGCTCCACCTGCCTCAGCCTCCCAAAGTGCTGGGATTACAGGCGTGAGCCAGGCACCTGGCCACCATTTCTATTTTTTTTTTTTTTTTTTTTGAGACAGAGAGTCTCGCTCTGTCGCCCAGGCTGGAGTGCAGTGGCGCGATCTCAGCTCACTGCAAGCTCCGCCTCCCGGGTTCACGCCATTCTCCTGCCTCAGCCTCCCAAATAGCTGAGACTACAGGTGCACGCCACCACGCCTAGCTAATTATTTTTTTTTGTATTTTTGGTAGAGATGGGATTTCACTATATTAGCCAGGATGGTCTCCATCTCCTGACCTCGTGATTTGCCTGCCTCGGTCTCCCAAAGTGCTGGGGTTACAGGCGTGAGCCACCACGCCCAGCCCACCATTTCTTACATTTGTCATTAATTATGTGAAAGAGGAAAGACTGTACTTCCAGTGTGTCCTGGGAAGAGTGGTGGAATGGAAACATGTAGGTAGATGACAGGAGCCCCCTGAAAGGATTCTAGGGTTCCATGGGGGGCAGGGAGACCCCCTGGAGCCTGGGGGACAGGGAGAAGAGGCTTCCCACTGTGAGCTGCTCAAGACATGTTTGGCCCAGCAGTGAACAGAAAGGAAACCCAATTTATAGGAAAAATGACAGCAGTACTAATATCCACAAGTATATAACACTTTAGAGTTTACAGAACACTTTAGATCTAAGCTGTTTCTTCTCATATCATAATGAAGTTACCTATTGAAGTCTAAACACCCTAAAAGCGCATGAGTCTGATAAGGCCAGTGTCTTACTAATTTTTGGATCCTACCATGCCTAGGCAAGTGTACTTAACAAATGTTTGCTTGCATTCATCCTCTCAACAACCCTGACAGGTTGGAAGAAGTGGTATTATCCTCGTTTTTTAGCTAAGAAATCCGAGACCTGGGGAATTCATGACTTACCCAAAGTCACGGATGGCAACTGACAGACCTGGGGCTTGAACCTCAGGCTTAGGTCTTCCCATTGAGCACTCGGGCTGCTGCCAGAGACAGGGGAGAATATAGAGCTTTAAATCCTTGAAGCAAAGGAGCTGTAATTCAAGGATTTACAAGACATTTCTGCATGACAGAGGAGTGATTAGGATTTGTCTTCACATGGGAGTCTCCCTGTATTGGGTGAACCTTCTTAGTCTTGTCAATATAAAGTACATGCATACCCATTGTTCTGGAAGACATCCTAGACATCTGTGATGGGTCCGAGACAGAGTCCTCAGACTGAAGTGTTACTGGTTTCATTTAGCAATGTCAGTGGAGTATCTCCTTAGCAGAACCATGCCCCTGAGGAATTACAGAATTTGTTTCCCAAAGTCTCAATTTAGGCTGTCCCATGGCTGAAAATCATTATCCTTTGTCCAGTCATTGTTCACTGCAGGGCAGGAGCCCAGACAACCGCAGGAAGAGCAGGCAGACCAAGTCTCTTCCCTTCCGGGCAGGAATGACCGAGGTAAGGCCCTGGATTGGGCCTGATTTGTCATTATCTGGGCCACACGGCTGCTGGCCCACCTGCAGGGTTATTTAAGGCCAAGGCAGGCTTAAGGCAACTAGCCCTATGTGAGCCATTGGAGCCAGGTTGTACCTTCAGGATAGGTCTAGGAATTTCTCTTGAAAGATATTGATGTTCTTGCTGTGAATCATCTTGAGGCAAAAAGTTAAAAACAAAACAAAACAAGGTGGTCTTTGGGCAGGAAGAGGAAGGCCTCTGCTCTCTTTATGGGCAAGGAGGGTGTTCAGAGAGGCCTAGAGACTTCCAAAGGCAAGAAGTTCACTGGCCTCTCCCTGCCACCAACATTGCCAGAAGCTTAAGGAGGGTTTGCAAAATGCAGCTGAACTGGTGGGTGCTCTGAAACTACTGCTTTGAGCAGTTGTAACAGACTATCTCTTTGGTACTTTTGTTATTTGAGAGCTTCCAATAGCATTTTTTCAAAGATGCTGGGCCTGTGTCCGTACTTCAAACAAACAGCTGCAGCTCAGAGGCCACCACCGTGAGACGCTCAGAGGTGAGGTGCAAGCCCTCTAGGATGGCTCTGGGATTGGAAACCCAAGAGCAGATGGACTTCCTGCATTTGTGGGATGGGAGTTCAAACTGTTGTTATTTTAGAATTAAGGGGAAATGACACCCTTAAAAACTGGAGAAGTCAAGGCCATCTGGGCTGCAGAAGGAAGACACGACTGTGTCTTGAAATGACACGAGATATTTCTGTCAATGTTCTGTTCTTCACTTCTTGCATCCCAAGTTCACAAAGCAATGACAATGGACTAAGTTCATGGACCAGGTCCACAGCCTTCCTGACGAGGTGATTTTCTTAAAATAATTCTGGGGGAGGGAGGTGTCCCAAGTACAACCAAAGGCCCAGTTGTCCCAAGATGGTGTGGTGGGCCTCAGCACAACATACAACCCAGAGTGAGGCCAAACACATCCAGGCCATGAAAGAAAGGGGCTAGATCCCTCTAGTCAGCGTGCTTTTTGCTGAATGTTTCTACAGACCTCACTCCCTCTTGTGTCCGGAATTGGTGGGTTCTTGGTCTCACTGACTTCAAGAATGAAGCTGCGGACCCTCGCGGTGAGTGTTACAGCTTTTAAGGTGGCGCGTCTGGAGTCTGTCCCTTTTGATGCTCAGATGTGTTCGGAGTTTCTTCCTTCTGATGGGTTCGTGGTCTCGCTGGCTCAGGAGTGAAGCTGCAGAGCTTTGCGGAGAGTGTTACAGCTCTTAAGGCAGCGCATCTGGAGTTGTTCGTTCCTCCTGGTGGGCTTGTGGTCTCACTGGGCTCAGGAGTGAAGCTGCAGATCTTCGCGGTGTTACAGCTCATAAAAGCAGCGCGGACCCAAAGAGTCAGCAGTAGCAAGACTTATTGCAAAGAGCGAAAGAACAAAGCTTCCACAGGGTGGAAGGGGACCCGAGCGGGTTGCCAACGCTGGCTCGGGCAGCCTGCTTTTATTCTCTTATCTGGCCCCACCCACATCCTGCTGATGGGTAGAGCCAAGTGGCCTGTTTTGACAGGGTGCTGATTGGTAAATTTACAATCCCTGAGCTAGATACAAATGTTCTTCACGTCCCCATCAGATTAGTTAGATACAGAGTATGGACACAAAGGTTCTCCAAGGCCCCACCAGAGCAGCTAGATACAGAGTGTCGATTGGTGCACTCACAAACCTTGAGCTAAACACAGGGGTGCTGATTGGTGTGTTTACAAACCTTGAGCTAAACATAAAGACTCTCCGCGTCCCCACCAGACTCAGGAGCCCAGCTGGCTTCACCTAATGGATCCCGCACCGGGGCTTCAGGTGGAGCTGCCTGCCAGTCCTGCGCCGTGCGCTCGCATTCCTCAGCCCTTGGGTGGTCGATGGGACTGGGCGCCTTGGAGCAGGGGGTGGTGCTCCACGGGGAGGCTCGGGCCTCAGAGGAGCCCATGGAGTGGGTGGGTGGCTCAGGCATGGCGGGCTGCAGGTCCCGAGCCCTGCCCCGCGGGAAGGCAGCTAAGGCCCGGCAAGAAATCGAGCACAGCGCCGGTGGGCCGGCACTGCTGGGGGACCCAGTACACCCTCCGCAGCCACTGGCCCGGGTGCTAAGTCCCTCATTGCCCGGGGCCAGCAGGGCTGGCTGGCTGTTCCGAGTGCGGGGCCCGCCAAGCCCACGCCCACCCGGAACTCCAGCTGGCCCGCAAGCGCCGCACGCAGCCCCGGTTGCCGCTGGAGCCTCTCCCTCCACACCTCCCTGCAAGCTGAGGGAGTGGGCTCCAGCCTTGGCCAACCCAGAAAGGGGCTCCCACAGTGCAGTGGGGGGGCTGAAGGGCTCCTCAAATGCCGCCAAAGTGGGAGCCCAGGCAGGGGAGGTGCCGAGAGCAAGCGAGGGCTCTGAGGACTGCCAGCAGGCTGTCACCTCTCACTCTCACTTGAGAAGCCATTATCAGTTACCAGAACACTTTGTGTCTGGCTTTACAACAGCCCAGATTCCAATCTTGCCAACAGCTAATAGAGCCAAAGGGACCGGTTCCAGGGTGCACGACTGGTAGTGACCAAGCTGGGGCTAGAAGTAGGTCTGTTGGTTTTGAGGTAACCAGGCTCCTCCCACCTAAGGCAATGACCAAGAACAGTGTCCCAGGCAGATTATAGGAATGAGAAGGCTCTTAGCCCCAGCTCTGCTGATTTAAAGTAATTAGCATGGGCATTCCTTCACCTGGGAGATCAGTACTTCTTCCCCTTCCCCCTAAACTGATGGGCATGACAACCTCACGCAGTCTTCACAGTTCCACAAACTTAGCTGCTATGGTTTGAGAGCCAGAGAGTTGAGCTTCGATCTGGAGACCAAAGTTTTAATTCTGTCACTAACTAGTGAGTTACCCTGGCTACTCACCTTCATGCTCTAGATTTCCTCTTCTATTTAAAATGCAAATCTGCCATATCCCTCTCCTGCCTAAAACCCTTCACTGATGCCTTTCACCCACCCAGCTAAAGTTCTAGGAACTCCCCATTCAAGCCTGAGCCACCACACAGAGTCGAGAGGAATGTTGAGAATGGGGTTTTGTCCCTTCTGAGCTCTTTGGTGCTCCTCCAGGGGGGAGCCAGGGAGAAGGTGAAGGGATGTGGACACTCATTAGGTTTGGCAACTGGAGACTTCTCCCAGGGCCGTTGCTGGGGCTGGGCGAGCCCCTCACTGTGCATCTGCAATTCTCCTGGACCCAACAACTACCAAGTTTCCTACCCACACAGTTTCCTTCTCTGTGTCTCCTTCTTACGGTCAGTTCCCTCTGTGTCTCTCTCCTTGTTATGTGCAGCTCTGACACAGTGATCACAAGTCCTGGAACTTCCCTACTCACCAGTTGAGGGACAGAAACTGCAAGTTACGCTTGTTAGCACACTCAAGCACAGACTTCCTGCCAACTCAGATGCCCATCCGACTCCCCAGGCATGCCCATTTAACAGCATCATCCTGAGCACCAAGATAAAGTCAAATGAAAATGAGACAATGGAACCACCCAGAGCCCAAAATCTGCCCTCAAAATTTCCCAGGGTAACCCTAGGGGCCAGATGTTCACGCAGCAGGTTCCCTGGTTCCCTGGGCTAGCCACGTCCCTCTACCATCTACAAGACTCTCAGCCCTCAGCTGTTCCTCCTCTCTTGCCCTCCCCCTTGTCTTTTTCTCCAACCCCGTTCTCTCTTTCTCTCAATCACTTGACATTTGTCTCTTGCAAGAATTCTTCCAAGATTCAGAAGGGCACTGTTCACATGGTAGTAAAAGCATGAGCTCTGGAGTCAAACAGACCAGTTGAACAGGCTTCTAGCTCTGCTACGTACTGAGTGAATGACATGGGCAAGTGACTCAGTCTCTCACCTCATTTTCCCATCTGTAAAACACTGATAATGATGCTTATCTCACTGAGTGTTTATAAGGATTAAATGAAATAAGGTTTGCAGATTATTCAGGGTAGTTAACACTAGCTGCTATGAAAAAAACTTCACAAAATCTCAGTGGCTTGAGAGGGTTTACTCCTCACCCAATCAATAGGCTGATGCAAACTGGGTGTCTTTTCTGCACAGCTGCCCTCCAAGAGGTGATTCAGGGGCCCAAGCTCCCTCTATTCCCTTGGAGTCCTCCACTGGACACCTCCAGATGGCTGGCAGAATAGCAAAGACAGAGTTAGCAGCCAGGCCTGGAAGTGGCACCCATCAACTCAACTTTACAGTGCTTAAAAGCCAGCCACATATTCTACTTAACTGCAAGGGGGACTGGGAAATATAGTTGCCCCATGTGCCCAGGAAGAGGAACTGGTATTACTAAGCATCTGGCCATTCTCTGCCACAACATGTGAAGTATTTCACATAGTGCCCGATAGGTCATAAAAACTCAATAAATATTAATAGAAGATATGGCCAGGTGTGGTGGCTCACGCCTGTAATCCTAGCACTTTGGGAGGCTAAGGCAGGAGGATCGTTTGAGCCTAGGAGTTCCAAACCAGCCTGGGCAACATGGTGAAATGTCATCTCTACCAAAAAAAATAAAATAAAATAAATTACCTGGGCATGGTGGCCTGCACCTGTAGTCCCAGCTACTCAGGAGGCTGAGGTGGGAGGATCACTTGAGCCTGGGAAGTAGAGGCTGCAGTGAGCCAAGATCAAGCCACTGCACTCCAGCCTGGGTGACAGAGTGAAACCTTGTCTCAATAAATAAATAAATAAATAAAAATTAAGAAAAAATTTAAAAAGAGAAGATCCTTTAATGATTGCCTCCTATCATATGTCTCTCTACTGGTGTGAATACCAGAATACACAGAACTTTAGGGTGGACTTTTCAGAACACTGAAAACAAAACAAAATAAACATGTGGATTCCGTGTTTCTTTTTCTTCCTTTTCAAGTATAGTAATCACATGCCTGACGTAACTCCTATTCTGGGTGCTCTCCATGAGGCAGCAGGATACATTGGAATAGCCTGCATTCAAATCCTGGCTCTGCCCTGAGCTAGGTATTAACCTATGTTAGCCACTGTGGTTTTCTCATCTTAAAACAAGAGTGCCAGTTTACCCACTTTCCAGGGTTCTTAAAAAATGCCATATTCCCTAATCTCCAAGTAAACACTTCCTTCTGTCTGGAATACCCTCCCTATCCACTCTTCATTAGCTACCTCCTATTCCTCCCTCAAGTCTCAACTTAGATGTCACCTCCTTCAGGAAGTTTTCCTTATCTTCTATCCCAAGTGTGGTTTAGTGCCTCTGTCTTTTGTCCAGTCAGCCTGTACTTGCCTTCCCAGAGCACTTACCACTGTGTATTAAAATCTCTGTTCACTTTCTGCCTCTGCCCAGATTGCTTCTTGGGGAAAGGGACTTAGTTTTGATCACCATTTTATTCCTAGCATCATTATAGCATCTGGCCCACAACGAGTGTGCAGTAAATATTGTCATATGAACGAATTAAAAATTTTGATCCTCCTTCAAAATGGTAACGCGTAAGACTCTTATACGTCAACAAAAAATAAAAGTAAAGACAAGGTCAGGAACTGGCCAGGTGCGTTGGCTCACGCCTGTAATCCCAGCACTTTGGGAGGCTGAGGCAGATGGATCACTTGAAGTCAGGAGTTTGAGACCAGCCTGGCCAACATGGTGAAACCCCGTATCTACCTAAAAATACAAAAATTTCGCCAGGCGTGGTGGTGGGTGCCTGTAATCCCAGCTACTTGGAAGGCTAAGACATGAGAATCACTTGAACCTGAGAGATGGAGGTTGCAGTGAGCCGAGATTGTGCCGCTGCACTCCAGCCTGGGCAACAGAGAGAGACGCTGTCTTAAAAAAAAAAAAAAAAAAAAAAAATTGCCGGGCGCGGTGGCTCACCCCTGTAATCCCAGCACTTTGGGAGGCCGATGCGGCCATATCACGAGGTCAGGAGATTGAGACCATCCTGGCTAACACGGTAAAACCCCGTCTCTACTAAAAAAATACAAAAAATTAGCCGGGCGTGGTGGCGGATGCCTGTAGTCCCAGCTACTCGGGAGGTGAGGCAGCAGAATGGCATGAACCCGGAAGGCAGAGCTTGCAGTGAGCCAAGATCGGGCCACTGCACTCCAGCCTGGGTGACAGAGCAAGACTCTGTCTCAAAAAAAAAAAAAAAAAGTTCTGGAAGAAACATCACAGTGTCTTTCTCTTTTAAAAGGTCGGGGTAACTAAGTAGTTGTTTCAGAAGGCAGCTACACCCCTTGGGTCATGACAGGGTACTCCTGAGCAATTTACCATCTTAATTCCTCACTTGAGCAACAGAGAGTATAAAAAAAATCTTCACACATTAAAAAAGCCTGGGGCTTGCCCTCTCCACTCATCTGGGGGTGTGGCAACAAGAGCTGTCTCCTGAGGGTGGCCCAGGCTGATGATGTGTCCTGGTAGGCCTGCAGATATCACTCTCCCCCATCCATGTAGCTGAGGCACCCCTGCCTTCGCTGACTATCGTCAAGAGTGAGGTCTTTCTAGTCCCAATGTAGACTCTTAGATACAGGATGGGATCTCCCAACTCCCACCCCCAGCCAACCTGGCACACTTTCAGTCCAGGCCACTGGGCAGAGAGATTTCCGCTCTGAAAATATTGAAATAGGGTTTATATCTCCACAAACCATGGGGATAATGCCTCACTAACTCCTAGACCACGCACAGTGCTGGTGTCACACACCTAAGTTAGGGGCCCTTTCTCAAAAGCTGCAGTAAATAAGGCCCTCCATGTGGGCATTGGGCACTGCCAGGGAAACCTCCCAGGAGCAGGTGATAGTTACAGGAGGCAGTCAAATGCCTAGGCAGATAGGGCGGGTCCCTGGTGAAACCCCACCTCCAAGTTGAAGACAACTTAAAACCTGAAAGCCAAGCTGCAAGTTAAATCTTCAGACCAGATTGAGAACCTGTCTTCCCATTTGGCACGCTTTCCTCTGATTGATCCCCACCCTTCACCTACTTTACATACACCTACCCTTTCCTAATTGGTTTTCTACACTGTCGTACCCACCTTTGAGTGGTATTTTCACTTTAACCTTTTTTGCATACTCACAAACCAATCGGCATGCACTCCCTATTCTGAGTCCAGAAAAAGCCCTGGATCCAGCCACACTGAGAAAAAAAAACACCCAACTGTGGGAGCGGGGAACCACCCCCCTCCCCATCCCCTCTCTGCTGAGAGCTGGTCCATCACTCAATAAAATTATTCTCTGCCCATCCTCACCCTTCAACTGTCAGCGAATTCTCATTCTTCTTGAACACAGGACAAGAGCTCAGGAACAAATGAAGGTACAAACTACAATACAGGCAGGGCGGGGTATGGCCGGGTGGGTGGGGCAGCAGGCCTGGAGTGGGGCCTTGCTGGCCAGAAATGTCCTGAGCCCCTCTTCTTTGGTTTGTCTGAGAACAAGGGCAGGGCTTGAGGGATGCACACACAGTCCCAAACACACATATGCACTTGGCAAACAGACAACGTTCTCCACACCACAATGAAATCCAAATCCACAGACTGGCCACTGCAAATCATATATGACTGCAAGTGCACACACACACACACACACACACACACACACACACACACACTTTGAAGCAGGTGTCAGCCTCCAAGAAAAAGTGATGGACAGTCTGTCTCTCATATCCTCACATATTTGGTTCACCTGGAGATGGCCTCAGATGAGCCAAGTGACACAGAGGTGCGAGAGACTGAGGATGTGCTGAGGTGTTACCCAGCACTCCAGTAGTGCTATTACCCAACACAAAAATTGGTCTGAATATCAGATTTCAAGCAAGCAAGGGAAACCCAGAAGAGACTGGGAGAAGTCCTTATGGAGGCTAAAGCAACTCCATGTTGGATGCTAATCCACAGTTTTGGCCGTGTTGGCTTTGGAGCCTCCCAGAAGACCTCTGAGATTCCCAATTTATCAATTGCTCCTTGTGTAAGTGCAAACACTTACTGTAAATCCGGCCCTTAGGTCAAACAACCTTGATGTTATCATACTTCAACTGTCCTACACATCTTTTCTGAATCACCCTTCCCCTGTGGTCTATAAGCCCTGGTCCTGGGGGTGAATCATGGAGACACAAACGTAGCTTCTGTTTATAAGTCCTTATTAAATGTTTTTTTCGAAGAAACTGGATGTGTCAGCCTGTAACCTGCAAAAGGATCTGGCTGCTCTCTGCTTGTAGAAAGAATGGATAATAAAGGAAAATCTGCTAGCTGCCATGCTAGCAGGGGAAGAGCAGCAAACAATTCCACTCTTCAATTCATGGGGGGAACGCAGGGGTTTTTTAAGAAAGGATCTGAAATGCAGAAAAGGCAAGGGGGAGGTTAGGAGGTACCAGGTGGTGTGACTTGCTCCAGTGGTCCTCTTTAATTATCGTCTTATTTGGTGGAGGGGCTGGTGCAATCGTGGATCCTGCCAGGTTATAAATTAGTTACTCTTCAGCAGGGTATATGTTCAACTCCTGAAGTAAGCTTTTGTTGGAGAGAGAATTCCGGAGGTGCCTGGTCCCTATCAGGACGCAGCTCCTGAGGCATCTAAGGAAATATATGACCAGGTAAGAGCATAGCGTGTGCTTAACAAGCACGTAGGTAAATAAACGTGCGTAAGGCATGGGAGTACAGTATGGGACAGGAAAGGGAGTGGAGGTCACAGCACGTCCTGAGGCTGTGTTTTAAGATGAGAGGTAACATACATGCAGTTTGTCTCAAAATTATATCTTGAGGCCCAGAGGAGGAAGAGAAAAAAGGAAAGAAGAGAAACTAAGTTTAAAACACGGTTTAAGGCTGGGCGCGGTGGCTCACCCCTGTAATCCCAGCACTTTGGGAGGCTGAGGCGGGTGGATCACCTGAGGTCAGGAGTTCGAGACCAGCCTGGCCAACATGGTGAAACCCCGTCTCTACTAAAAATACAAAAATTAGCCCAGGCGTGGTGGCACATGCCTGTAATGCCAGCTACTCGGAAGGCTGAGGCAGGAGAATCGCTTGAACCTGGGAGACGAAGGTTGCAGTGATCCGAGATCACGCCACTGCATTCCAGCTTGGGCGACAGAGCGAGACTGTAAAAAAAAAAAATAGATAAAAAAATTTTAAAAATCGCGGTTTGAGGCTCAGCTGCTGAGCTGCTGGTTAAAAGCCTCTTTCTTGGGTCTCTCAGCTTCCTGGGACTTTGGGGGCAGGTCTGCATAAACTGCTTAGTTGTGGACCCCCCTCCAACAATTAGGTAGGGGACTACTCAGTATTCATCCATCGGTGTCCTCAGACCCCCAGACGGGGAGGCCCTGGGGCAACGCCAAGACTCACACCGGCGTCCTGGCGCCTTTGCCCTCAAGGGCCTGCAACTACCTCCTCCCCATTCGGAGCGGCCGCGGCCACATCCTTAACGCCAAGCCGGCACGCCAGGCAAAAGCGGCTCGGACGCCCTCACCCCACCTTCCGCACTCAGGGCCGAGGCTGTGCCTGGCCACCTGCTTCCCAGCACATGCACACACGCGCGCGCGCACACACCCACACACACGTACCCACGGCCGGCCGGGCTACCCGGACCACTTTGATCCGAAGGCACTGGAGGCCCAGAGGGAAGGAAAGGGAGGGGTGGCCGGAGCCCGCTAGCGCCCCAGGACAGCCTCGGGTTGCCCCAGGCGGTAGCCCTGTGGGACAGTGGTTCCCCGTCCGCGGCCTCGGGGGCGGGGCGTCTGTAGGCCTCGCCCCGCTGACGTCAGCCCTGCGGGGCGCTGGCGGAGCGGGCGGCGGAGCTGTCAGTCCCAGCCCAAGGGTAGCTGGAGGCGCGCAGGCCGGCTCCGCTCCGGCCCCGGACGATGCGGCGCGCCCAGGATGCTGCCGTGCCTCGTAGTGCTGCTGGCGGCGCTCCTCAGCCTCCGTCTTGGCTCAGACGCTCATGGTAAGGCTCCGGGACGCGGCCCTTCCCTGCCCTGCCCTCTCCGCGCCCGCTCCATTAAAGTTCTCCATCCAGTGGAGAGCCCTGGCTGGCTGGCCCTCTGGCAGAGCGGTGCCCGGGTGCTCCCTTACTCTGGCAAACCTGGATCTCAGGCTCACCTGTTGTGGAAGTGGAAGAGGCTGAAATTGACAGGAACTGACGGATTGGGAAGGATAGAGAAGTATGCGCAAGGCCAAACCCCCAACCCGCAAACCTCATCATCCACCCACTTCTAGATGAGCCGTAAGTTTAGCTCTAGGTTTTTTGCTGTTTAGGTTCAAATGATGGGACTTCTTGTCCCCTTGGGGAATAATTTTGATCTCCTGACTCTCCCTTCTCTTAGTCGACTCTTCAACTAACCTCTGTCTGTCCTTCTCCCATCTCACCTTCATCCCTCACTGATCACCCCGATCTGATCCCCCTTG
The DNA here is from genome assembly GCF_000001405.40 of Homo sapiens. Lineage (NCBI taxonomy): Eukaryota > Metazoa > Chordata > Mammalia > Primates > Hominidae > Homo > Homo sapiens. Next base: position 117,986,996 of record NC_000011.10, read on the forward strand.
CTCCACCTGTAGCCCCCAACTCACTCCCACTGCCCCCTGCCTCTCTCCTCCTAACCCAGCCAGTTCAGGCTTCTAACCCAGTTCAGGCTCCTAACCCAGACAGTTCTCCGGCAAGGTTTCTGCAACTAAGAAAAGTAAACCCCAGAGACAGAATGAAAGAGCCGGGAGTTGGAAGGACCAAGAGCAGAGACAGAGAGCAAGGACCGAAACTGCTTCTTCATGACACCAAAATACAAAGTAAAACATGCAGTCAGCCATTCACGTGATCGAGAGCTGAGTCGGAGATGTGCAGCCCAAATACCACAACGACTCGCTGCATTTTTCACTTTCCGTCTAATGTTTCGAAATCAAGGCACTGACGTGAAGATCAAAGACGGTATAAGAAAGAAAGCAAGAGACAGATGACAGAGTCCTCCCCCCCAAAAAATAAATAAAAAACAGGTGCATGATTAGAGAGATGTAGAGAAGTTAGAACACTAGGGAGCGGGAGCAGAGTCGCTGTCAAATGGAGAGAACTTAGAGGATCAAGGAGGAGAGAAAGGGAACCAACCAGCCGTTGGCCTTGCACATACTTCAGTCTGCTTGATCAACAAGACTCTTAAAGTAGAAATGTTTGTTGCATTCTTACAAAGAAGACAATGCCTTCAGCAGTGTTTCCCATGGTGAATGGTGTGTACTGGGGGTAAAGGGAGAGTAGAGCTAGGAATTGGTATTGAGTATCTCTCCTCGGAGCTACAGGTGCCAGCTCTTGTGGGGATGTCCTCAGCCATGTGTAGAGCCAGAGCTGATTTATTCCATCTGTCCTTGCCCAGCCAGAGGTTGGACATCTGGCTATAGGCAAAGCCCTCCCAGAAACTAGGGAATGAGGCAAGCACTTAGCTTGGGGAGCCCAGGAGACCTATGAAGAGAAGGAGGCAGATGTCAGCAAGCAGGCTGTCTGTGTACTTAGTGAGGTGGCTTTGAGCTGGAGCCTGGGCCAAGCCAGGGTGGGGATCAGGTGTGTGGATGGGGCCAAGCCTAGGAATAGTGCTAGAGCAGGGACAGGGATTGGGCAGAGCCAGGGACTAACACATCTGAGAGCTCATTGCCAACTTGCTTAGCCCTCGGCCCCTGCCTTCTTCCCTGGTAGGCATCAGACTCAGCTTGGCTCTTCTCAGCCCCCACTGCAGCTTCTGATCACAGAGAGCACAGGGCAGTGATTTAGGGAGACACACTAGCTCTAGAATCAGACACATGTGGATTCATGTGCCCACTCTGCCCCTTACGGGCTCCGCTGGCCTCGGGCGAGTCATAGCCTCTCTGAACCTCCCTTTCTTCTTTGGTAAAATTGGGGTCATCAATGCCTGCCCCCCCTCCCAGCTGTGGTACTGACACTCTTCTCCCCAGGGACAGAGCTGCCCAGCCCTCCGTCTGTGTGGTTTGAAGCAGAATTTTTCCACCACATCCTCCACTGGACACCCATCCCAAATCAGTCTGAAAGTACCTGCTATGAAGTGGCGCTCCTGAGGTGAGGAAAAGGGAAGAGGGAGGGGGAGGGAGGAGTGAATCCCCGCCTTGTCCTCTACTCTCCTAGCATGGGAAGATACCTGCCTTGTTAATGAAGTGAGTGCCTGAGGGCCCCTAACACATAGCCAGCAGTTGACAAGTACTGACTGAGACTCCCTTGCTGAGCAATGTGCCGGGAGCTCTGGGTGAAAAGGCCAGAGCCTTTGCTCACTCCAGAGTAAGAAAAGCCTTGTGCCAAGGCTTTTCTCTTTTTTGTTTTGTTTTGTTTTGTTTCGTTGAGACAGCTTCTCGCTCTGTCACCCAGGCTGGAGTGCAGTGGCGCAATCTCAGCTCACTGCAGCCTCTGCCTCCTGGGTTCAAGCAATTCTCCCATCTCAGCCTCCCAAGTAGCTGGGATTACAGGGGTCCACCACCATGCCTGGCTAATGTTTGCATTTTTAGTAGAGACGGGTTTTCACCATGTTGGCCAGGCTGGTCTCGAACTCCTGACTTCAGGTGATCCACCCGCCTCAGCCTCCCAAAGGGCTGGGATTACTGGCGTGAGCCACCACCTCCGGCCTCCAAGGCTTTTCTATCTTACTGGAAAAGGAGAAGCATCCACAGTACAGCCAGACAACAGGGGAACACTAATGACTGTAAAGGCAGTGGGGAGAAGGGAGAGACCAGGCTGTGCTGTAGGAGCCAGAAAGAATTTCTGGAAGAGCTGGGCCTACTCGTATTCCTATCTAAAAATCTGCTAGACCACATGGAAATTGGTACGGGGTCCCAAGACCAAGGGAGACCCCTCACAATGAGCTGCCGTGGACTAGAGGATATAGCCTGAGGGCTGTCCCAGTTTCTCCCAATGTGGGAGCTCTCTTCCTGGCCTCTTGCGTCTCCCTTAAAGGAGGTAGGATTGAGCACAAGCTCGTTTCCAGTGCCTAACCTGGTATCTCCTCAGGTATGGAATAGAGTCCTGGAACTCCATCTCCAACTGTAGCCAGACCCTGTCCTATGACCTTACCGCAGTGACCTTGGACCTGTACCACAGCAATGGCTACCGGGCCAGAGTGCGGGCTGTGGACGGCAGCCGGCACTCCAACTGGACCGTCACCAACACCCGCTTCTCTGTGGATGAAGGTGCTTTTCCTCCCTTGACTTAGAACATGGCTCTGAAGTCCCTTCCAGCCAGGAACTCTAGTCTAGAGCTTTTCTGTCTATTACCATAGCTCACCATGTCTGCCAGCCTCCCTGGCCGGAGAACTAGTTGCCCAAACAGGGCAGGACTTTGGAGAATGTTAGATAAAAATAGCCCAAGTTGTTTGAGATTTAAAAGGGAACTGGAGTTGTTTATCCTACAGAAGAGAGGTCTTGGGGTGGGTTGGGACAGCTGAGTCACCAGGTCCAGGCCTGTGAACTTGTTTTTTCAGGGAGGGTTCAGGGAGAGGAAGCGAATCCATGAACACTCAGCATAGGGCAGCAAGCAGTAGGCAGAATTTGGGTGAACGCCCCGCTTCTTTAGGGGTGAACACCCAGGGGTCATCCCTTTGAAATGGGAAGTGCTACTAAAGAGAAGTTATGGATCCCTCTCTGGAGAGGTAAGAGGAAAGGATAAGCCCCCAACTCAGTGGGATTTTTCATCCCACCAGTTGGGATTGAGAAAGTTTTGTGTGCATGGAGACCTCGCTCTGTAGGATTCAGAGTTAGAGCCGATGGTCTAGGAGGTCATTGGCTTCCAAATGCCTGCCCACAGGCCACTGCTCAGCTGGTGCAGAAACGTTTCCCAGCAAGTGTGTTTAAAATATCTATTTCCAGGGCCCAGCCTCAGAAATTCAGACCAACTGTGTCTTGAATGGGCCCAGGGCATCTGTATTTTTTTTTTTTTTAACATTTTGTTCTTCTTTGTATTTTGATTTGAGCAAGGCAATTATAAAAAGACATTTTTGAGGAAATCACCATATTTGTATATGAAATGGTTTTTAGGGCATATTACTAGGTATTTGTTTGTTACATGTGATAACAGCATGGTAGTTATATTTACAAAGGTGTGATATGTGAGAGATACATACTTACGTAATTAGGAATTAAGTAATACAGTGCTTGGGATTTTTCTTTAAAATGCTAAAGTAAATTTCATGGGGGGATATTGATGACCCTCCCCTGCCACCAATTACTTCAAAATTGGCCTAGTGTTTGCAATTACTAAAGCTGGGACTTTGGAAATCATTATATTCTCTTCTACTTTTCTGTCTATTGGAAATTTCTACATAAAAATATAATCAATGCAATTTATCACATTAACCATTTAAAAAAGAAAACAACATTTAAAAAGAAACTAAGCAAAGTTAAAGTAGAAAGAAAATGTCCTAACCTGTAGAAAGGTATCTATCTACACATATCTACCATAAATATTATGCTTAACAGTAAAGTGTTGGGCTGGGCTCGGTGGCTCACGGCTGTAATCCCAGCACTTTGGGAGGCCAAGGTGGGTGGATCACCTGAGGTCAGGAGTTTGAGACCAGCCTGGCTGACAAGGTGAAACCCCATCTCTTCTAAAAATACAAAAATTAGCCGGGCGTGGTGGCGTGCACCTGTAGTCTCAGCTACTCAGGGAGGCTGAGGCAGGAGAATCACTTGAACTCAGGAGGCAGAGGTTGCAGTGAGCCAAGATCAAGCCATTGCACTCCAGTCTGGGTGACAGAGCGAGACTCTGTCTCAAAAAAACAAACAAATAAACAAAAAACAGTAAAGTGTTGAAAACGTTTTATAAAAAAGTTTTTCTTTTAATTGACAAGTAATAATTCTACATGTTTATGAGGTACAGTGTTATGTATACATAATACATGTATACCTTGTGGAATGATCAAATCAAGGTAATTAGAATATCTATCACCTCAAATATTTAGCATTTCTTTGTGCCAAAAACATTTAAAATATTATCTTTCAGCTATTTTGAAATATACAGTCCATTATTATTACTACAGTCACCTTGCCGTGCAATAGGCACCAGAACTTATTCCTCCTGTCTCACTGTAACTTGGTACCCCTCTCCTTGTTCCCTATCCACTTCTCCCACCTGCCTCCTTCCAGCTTCTGGTAACCACTTCTACTCTCTACTTCTATGAATTGAATTCTAAAAGAATTCTACTTAGATTCTATACATAAGTGAGATCTTATGGCATTTATCTCTTTGCACCTGGCTTATTTCGCTCATGATGTCCTCTAGGTCCATCTGTGTTGTCCCAAATGAGAGTTTCCTTTTTTTTCAATTTGAGACAAAGTCTTGCTCTGTCACCCAGGCTGCAGTGCAATGTCTTGATCTCATCTCACTTCAACCTCCGCCTCCCGAGTTCAAGAGATTCTCTTGCTTCAGCCTCCTTAGTAGCTGGGATTACAGGCACGTGCCACCATGCCCGGCTAATTTTTGTATTTTTAATAGAGATGGGGTTTCACCATGTTGGCCAGGCTGGTCTCGGACTCCTGACCTCAAATGATCCACCCGCCTAAGCCTCCCAAAGTGCTAGGATTACAGGCGTGAGCCACTGGGCCGGGCCTCAGTTTCCTATTTTTCAAGGCTGAATAGGATTCTGTTGTATATACATACCACATTTAAAAAACCCATTCATCCATTGGTGGGCATTTCCATATCTTGGCTGTTATGAATAATACTGCAATGAACGGGGGATACAGGTATCTCTTCAATACACTAATTTCAATATCTTTCGATATATACCCAGTAGTGGGAATTGCTGGATCACATGGTAGCTCTATTTTTAGATTTTCGAGGAACATCCATACTGTTTTCCATAATGGCTGAGAAATTCACCACCAGCGACATGCAAGGGTTTCCCTTTTCACCACATCCTTGCCAATGCTTGTTACTTCCATCTTTTGGATAATAGCCAATCTAACAGGTGTGGAGTGGTATCTCATTGTGGTTTTAATTTGCATTTCTCTGATGATTAGAGATGTTGACCATTTTTTCATGTATCTGTTGGTCATTTGTATGTCTTCTTTTAACTGTCTATTCAAGTCCTTTACCCATTTTAAAAACAGGTTTATTTGTTTTCTTGTTATTAAGTAGTATGAGTTCCTTGTATATTTTGGATATGAACCCCTTATTCAATGAACATTTGTAAATATTTTCCACCCATTCATAGATTGTGTCTTCACTCTAGTGGTTGTTTCTTTTGCTGTGCAGAAGCTCTTTAGTGTGATGCAATCCCATTTGTCTATTTTTGCTTTTGTTGCCTGTGCTTTAGGGATCGTATCCAAGAAATCTTTGCCCAGACCAAAGTCTTAGAACTTTGCCCCAGGTTTTCTTCTGGTGGTTTTTATAGTTTCAGGTGTTACATTTGTCTTTAATCCATTTTGTGTTGATTGTTGCGTAAGAGGTGAGACAAAGATCTATTTTCATTGTTCTGTTTGTGAATATCCAGTTTTCCCAACACCATTTGTTGAAGAGACTGTTCTTTTCCCATTGTGTGTTCTTGGCCCCTTTGTTGAAAATCAATTGTGGGTTTATTTCTGGGCTGTCCATCATATTCCATTGGTTGATGCATCTGATTTTAGGGTATATGTATTTTTAATGTGCTCCCCAAGAAGTCCTTACATTCTGCTGCATTGACAAACCTGTGGCCAAGTTTTAGGCCTAGGTTCTAATTAAGCTTAATTCTGGAGGCAAAGTCTCGGCGGGGACACCCAGGCCCTCCTCAGCCCTCAAGTCTCATGGTATTCCCCCCCACCCCAACTCCATTTAGTGACTCTGACAGTTGGCAGTGTGAACCTAGAGATCCACAATGGCTTCATCCTCGGGAAGATTCAGCTACCCAGGCCCAAGATGGCCCCCGCAAATGACACATATGAAAGCATCTTCAGTCACTTCCGAGAGTATGAGATTGCCATTCGCAAGGTGCCGGGAAACTTCACGGTATGGGGTTCCCCAAGGCCCCAGGGCCAGAACTCCCTTGGCTTCCCTGTCCCCTGGGCTGGAAGCACCCTTGTGTGCCATTGGGAACTTTGCTTATGGACTAAAGGGAGGGTCTGGGATGGTGGGTGGGCAGAGGAGGGAGTAGAAACCACCTCAGCCCTCAGAGCTATGCTCTTGTGAGATGCTCCTCAAAGGAATTGCCTACTAGGGCAATTGGGCACCCCAGAGCCCTTGTAGATGAAGCAATAAGGCTCTGAGAGGCTGTGTAACCTACCAGAGGGCGCCCCTGTTATGGGAGAGCTGGCATCTGCAAAATCCACCCTCTCTCCTCTCCACCACTGTTGATTCCAGCCCCTTCTGGGAAGATCTTCAGCATCTATAAAACACCGCTTTTTCTTTTAAAATACAAAATAAAATTGTGGTCATTACAGAGATCATGTGCTGCATTGGTAATTGTGGGGTTTGTCATCTTAGACAAAGGATACTGAAGGGGGTTGGCTGAAATCACCTCTAAAGGCCCACCAGCTCTCAGTGTCCGTGTGCCATGAAATAAAAGGATTTTGTTAATTGCTATCATTTTTGTTTCAGTTCACACACAAGAAAGTAAAACATGAAAACTTCAGCCTCCTAACCTCTGGAGAAGTGGGAGAGTTCTGTGTCCAGGTGAAACCATCTGTCGCTTCCCGAAGTAACAAGGGGATGTGGTCTAAAGAGGAGTGCATCTCCCTCACCAGGCAGTGTGAGTCAGCTGGGCTGCTCTCAGCATGGGGAGGGAGACTGGGAGGGCCTGGTGCAATCCAAAACGCGTGCACCTGGGATGCTGGTGCCAGCCACTGTGTTAGGTGCTGCTTCACATAGCTCTGCATCCTTAATAGGAGAGAGGTCCTACTGTCCTCATTTTAGAGATGAGGGAACTGAGGCTCAGTATTAGCAACTTCCTAGGGTTGCACAGCTAGGACTTGGTGGCAGAACCAGGTCTCTTGGATCTAGGGTCCTCCCACTGGAGCACAGCGGTGTTTCCCAACAACATCCCCCTCCCCCGGGGCCATCTTCAGTGAGCTGTGCTAGTTCCTGTTGTTACAGTCTTCTGCTGTTCTTCCTCAGAGCCAGGGATACAAAGGGCTTCTCCTTACTTCCCCTACTCTGCTCTGCTCCTCGCCAGAGCTGCTAAAGTCAGCAAATACTGCTCCAGGCTGTCAGTCAGGTGCCGGGGCTGTAGGGGGAGGGAGATAATAGAGGACATGGAGGCCACGGTCTTGCCTAGGAGGATCTTGCATCCTGGCTGGGGAGATAGAGTGTGCACAGAGGAGACTGTAACAAGCAACTCTTATTGGACAGCAGATGAGATGTCCAGTGCCCAATGAAACATGCCAACAGTAAGTGCTCTGGGAGGGCCCAGTCCAGTGTGGGCAGAGTCTGGCAAAGGTGAAAGTGACTCCTGCTAGATCTGCAACAAATTTCAGTTTGTGAAGGACACTCAACAGCTCAGTGTCATTTAAGTCTCAATGCAGAGGAAGGCACTAAGTGGGTATCAGGCAGTCTTAAGAGTTTTTCATACATTCATTCACTGATACATGAAATAGTTCCAAATCTCAGCTTTACAACTTTTGAGGTATATGACTTTGGGCAAATTACTTAACTTCTATGTGCTTCAGGATCCTAATATGTAAAAATGGGGCTGATGATAGTATTTACCTCCTATAAGTATAAAAGTTAAAAGAATCTGATGGTATTGGTACATGGTCAGTGCTGTGTACTTCACAACTACCTTATGAGGTCAGTGGCTCTGACAGAGTAATTAATTTGTCCACAATTGCACAGCTAGTAAGTGGTGAAGCTGGGACTTGAACCCAGATCTAGCAGCCCCCGGAGCCTCGATTCTTACCTGCTGTACCATCCTGCCTCACTGTTCTGTTTGCTGTGATGGGAGTCATGTGCAGAGAGCTGGAAGCAGTTAGCGCATCTCCTGAGGGAATCCTTCAGGGCATGGTTTGGAAGGCCAGGTAGGGATTCGCAGAAACCTAGACACATCTAGAGTTGTGGCCTGTAGTTTGCCTTGGGCCACTCACTGAATGGTTCCTGACAGTGGGCAATGGATTTCATGGGACCAGAGTCCTATGTCCAGAATCACCGTGCCCCATGGTGACAGGCCACAAACACATCTCTCTGGGCCTGCAGATTTCACCGTGACCAACGTCATCATCTTCTTTGCCTTTGTCCTGCTGCTCTCCGGAGCCCTCGCCTACTGCCTGGCCCTCCAGCTGTATGTGCGGCGCCGAAAGAAGCTACCCAGTGTCCTGGTGAGTCTTGCAAGGAGGTCACTGCCCCGTCCTTCCCAGCCACACCCGAGCTTCCAGGAGGGCAGGGAGCTCTTTTCCTCCCAGCCAGTCCATTGCCTTAGCTTGCCTCTGCTCTCAGCCCTGATGTGATTGGGAGATACCTTCATCAAGCGCTGTGGGGACAGAGGGAGGAAGTGAGCATGAAGCCCAGTACCGAGAATGTTGCCATCCAGTAGCTCAGATGAGACACATGGAATCACAAATCTCAATGACCACGAGCCATTTTGATATGATCTACTAGTAGTTGGCCATGGACTAGCCCCTGTGCATTGCATCTCTGATTATGAGGCACAGTTATTATCCCCATTTCATAAGTGAGGAAACTGAGGCACAGAGAGATTGTTACACACAGAGGGCCACACAGCCAGGAAGAGTCAGGGAGGGAACCCACTTTCCTACTGCTATTAGCCATGGGTGTTCCACAAGAGAGAAAGAAGGAAAGGCCAGAAGTGCTGGTCCTCGGGCTGCTGCCAGAGTGGGCCAGAGGAGAGAGGACACTGGGGGGCGGTGGGGATGCTGCGCCACTGGAGAGGGGATGCTGGCAGGGGACAGGGAGGGGCTCATGGAGGAGGCCAAGCCCTCCTCCCCTCCCAGGGTGTGTCCTCTTGCTACATTGTACTGACAAATGATACATTTGTGGCAAGCCAGTCTCCAAAACTCAGCTTGCAAAGATTGGGCAGCATTTTCCAAACCTCGGCCTGGTCTCTGGCCTGGAGTTCAGGCCGCATTGAAGATTGCCCACCATAGCCTCCATAGCTGGCACTATTGCATGATGGCTGAGGGATCAGCTGGGAAGGAACCAGCTCCGTCTGCAAGGCAGGGGCCCCACAACTGGAAGGGGAATCTCCAGAGCGATCCTGGGATCTCTAGGGAAAACAAGACGAGAGACAAGTGCAGTGGCACAATCTCAGCTCACTTGCAGCCTCACCCTCTCAGGTTCCAGTGATTCTCCTGCCTTAGCCTCCCGAGTAGCTGGGATTACAGGCATCTGCCACCATGCCTGGCTAATTTTTGTATTTTTAGTAGAGACGGGGTGTTGACCAGGCTGGTCTCGAACTCCTGACCTCCGGTGATATGCCCACCTCGGCCTCCCAAAGTGCTAGGATTATAGGCATGAGCCACCGCACCCTGCCCCTTCTGTACTTTTGGATCACAGAACTGACTTGTCCTTGAGGGTTTTTTCTCTTCAGGATAAATATAGCTCAATCCCTTCATCTGATGATCGTAGTCATTACCACATGAATAAATTATAATGCACAGAGCACTGACACATTCATTAGTTTGTTCTCATTCATTAGCTTGTTTGATTTGATCTTTCAACAGTTCATCAAGGTAAGTATTATTGGACAAGGAAGGGATTTCAAATCAGGACAGTTGAGGATGAATTCCAGATGTGTTCTTTACTGTTGTGCCACTTTGTGCAAGTCATTTAACTTCTCTGAGCTTCAGTTTTCTCCTCTAGGAAATAGAGGTAATAATACTTCTCTTACAGAATTATTGGAGGGTAAAGTTCAATTCAACATATATTTATTGAGCACCTTCTATGTACCACACTTTGTTCTAAGCACTGTAGACACATTACAACATAAGGAGGCAGGTACTGTCATTATTTCCATGTTACAGATGAGGAACTAAAGCACAGAGAGGGTAAGTAATTTGGTCAGGGTGACAAAGCTGATAAGAGTCAGAGCTGGGATTTGAACCCAGGAAGTCTGGCTCTAGAGGACACATCCTAAATCACCAAGCAATGTGATAGGAATAGGGACTCAACCAATAAGAGCTGCATTTGAATCATCATGTACCAAGGAAATGAGGGCAGATGTGCAACAGTGAGTCAGTGAGTCAGTCGGCAGACCTTAGGAGGGCCTACTGTGTGCCAGCTCAGTTTAGACTCTGGAGACAGGGTAGTAAACAACACTAGACAGTTCCTGCCCTCAAGGAGTTTGTGTTCTTTTGGGAATGTGGAGTAAGTGAGTGTGTGTATGGTGAGAGACGAAAACAAACAAGTAAAATAATTCTAGGAACAAAGTGCTAGGAAGAAGTAACAGGGTTAATGTGGAGAGAGTGGCAGGAGTACTGCTTTAGGCAAGGTATTCAGGAAGGCTTTGCTGAAGAAGTGACATCTGAGCTGAGACCTAAGCCATGTACAGGACACAGCCATATAAAGTGCCGAGAGCATTTCAAGCAGGAGGGAGAGTGTGTGCAAAGGCCCTGAGGCAGCACGGTGCTTGATGTGTTCTGGGACAGAAAGAACACCAGTGTGGCTAGGGCAGAGGGGTTATGTGGCTTCCTTGAAACCCTTGGCAATTAACAGAGAGCAGCCCCTTCACTGTGAGTTCCACACTTGTGCCACTGCCCCACGCTGCAGCCACCATGTTCGCGTGAGTCACTACTCGGGGAATAGAAAACTTAATTTGGTGTCTTACATCCAGAATTTTAGAAAATGAAGTAGGCAGGAGGGCATAGACTGGGATACAATAGAATAAGAACTGCAGAAATATCGTGGCACAGCTCATAATGATGAGTATTATTTTGTGAAACTGGTTTCAGTTATTTACATACGGGTTATATATACAAGTCATTATGCAACTTATTTCTGATTTTGAGTCATAGTCAAAAAAGTTTGAAACATGCTTCTAGATGGGTCTAGCCTGCTTTCAGGTTTGAAAAGCACTGTGGATGGAGCCACCTGAGAGTTTTCACCATGCTCAGCAGACCTTGGTTCTGCCTGTTACTCCATCTGGGCCTGAGAATACAAGTTTCTTGTGTATCTGGCCTGAGCCAAACTGGGAATTGCATTAGGAGGAAAGCTGGATTCGAAAACAAAACAGAATACATTCCAGTGTAATTTAGACTGTAGTCTCCTCCATCGAGCTCTCCTCCTGGGCCTGGCCTTCCCCGGCAGCACTGGGATGGGTGCTGGAAGGTGACTCCTGCTTCTCTCACTCTGCCCTCTCTTCCCCAGCTCTTCAAGAAGCCCAGCCCCTTCATCTTCATCAGCCAGCGTCCCTCCCCAGAGACCCAAGACACCATCCACCCGCTTGATGAGGAGGCCTTTTTGAAGGTGTCCCCAGAGCTGAAGAACTTGGACCTGCACGGCAGCACAGACAGTGGCTTTGGCAGCACCAAGCCATCCCTGCAGACTGAAGAGCCCCAGTTCCTCCTCCCTGACCCTCACCCCCAGGCTGACAGAACGCTGGGAAACAGGGAGCCCCCTGTGCTGGGGGACAGCTGCAGTAGTGGCAGCAGCAATAGCACAGACAGCGGGATCTGCCTGCAGGAGCCCAGCCTGAGCCCCAGCACAGGGCCCACCTGGGAGCAACAGGTGGGGAGCAACAGCAGGGGCCAGGATGACAGTGGCATTGACTTAGTTCAAAACTCTGAGGGCCGGGCTGGGGACACACAGGGTGGCTCGGCCTTGGGCCACCACAGTCCCCCGGAGCCTGAGGTGCCTGGGGAAGAAGACCCAGCTGCTGTGGCATTCCAGGGTTACCTGAGGCAGACCAGATGTGCTGAAGAGAAGGCAACCAAGACAGGCTGCCTGGAGGAAGAATCGCCCTTGACAGATGGCCTTGGCCCCAAATTCGGGAGATGCCTGGTTGATGAGGCAGGCTTGCATCCACCAGCCCTGGCCAAGGGCTATTTGAAACAGGATCCTCTAGAAATGACTCTGGCTTCCTCAGGGGCCCCAACGGGACAGTGGAACCAGCCCACTGAGGAATGGTCACTCCTGGCCTTGAGCAGCTGCAGTGACCTGGGAATATCTGACTGGAGCTTTGCCCATGACCTTGCCCCTCTAGGCTGTGTGGCAGCCCCAGGTGGTCTCCTGGGCAGCTTTAACTCAGACCTGGTCACCCTGCCCCTCATCTCTAGCCTGCAGTCAAGTGAGTGACTCGGGCTGAGAGGCTGCTTTTGATTTTAGCCATGCCTGCTCCTCTGCCTGGACCAGGAGGAGGGCCCCTGGGGCAGAAGTTAGGCACGAGGCAGTCTGGGCACTTTTCTGCAAGTCCACTGGGGCTGGCCCCAGCCAGGCCCTGCAGGGCTGGTCAGGGTGTCTGGGGCAGGAGGAGGCCAACTCACTGAACTAGTGCAGGGTATGTGGGTGGCACTGACCTGTTCTGTTGACTGGGGCCCTGCAGACTCTGGCAGAGCTGAGAAGGGCAGGGACCTTCTCCCTCCTAGGAACTCTTTCCTGTATCATAAAGGATTATTTGCTCAGGGGAACCATGGGGCTTTCTGGAGTTGTGGTGAGGCCACCAGGCTGAAGTCAGCTCAGACCCAGACCTCCCTGCTTAGGCCACTCGAGCATCAGAGCTTCCAGCAGGAGGAAGGGCTGTAGGAATGGAAGCTTCAGGGCCTTGCTGCTGGGGTCATTTTTAGGGGAAAAAGGAGGATATGATGGTCACATGGGGAACCTCCCCTCATCGGGCCTCTGGGGCAGGAAGCTTGTCACTGGAAGATCTTAAGGTATATATTTTCTGGACACTCAAACACATCATAATGGATTCACTGAGGGGAGACAAAGGGAGCCGAGACCCTGGATGGGGCTTCCAGCTCAGAACCCATCCCTCTGGTGGGTACCTCTGGCACCCATCTGCAAATATCTCCCTCTCTCCAACAAATGGAGTAGCATCCCCCTGGGGCACTTGCTGAGGCCAAGCCACTCACATCCTCACTTTGCTGCCCCACCATCTTGCTGACAACTTCCAGAGAAGCCATGGTTTTTTGTATTGGTCATAACTCAGCCCTTTGGGCGGCCTCTGGGCTTGGGCACCAGCTCATGCCAGCCCCAGAGGGTCAGGGTTGGAGGCCTGTGCTTGTGTTTGCTGCTAATGTCCAGCTACAGACCCAGAGGATAAGCCACTGGGCACTGGGCTGGGGTCCCTGCCTTGTTGGTGTTCAGCTGTGTGATTTTGGACTAGCCACTTGTCAGAGGGCCTCAATCTCCCATCTGTGAAATAAGGACTCCACCTTTAGGGGACCCTCCATGTTTGCTGGGTATTAGCCAAGCTGGTCCTGGGAGAATGCAGATACTGTCCGTGGACTACCAAGCTGGCTTGTTTCTTATGCCAGAGGCTAACAGATCCAATGGGAGTCCATGGTGTCATGCCAAGACAGTATCAGACACAGCCCCAGAAGGGGGCATTATGGGCCCTGCCTCCCCATAGGCCATTTGGACTCTGCCTTCAAACAAAGGCAGTTCAGTCCACAGGCATGGAAGCTGTGAGGGGACAGGCCTGTGCGTGCCATCCAGAGTCATCTCAGCCCTGCCTTTCTCTGGAGCATTCTGAAAACAGATATTCTGGCCCAGGGAATCCAGCCATGACCCCCACCCCTCTGCCAAAGTACTCTTAGGTGCCAGTCTGGTAACTGAACTCCCTCTGGAGGCAGGCTTGAGGGAGGATTCCTCAGGGTTCCCTTGAAAGCTTTATTTATTTATTTTGTTCATTTATTTATTGGAGAGGCAGCATTGCACAGTGAAAGAATTCTGGATATCTCAGGAGCCCCGAAATTCTAGCTCTGACTTTGCTGTTTCCAGTGGTATGACCTTGGAGAAGTCACTTATCCTCTTGGAGCCTCAGTTTCCTCATCTGCAGAATAATGACTGACTTGTCTAATTCGTAGGGATGTGAGGTTCTGCTGAGGAAATGGGTATGAATGTGCCTTGAACACAAAGCTCTGTCAATAAGTGATACATGTTTTTTATTCCAATAAATTGTCAAGACCACAGGAATCGTGTGAAACTAGTCAGATTGCTGATGGCACATTGGCTCATGGAGGACTCGGTTGTTGATAATGAGGAGGGTAATAATGTGTGGGATGTGTGATGTCACTTTAAGGAAACAGGGCTGAGGACTCAGGCTTAAATCTGACAGACCCAGGGAGTCCTCATGCTACCTGTATTGTGACCTTGGGCCCATTACTTATCCTCTCCAAGTTTTAATTTCCCCACCTGTCACGTGGAGTTGACAACTCCCCATGAGGATGTTGTGAGGTGTAAATGAAATTGCACATAAAAAGTTTAACATGGTGCCAGGCATGTGGTACTATGTGCCACTAGCTGTCATTGGCTGTTGAGTCTGTAAAGAAAAATGGACAGCTTTTCTTGGAAACAAGTGAAAATGAAAGCGATAAGGAGTGTGCAGCGGGACTCTTTCAGAAGACAGAAAAGGAAGAGGTGGAAAGCACAATGCAACGTTTTGGATGTGAGTTCTGACAATGTGGAGAGAAGAACCTGGAAACCCCTCCTTTCCAGGAAGACAGCAAACTGGGCCTCCCTGGAGCTCTGTTCCCAGAGCCCTGTCCCTGGCTCCCCTTGCCCAGGAGGCATGTCCCAGTGGTGGTTCTCCTAAGTGCGGAAGCCATCTGCACTCTATTCTAGAAGCAGCCTGCTCCCTCCATGAAAAACCCCATGTGGGTTTGAATTTCTCCCCATGCTCAGCCCAGTGGGTAGAACAAACCCAGGCCCGCGGCCTGAGCTTCCTGGGTGTGCTTTTCTCTTCGTCCTACCTGAATCCCCTAGAAGGTGACTGGGGACACCTCACCTCTTTTCCCCTGTGTCATCTCCAATCTTGCCTCACCCAGTTCATTCTGAGAAAATAACTAGTTCTGAGGAAGTGCTGATCCTATCATCTTCAGAGAACTTGACTAATATCACGCCATTTCAGACCTGCTCAGGCTTTTGCCCTAGAGCCCTCCTTGTCAATATTGGAAAGAAAAGTAGTGTTGGTCACTTTCTCCTGGAAATGAGGTGTTAGCGATGGCTTATTCCCCATGGAAAAGGCCCCTAAGGTCTAAATATAAAGATTCAGAGAGTAAAAGGAATTACATTCAAGGAACTGCAGCCAGTTTGGTTGGATACGACAGATCAAAGAGCAGCTTGCAGGACAGAAGGAAGTCAGAAGACACAGCCCTTGGTGCAGGCCCTGCCTGCTCCGTTTCTGTGGAATGAGTAGGAGTTTGCGCTGGTTCATCTCTGCTTTGAGGCTGCTCTGTAACCACTCACCACAGACAGGCCCTTGGGAGAAACTGAGCGAGTCCTTCCAAGCAGCCGGGGCTGATGAGACACTTGCAGATTTCTTGGGAATTTGGATTACAGCCCCCAACAGAAGGCCCCAGCTGTTCTTCAACTGAGCAATCTCCTTCAAGGGCTTTTCCAAGCTGAGGAATGCGTAATGCTGTCTTTGTGTGAGCTAATGGAACTTCCTCTTAGTACAGAGAGGGGGTAAATGGGCCACCATTGAGTGAAGAGGAAATTCAATAAACTGTGTTTTCCCAACTTTGTAAATAGCTATAGTCAGGGTGTGCCTTGTCTACCCAGCATATATTCATCCCCCGGCCTCAGTGTTCACACTTTCACAGAAGACACACAGTCCCTAGGAAGCTGGGTCCCACCCCCAGAGCCCATGCTGCTCTGCTGGGTGGAAGGTCTCTGAGCCCCACATGGGAACAGCACAGCAAGGGAAGCTGTAGGCTGTGACCACCTGGGACCACTGACAGGTCTGCTGCCTAAGTGGCAGGTCTGGGCAGTCAGGGCTGATTTGATCAAGCCTCAACCTAGAGGACCCTAGATACTAGGAAGCTTGACTCATTCATTTCCTGTTGTGCTCATGGGTTAAAAAAGCAAACCCACAGTTTTGGGTTTGAAGTAAACCCCAATTTAAAATTAAATGCATTGTTATTAATGACACACAGCACATTTTCCCACTATCATCTCGATCCTAACTTCACTTAATTTCCCATAAACCTCCAAAAAGGGTTGTGGGACCCAATAAACACTCTGCCGAAGAAGGACTGGGTAGGATAAAACTTGTGTTTTAAGAATATGGCTCTATCCAAAGCATCAGACATGAATCAGAAAGGATGGGGCAGGAGGCAAAGAGACCTGGCTGGAGACTTTTATTGTAGTCAGCATTTCATTTTGTCAAAAAACATTACGAAGCACTTGTTATGTGTTGGACATGGTGTGCAGCCCTGGGTACAGAGTGGTGAACCAAACAAGTGTGGCTTCATGGAGCCTGTCATCTGGTTATGAAGATAAACACCAAGCAAATAAACACAACAAACGTATTACTACAATCAGTGATAAGTGATGTGAAAGAAACTAGTATTCCACATGAAGGATGAGGCAGGAGGCAGAGAAACAGGGTAGGAGGCTGTCTTAGGCTGGGCTACTATAACAAAACACCATGGACTGGGTGGCTTAAACAACAGACATTTATCTCTCACAGTTCTGGAGGTGGGGAAGTGCAGGATCAAGGTGCCAGCTGAGTGAGTTCCCTGGGAGGGCTCTCTTCCTGGCTTGGAGACGGCCTCCTTCTTGCTGTGGCCTTACACGGTGGAGATAAAGAACTCTGGTCTCTCTTCCACTTTCTTACAAGGGCACTAATCCCATCATGGAGGCCCCATCCTCATGACCTCATCTAAACCAATTACCTCCCAGAGGCTTTACCTCCAAATACCGTCACATTGGGAGTGACAGCTTCAACATGAATTTGGGGAAGACAAAAATATTCAGTTCATAAGAGAGGCTTATACAATAGTCTAATCAAATGACAGTATTGAGCAGGGGCAGTGGGAACAGAGAGAAAGGGACAGACTCAAAGACATTTTAAAGGAAGCATTATCAAGATGGGGCAACAGGCTGGAGTGAAAGAAGGAGGTCTCAGAAGTGCTAGTCACACTTGAACCCGATGATGAGAAAAGCGAAATATGGACATGGAAGGGAGACAGAGGTGTGGAGGGAGAGGGGAGATGATGAGTTCTGGCTTAATAATGACAAGTCATCCAAGAAAAGGTCTTTCAGCAATTGGCAAGGCTGGCCTGGATCTGTGAGGCTCAGGGTTAGGGATTCCCATGTGAGAGTGAATGAGCTCATAGCCCTTAGTGTGAAGGTAAGGACGCCGGCTTGGAGAAGATCCCCAAACCCCTGCAGCCAATACAGTTAGAATATTCACGCGATGACTTCCTGCCTTGAGGAAAAGCAGGCTGCCATCCCTTCAACTCATCGAGTCACAGGAGCCACGGCTGTGTTTGGCATCTGTCTTGCAGAGCCCAGCCAGGAGCCTCACTGGGGCTCCTTGGTCAATCACAGCCCATCATCAAGGGTGCAGCTGAGGGCTCCCTTTAGTAAGTTGTCTAATCTGTAGAGCTGAGAGGCTCAGGGAGGGGTACAGACTAGTACATGATCTGCAAAGGCCTGGGTGTAGGGTGCCACACCTGTCTACCTCTACCCACATGGGGCAGAAGGGCGTGGTGGAGATTAAGACCTCACAGTGACCCTGGAGAGAACAGGAACATTCTTCAGAATCCTACTATCTGGTCACCCCAGCCCTGGAAGTGACCCTTGCCCTCCACCTCCCCACATCCCCTCTACCTGTCCCCTAAGGCAGAGTTTCTCAGAAGATTGCCTCTATCAGAATTACATGGGAGTATTTGTCTTCCTAAGCTGCTCCCCAAGGCCCAGAATTTCTGAATACCGGTTCCCAAGGACCTGCTAGGGAAACAACTTATAGCGACCACATTGCAGGTGATTCCAGCACACACTGAGTCACCTCTTTAAGGAACAACTTGTTGATTCGCTGCTTGTTCTATTAAAATCAGTCCTTTTTCTCCTCACTGCCCCCTACTTGTTATCACCCAGTCCACACCTTTAAGTGTTATCTGGATGCTGGTGGCTTCCAAATGTCCAAACAGGGTTTCTCTCCAGAACTCTATCCAGCTGCCTCATCAGCAGCTCCGTCCAGCATACATCTCAAAATTATAGTGTCTACAACAGAGCTCATGATTCCCCTGACACTCCTTCCTCCCCTAGTCTTCCCCACCTGATAAATGGCACCACCTTTCCCCTAGTTCAGGCCAAAAATCCAGGAGTCAGCCCTTTCTGCCCCATCAAACTCCTTAGTAAGTCCTATCAGCTCTACCTTCCAGATAGATGGTGAATCCAATCACTTGTCACCACCTCCCACTGTCATCTGGTCAAATTCATCTTCACCTCTCCCCTGGACCACCATGAGGCTCTGTCCTGCTCCTCTGCATCCACTCCTGCTCCCTCAGTCTAATCTCCATACCGCAGTCCTCCTGATGCAGTGCACAGAGCTGCATGGGCTCCCCCAGAACTGGAGGAGCTGGGCAGTAAGCAGATGGCAGGCAGTGGGCACTGCAGACGAGACTTTGTCAGGCCAGGAGGACGGGAGGCACCGACTGTATGGGCTGTCATGGGGATGTGCACAGGGGTCGATGGCGTGTGGAGAGCGGGCATTTGGCCCAGCTGGCGCTTTCTGGGAGGCCTCCTTGGGGAAGACAAGACAAAGGTTCTGAAAACTTACTGGCCAGCACCACCTTCTCTCCCATCCTTCACAATCAACTTTTTGAAAGAATTGAAAGACTCACTGACTCCACTTCCAACTGCTTCTGCAGCACTGACAGCTCCAGGGACACCCCGCACATGGTATGCTATAATATGCGAATGGCCGGATGGACTGCCGCAGCAAGCTTGTTGGTCTGGAAATGCTCCAAAGGCAAAGAGGAAGAGGCAACAGCCCCAGGGAGTAGAAAGAATGCTCAGCCACTTTCTGTTCTCTCCACATGAAACTGTCATGTCAGTTCTGGGCCTCAGTCTTCTCATCTGTGAAATGGACACAGTAGTCTTCAAGTTGACTTCTTTAATTAGTGCCCTGGGCACATTGCTACCCCTGAGTGTGCTACATGCAGTACTGACTGTAGGCTCCTGGGCAGCAAAAACCCCTCTGATTTCTCTCTGTGTCCTTTGCACCCAATCAATGCCTAACACATCGCAATGGGTGCTCAATACTCAATAAATTTTGATGAATAAATGAGTGCATGGATGAATGAATTTCTTCCATTCGTGGTAAGGAACTTGAAGAAGCATAGTATCCAAACATGAGAAGGCAACAGTGGTGATGGTAGCTTGTGGCTGAACAGATACTTGGGAGGCATTTAGACTGAGCCTAAAGAAAAGCAGCCTGTATATATCTATTATTTTAAATTTTATCTTCAGGCTTGTCATCTTCCTAGCTGAGTCATATCATGCTGGATCCCTTCCCTGCAATTTTCACCCTACAACTCTTGGGTGTTGTAGGAACTCAGGGCTATAGACCAAATGGGAAGGCAAGGGGATGTGGTCAAGAGACAAGGCAAAGGACCATGAAAACATTCAACATGCATTCACTCTTTGGGCAAACATTCATTGAGCCTCTGTCATGGGCAGGCCCTCTGGAAATACAAAAGGCATCAGACATGATCCTTCTCCTTCTTGGCTCAGTTGTGTAGTACATACACACACACACGCACACGCACACACACACAGGGGTGTCTCCACCCACCTCCTTCTCCACTCCCCACCCCCACCCAGCACTGTGGAACTGATTAGAGTCCATCTGGAGGGAGAAGTAGGTTCTTGGGGGCCAAAGATGTCAGAGTAGCTGCCAGTTTGGACTGAGGCTAGAAGTGGGTGAAAAAGGATTATTCCGAGTTACCTGAGCTCTGAAATAGCCTCCCAGCTGGAAGGGACCTCAGAGTCCTCAGGTCCAATGGCAGCCTTATACAAACAAACACAGCATCAGGGGCTCAGAGAGCTTGCGCTCACCAGCTACAAGGGGAGGAAATGGGACTAGAATAGAAGATGTAACTTCTTTTTTTTTTTGAGACTGAGACTCGCTCTGTTGCCAGGCTGGAGTGCAGTGGTGCAATCTTGGCTCACTGCAACCTCTGCCTCCTGGGTTCAAGAGATTCCCCTGCCTCAGCCTCCCAAATAGTGGGGGCTACAGTCAGGCACCACCATGCCCAGCTAACTTTTGTATTTTTAGTAGAGACAGGGTTTCACCATGTTGGCCAGGATGGTCTCAAACTCTTGACCTTGTGATCCACCCGCCTTGGCCTCCCAAAGTGCTGGGATTATAGGTGTGAGCCACTGTGCCCGGCCGAAGATGTGACTTCTTATACTGCTCACCATCATCCCCCCAGTGGTTCTCTGCTTATCATGAGAAACCGCATCCTCCTGATTAGGGAGGAGTAGACCAACCCAATAGCTCTGCAGATAAAAACTCACTTCCAGCACTGCCCAACCTGTTTTTTCTTGATTTGTTTTTCAACTTCTTGCTTTCTTTTTTTTTTTTTCTTTTGACAGTCTTGCTCTGTCTCCAGGCTGGAGTCCAGTGGCACAATCTCAGCTCTCTGCAACATCTGCCTCCCAGATTCAAGCAATTCCCTTGCCTCAGCCTCCCTAGTAGCTAGGATTATAGGCACGAGCCACCACGCTCGGCTAATTTTTGTAGTTTTAGCAGAGATGGGTTTTCACTATGTTGGCCAGGCTGATCTTGAACTCCTGACCTCAAGTGATCCACCCGCCTTGGCTTCCCAAAGTGCTAGGATTACAGGCGTGAGCCACCGTGCCCGGCCACACCTGTTGTTTTGCTGGCCTGCTGCTACTCTGGGCAGGCAGAACATTTTCACTTCTGGTCTCCAAGTGTGAGAATTCACCAGGCCACTGGCTTCCTGTTTTGTACCAGATCTGTTTAAATATCACGGCTTCTAGATGGTTTTAGATCACTAAGCAGTTTTTAGAAATATAATAATGATCCTCCCATCTGCTCCCACTTTGAGTTTCTCAGACCCCTGGAGCAGAGAGTGGAGCACCAGAGACTCTGGCCTCCTGGCTCCTGGCACCAGGCCCCCTCCAATGCCACTGGCATGGGACAAGACCATTAAGATTTGAAGAAGAACCTAGAGGAGAGAAAAGCTCCCTCTTCACCTGCCAGCCTTGTCACGGTTTTGATCATTCCTTAGGTTATCCTTTAAGATAGAAAAATCGTCATCTGTGTGCTCTCTCTCAGAAATGTAACTGATCATGAGCACAAGGTTGAATGTAGTCAAGGATGGGGAGAGATCAAAAGTTTTGGTTTTCAGAGCACCTAGGATTGCACCAGGGATGAAGCAATGCCCAAGATGTTCTGAAGAGAGATTTCAACACAATTTCCTGAGAAGTTCCTGGCTATGGCCAGAGCCATGCAAAGTACCGTGGAGAACTCAGAAGAGGTTTAAAACCTGATTCTGCCTGCAAGAAATGCCCATCAAATAGGAGAAAGCAAGGTTAATTTCAGGGAGACTGGATGCCCCCATGGTGCCTAGCATAGTTCCTGGCATGTTATGGAAGCAGCGTGAATAAATGAATGCAAAGAAATAATCAATAATAAAGTTATGGGGGCCTGAGACTATCTGTATTTAAAATCAGCAGAGCACAAGATCCATGGGTCTTACAGAAGTCTCCCTGGAGAAGGGAAATTTGAGCTGGCATGAAGAATGGGCAGAATTTGGTGATTTGGAGGTCAAGGAAGTTCTAAAAAAACAAAAGGAAGAAAGAGGAGTGGGTCAGTGGGAAGCTCAGAGCTGAGGATGGGGCCTGGGGAGGACTGGGCTCCTGAGCGCCCTTCTCACCACACAAGGAGACCCCAAAAAGAGATTAGAGACCATCTGGAGGGAGGAGTATGTTCTTGGGGGCCAAGGATGTTAGGATAGCTGCCAGTTTGGACTGAGGCTAGAAGTGGGTGACAAAGGACTATAAAGAAAATAGATTCTTGCTTGGCCTTGAACAAATCACTTCACGGCACTCTGGGCCTCTGTTCCCTCACCTGTGAGGCTGTGAGGATGAAGACGCGCATCATAAGCCTCTGCCCTGCACTGATATGTGCTCAGCAAATGTTAGCGTTTCACCCTACAGGTAAAGTTGGTTGGGAATGGGCCAGACTTGGAACCTGGTCAGACACACGCAGAGTCAAGGAAAGGCTAAGTAATGCTTAGAATCCTAGACCACTAGGGAACTGCAGCCATCACCTTTCAACTGCCATCTCCTAAATTAGAAAGATATATTGACACTTTGTACTTGCATCTTTTAATTGTTTACTGAGCACCTACTATGGACCAGGCTATACGCTAAGAACTGAGAATGCAGACGCTTTAAAAAAAAAAAAAAAAAAAGTAGATGAGGTCTTTGCTCTCCTACAGGTAAGAACCAGGAGAAGCCTTGGAAAAATAGTCCAATCTTTTGATTCCAGATGCTGAAATAGATGTCCAAAGAGGTGGAGTAAGTAGCCCATGACCACACAGCACATCAGGGCAGGGTCAGAACCAGACCTTATACTACATTCAGTTCTCATCCTTACGCCCTGATGTCAGCTACATCCGTGAGGGTGCAGACTCTGCTCAGCTCTGGTGCAGCCAGTAGCCAGTTGTGGAACTTGGGTAAAGCATGCTGCTTTTCTGACCCAAGTGCCCCCATATGTAAAACGGGACCAAGAATAATCCCTGTGTCTCAAGCTTGACATAAGGCTCAAAATGCAGTACCATGCAAGAAAAGGCTTTGTGTTCTGTGGACTGTGAACTGTGCAAACAGTCTCTGCTCCTCCTTTTGATCACTAAGCAGTTTTTAAAAAGATAATAATGATCCTCCCATCTGCTCCTACTTTGAGTTTCTCAGACTCCTGAAGCAGAGAGAGGGGCACCAGAGACACTGCCCTCCTGGCTCCTGGCACCTGGCCCCCTCCAATGCCACTGGCATGGGACGAGATCATTAAGACTTCAAGGAGAACTTAGAGGAGAGAAAAGCTCCCTCTTCGCCTCCCAGCCTCATCATGATTTTGATCAATTTTCTAGGACAAAGCAGCCTTCTGTGGCTACATTGGGTGTCTCTTCTCTACTCGGCAAGTAGTCACTGACCTCCTCCAGCACGCTCCAGTTTTAGGAGTTACTAAAGACCTATGGAACATAACTTTGTTGGCAGAGGGTTCAGCCTGGTTGAGGAACAGCACAAATGGAGGAAATGTGGCCACCTGCAATTCAGATCAAAATGGTTGGTGTCAAGTCTCAAGCCCTGAGCGAAGTCACAGCAAAGACGGACTTGGGCCATCTCACAGAGACTAGATATGGCCAGGAGGGGAGGGGCTGCAGGGACAAGAGGCCACCCAGGCTGGAGAATAGCCCCAGAGAAGGCACCAAAGCGTGGCAGGGGAACCCGGACCAGCCAGCCCTTGGACCCCCAGCCCCCGTGACTGCCTCTGGGCTCTTAGGGCCAGTGGAAAGAAGAACCGTAAAAAGGTAGCGGGAAGGTGTTGGGAGAGGCTCTGGCACTGCTATGATCTGGGTCCCAGCCAGTGCCTGGCTCAGCCAAACCTGTGGCTGGGTTTCCAGGCATCTGCTCCCGAATCGTTTCTAAACAAGCTGGAATCTGCCCTTTAGAGCCCTCAACAGAAACACGCAAAGTCCAGGGGTAAGGCCCAGGCCCCAAGGGTGAAGAAAGCTGTGCTCGCCAGTAGCCTGCGGAAGTAAGGAAAAGAGGGGGAGGCTGAGGGGACAGAGGGTGCGTCAGAGGGCCCTAAAAGAGGAAGTCGCCCAGTATCAGTTCTGCTCCCGAGGATGGGAAATACCCTCCGTGCTCCCAGCCCCGGGCAGCTGTCCCCGTCTCCTCACCTGAAGCCACAGACCTGGGGCCAGGGCCACCTGGGTCCTGGGTCCCATCCTCCCTTTCAAGATTCCCCAAGGCTACTGAGTTCTGAGCACTTCCGGGGGCCTAGGGTGGCCGGGCATGGACTGCAGACCCAGGATCCCTGCTAGGCAGGGTGCGGGTACAGAGTTTTATTGGGGCCGGGCCAGGTGCAGCAGCTGACACCTATAATCCCAGCACTTTGGGAGGCCGAGGCGGGTGGCTCACTTGAGGTTAGGAGTTCGGGACCAGCCTGGCCAACATAGTGAAACCCCATCTGTACTAAAAATATAAAAGTTAGTCGGGCATGATGGCGCACACCTGTAACCCCAGCTACTTGGGAGGCTGAGGCAGGAGGATCCTTTGAACCTGGGAGACGGAGGTTGCAGTGAGCCAAGATCCCGCCACTGCACTCCAGCCTGGGCAACAGGGCAAGACTCCATCTCAAAAAAAGAAAGAAAGAAAGTTTTACTGGGGCCCAAACCTCAGGGGTTAGGAAAGAGGCCCCAGTCCTCAGAATTGAAATCCAAGGAAGGAAGCCGAAGACAACTCATCTCCCCTCCCTGCTATTCCAAGAGGCCTTCAAGGAAGGGAGGGGTCTCAGAACCACTAAGGGGCCTTCCTCACTCCCACTTACTCAGGGGCAGAAGACTCAGTTGAAGACCTCCAAATCCAGAGACTTGGTAATTAAGTCAAAGCCTGGCTATGCTGGGAGAATGGCCTCCAGACCCTGGCAGAAAATGGGGTAAGGGCTGGTGAGGCTCCCCACCTTCCTTCCTCTACAATCTGCTAGAACCCAAAACGAGAAATGAGGCTTTGGGAAAGGGAGCACAGGAAGAGAAATCACACAGCTTCCCTCCTCCTCCCACTTGCTCTATTGGGCTCCTGCATCTGTTGCTGGGCTGCTAGCAGAGAGGCTGGCAGCTGGCTGTTCTAACTGCAGGTTTCAGCAGTGACAGGCTCCCTTCTCTTGCCCTACTCCATCCACAGGAGCCCCGAGGACTCTGCCTCTCTGGTTTGAACAAGTCTGCACTAAGCACCTTCTAAGCTGACGTCCTGTGCACACTCTGCCTCCAGTCCAGCAGGGCACAGACCGGAGAAAGGAGTGATGACTCACGAGGGGAACTGCCCTGCTGTCTACCAAACTACAGTGGATTCCTGGTTTCCCTGGTGCATTATCTGGTTTGTTCAGCCTCGCCTGGGTTCCTCTTCACACTCCCACCATTTCTGGCCCACTTTTGCCACAGGACAGGCTTTGCACAAGAAATGCAGAACACTGTAATGTAGAACTCACCCACTCCCCCGTGCCCAGCCCATTGCAGGAGCCTAGGCGACAAGAACATGTTTCTAGACTGTTCTCAGCACTGCACATCAAAATTGGGAGTTGGCCATGTTTGGGAGGCACTGAGGCCTTGAGCAGTAAGAGAACAGGCCCAGATTGGGGATGGGGCAGGGGGAGGGTTGAAAGTGCTGGAATCAAGTACAGAGGGGGCAGGGCAGAGTCGAGGCCCAGCTCAGTCTTCAGGGAAGTTGGCCTCAGGTGGGAATGTTAAAACCATGTCTGGAATCACCTCTGTATAACTTTGCTTATTGAAGCTATGAGTGGCTTTCTGGCCCCTGGTCAACCCTACAAGGGCAGGTAACTGGAGATACTACATAAAGAAGCTCCCTGCTGGTGTCTGGAGGCCTTGCCCACACTGGACTGCACTGGGCAGGGCTGGTTCTCCAGGACATCTGTGACCCCTCCTACAGGCTCAGGGGCTTCCTGGGATCTAGATTCCTCCTGAGGAATGGTGGCCTCTTTTAGTTCTGAGAGAAAGCCGCTGCTGCCCAGCCAGACTCCATTCCCAGAGGCCTGACTCCCCAGGACTCCCATACCATAGGCTGGTGGCGTATCCAGAGGAGACCCCCTCATTCTCCACAATGAGGGGCCAGGCCAGGCCTTGAAGATCCGAGGGGATGAGGGCAGTCCAGGGGAGCCTGGGAGGGGCAAGAACTGCCCAAGAGAGAAATGGTTTGAATGGGAAAAAGCAACTGAGATGTGGGGAAGGGATGGGCTTAAAGGCAGGCAAGGGAACGTGTGGCCAGAGTTGGCGGGCCATGAAGCAGGGGAGGCTCCTGGGCTCAGAAAGCTCAGAACTGAAGTGCTAGAGTGATGCTTCTTGGAGATATTGGCCATCTGGAAATTTTATCTCAGAGCAAGAGTTAAGATAAAAAGCTGTGCTCTAGAAGCTTCCACCTTGAATGCAAACAGAACCTTCCCAGGAAGGAAAGGCCGGGCATGGATTGGGTGGACAGGAGGAAACAGGGCAGGCCCAGTGCCAGAAGCGGGTGGGGGAAAACATGACCCAAGCCTGAGATCGGCACCAGAAGACAGGGGATGAACCAAATAATCTCTTTGGGTTCCAAGTGGTCCTTGGTGCGAGGCTTGGGTGACTGGACCCTCTTAGGACCTTACTTGGACATCAGGCTCACTCGGCAGCTCTCCCAACTCCAACTCACCTCCCCAGGGCTTCACAAGTTGCTGTCTCTGCATCAGACTAGCCCGTTGGAGAACTTCATGTAGCCACCATCTGTGCTGCTGATGTGACCACTGATGGTGAAGGGTGGACCCATCTCCAGATCCTTCAGGTTCCTGAAAAAGATGATCCAATCAGGCTACTGGAGCTGATAACCTAGCCTCTCCCTGGGTCCCCATCTCCCTTGACTCCAGGGCACCAACTCACTGACTTGTCTTCCAGAAAAGGAAGTGGGCCACTTACCATAATCATCTCTCAGGGCCAAAGGAGGTACAGCCCTGCCTGTGGCAAGTAGATGAGATGACCAACGCCAAGAGGACTTCCAGCTCGCACTCCCTGAATCCCTGATTTTCTGATATGCTCTTCTTTCTGATACCATCTTGTGCCTGAGATTACATTATTTGTAATCAGACCTGTCTCCAGCAGAGACATGAAATGCTTGAAGACAGAGACTATGCCCAGTCATCTTTGTACTCTTTGAAACTAATACGGCAGTAGTGGTGGTTATGATAGCATCTTTCTGAATAAATGATAAGGAAGGAAAGAAGGAAGGAAGGAAGGGAAGGGAAGGAAAGGAAAGGAAGGAAGAAAGGAAGGCAGCTCTGTCTGCTTGGGGGAGAGATGGATGGATGGATGGATGGATGGATGGATGGATGGATGGATGGATGAATGGATGGATGGATGGGTGGATGGATGTTCCCTGCCTAAGGGTGAGTGTTAAGGAGATCATTGTCATCAGGGTTTCACATAGTCCTGTCTGTGTTCAAATTTTAATTCATGGGACTTTTCTAAATGGATTCTCGTGCCCTTCTTTTATTTTCTTAGGGGCATGAACAGAAGACAGGAAAGGGAACCAGTCAGTTCTTAATCTATCTTTGATTCTTTTTCCATTATATCTACCCCCAACCCCCACCTCACCCAGATATTCCCTGAATTTACTCACCGGATTTGATATAAGTTGAAGACAAAATTAGGCCCTAGGAAGACAATCCAAAAAGAGAGGGTTAGCACCTCCAGGGGAAGCAGTCCGCCACCCTTCTAAGAACGTCTGGTGCTCCCTCACCCCTGTCTGGAGGAGTAGGGTGGCTGGGCTGGACCTCAGGATGGTGTGGGAGCATTCCAGCCTCCTTCAGGGCCCCCCATTAACGGTCCTGATTATCCTGGGATGAAGGCAGTCCTAGCCTGGAGCCCAAAAGAACCAGACCTCAGCTTGGATTCAGACTCCACCTCATTCTAACTCCACGACTTTAGCCTCATGTCTCCATCTATAAAAATGAAGGCTATAATAATGTCTTCCTCATGTGGAATTTTAAAGAAAATCATATTAGACAAAAGTGCATTGGCACATAGTAGGTGCTCAACAAATATCCATGGACTCTGTTAAAGTTAAGTGCAGATCTAGGAAATAGTTTCTACCCCTTGGCATTCCAGCACACCCTTCCAGTTTTCCCAGATACCAGTGAAAAGTGCAGCTATGTCTCAGAGTTGAGAACACCACAGCAAATTCCAGGAGACTCCCAGTGAAGCTGATACCTCCACAAGCTTAGGAGAGGGCCCTAAGACCCACAGGCAGGGGCAGAGACACACAAGGAGCCTGTTGGAGCTTGGCCTGTCTAGCCCATTGATCTTGGCCTTGGGGGCCCACAGAGACCGCTGGCATGGACGTCTATGGGCTCTGAGGGAGGAGGAAGCTGGCTGCTTGCTGGGGTGGGAGGAGCCCCCATTCCCTCGATAAAAGTACCATTGCCCCACCTCACCACCTCAACTGCTCAGCCACCCACTCAAGTCTTCAACCACTGCAACCACCACAGGAAATATTTTTCATCCCACCATGCTGAAGAGTTTGCAGCCCTGCCGGGCATTGCCAACTGCTATGGGAGAGGAGGAGCTGCGCAGAACCGGGGCTACAGGGCCCAGTGCACACTCACCCTCCCAGCAGTACCCGCGCTGGTACCACTTGGCCAGGCTGTAGCCGAGGATGGACACGAGCAGCAGCAAGAGCCCCACGCCAAGGATCAGGCCCAAGGTGCTGATGGAGTCCTCACCTGCAGAGACATGCAGCTGTGCACCCTCCCACAGCCCCCTGCATCAACCCACCTGCACCACGTTCCAAAGTTCTCCTCCCTTCCCACTGCCTACCAACATAACTGTCCCCTGGGAGCCTTGCTCTGAGCCCAGTGATTCAGCCCAGCTATACTAAGATGAAAATGTCTGACACCTGAATTTTTAGAGTGAGCCTATCGGTATTTGGAGCTTGTTAATCCAAAGGAATAGTCCTCTGATAGTAGAGATTGTTTGAGGTCTTTTTGAAGCCACAGGCATATTCTACCTGGAAAAAGCTCTACCTGTGTCGGGGTGAGCCTGGGAGGTCCAGCCTCAGCATGAGCCAGGTGGTCAGGGGCCACCTGGAGGGTCCAAGAACACAGACCGGGGACCCTCAGTCCCCCCACCCCTTTGCAAAGCTCATGCACCCAGTGGCAGCAGGGTGTTAACCCTTGGGCTCTGTTTGCTGCCTGTACTTACCACTTCTTCCCTTTTTGTGGTATGAGCTCTTAGCTAAATTTATATTTTATTTGTAAAGTCAAACCAAGAAAGAGAGAGAGAGAGAGGTTGGAAACCTGCAGGAGATGAGATAGGCCATGGTAGAAGCAGAAAGGACAACCAGGTTCTGAGGAAGAGGCTGACAGTGGGGGCACCCTACGGACAACCCACCTCTGCCGGGGCAGGGAATCAGGAAGGCCAGCCCCACTCCTGCCCGATGAGGTACCAGGAGTGTGGAAGAATGGAGTGATTCCCCATTTGGTGTCCTGAGGCTCCAGGGATACTGCCAAGAGGCCAGGAGGTGCAGTGGTTGAACTCAGACTTTAGGTGCAGGCTAGCATCTGAAGCCTAGATCCACTATTTGCAAGCTGTGAGACCCTGACACACACAAGTCCCTTTACCTTGCTGAACTTCAACTGCTCTGATGGAAAATAAGACTAATATTAAATACACATAGATTGTTGTGACAATTAAAAGAGATACCACATGTAGAGAGCACTTAGGAGAGGATCTGACATACACTAAATGCTCAATAGATGTAAATTATATCATTATTGTTGTTGTTGTCATTAGTATTATCAAATGGTGCAACTGTATTTTTTAAGTATTTCACAATTCTCCCATTAAAAACGGTATGCCCATGCTATGCCTCTTGGTCCTTCCTCTCACTAGCAACCAGGTTATTTACTCAGTGAACAGAATGTGACAGCCAAATGCAGAGGGAAGGGGTCTCTCCCTTCAGTTTTAAGTTACAAAAACCCAGGCCCTTAGAGAAAGGGAAAGAATTCACAGCATAGACAAGAAGTGAGCCAGAACAAGAATTACCCTCCTCATCATACTAGGAAAAAATCTCCAGCCCAGAGAGATGAAAGAGATAAAGAAAAAGGCCAGGTTACAAAGATGCCGATGGGTCCCAGAGAGAGCAACCTTGTTCCCTGCTCCAAAGTCGAGCCCCGGGAAGGCAATAGAATTCCCAGATGGAGTTGTGGGATCCAAGAGCTGGGCTGAGCTCCAAGACAGCAAGAGCCCAGATAAGAATAATTGCATATGGATGCCTTGCCACATGGAGCCTCACACAACCTTGAAGAGTTGCTGTCATGGCATGAGAGTAACCAAATGATTCCTGTATCCACAAGAGAGACAGGGAAGTCATAGAGAGCCCCTCCAGTGAAGGGAGACAGGCAATAAACTAAATAAAGAAATTAATTATATACCATATTAGAGGGTGGTAAATGCTAGAGAAAAAAATTAAGCAGAAAGAAAGCATTGTGAAGGGAGAGAGCAGTTTTAAATAAAGTGGTCAAGGAAGGTCTTATGACAAATGTGACAATTGAGAAGACCTAAAGGAGGTGTATTAGTTTATTCTCACACTACTAATAAAAACGTACCTGAGACTGGGTAATTTATAAAGGAAAGAGGTTTAATTGACTCACAGTTCAGCATGGCTGGGGAGGCCTCAGGAAACTTACAGTCAGGGTGGAAGGGGAAACAAACACGTCCTTCTTCACATGACGGCAGGAAGGAGAAGAGTGCCAAGCAAAAGCGGGGAAAGTCCCTTATTAAACCATCAAATCTCATGAGAACTTACTAACTATCAGGAGAACAGCAAGAGGGTACCCACCCCCATGATTAAATCACCTCCCACCAGGTCCTTCCCACAACACATGGGGATTATGGGAACTACAATTCAAGATGAGATCTGGGTGAAGACACAGCCAAACCATACCAGGAGGTGAGAGAAGAAACAAGCCTTAGAGGTATCTAGAGTGAAAATGTCTAGGCAGAGGGAGCAGTAGGTACAAATGAGGCAGGAGCATGCCTAGCAGGTTCCAGAAGCATCCAGGAGCCCTGGGTCATGAGCAGGAAGGCAGCAGGAGAGGAGGTACCAGGAGCCAAATAATGTAGTGCTCTGAAGACAATGAGGGGAGCTTGGCTTTTCCTCTGAGTGAGATGGGGAGTCACTTGAGGACTTGGAGCAGATAAAGGGCATGACCCAATGTTTTAAAAGGATGTCTCTGGCTGGCTACTGTGTTAAGAATTGACGAAGTAGGGAATGATGCTGGAGAAGGGGGACCAGTCAGGAGGCTACTGCAATATCCAAGCAAGAGACAGTAATTAGAGGAAAGGAGTGCAAGGAACTAAGAGGCCAAGGTCAAAGAAGATCATCTCTGTGGATGACAGAGAGAGGGACAGTGACCCAAGGACTCAAATCTTCAAGAACTAAGGGTTAGTGACTCACAGGTGGACGGACAGATGTCAACACAGCGTCATAGTGATACTGGTGGTGTTTGTGGAAGCTGGGGTTTGAAGGGTTTCATCAAAGAAAAGTCTGTCCAAAAGTAGGAAATACCAGTAGGAAAGCACCAGCAGGGAAATCACAGGCCTTCCAGAGACCCTGAGGTGAGGGAAGGAGATGTTATGTCTCCACTGTTACTTTTTTGTGTCTTCTACACAGTGCCTTCTGACTTAGGCAGGTTGCAGAAACAATTACTCTATTTTACCTTTTGATCTTTCTGGGATGCTCCTTTACCTAATATTCTTTAGTCTTTTTTTTAATACTTTTAAATTTTTATTATAAAATATTTCATGCATACAAGAAGTACATAAAATAGCATGAAGAACAGCCATGTGCCTACTAGTAATTTTTCAAAGAATTCTAAAATGCTGCCTTTCTTACTTATAAAGTAGCTCAATTTCAGAGTAGTCCTCTCCTATCTCTCCCTCCAAGTAAATACCCTCCCAAATTTGGTGTTTATCTCTGCTGTACACCTTTTTTATACCATTACTTCATATTTTTAACAAATTCTATATATCTATGTAGATATAGAGATATATAGCATTGTTTTACATGTTTTCAAACTTTATGAAAA
Source organism: Homo sapiens (assembly GCF_000001405.40). Taxonomy (NCBI): domain Eukaryota; kingdom Metazoa; phylum Chordata; class Mammalia; order Primates; family Hominidae; genus Homo; species Homo sapiens. The sequence goes on from NC_000011.10 coordinate 118,019,176, forward strand.
TTATGTTAGGACCACTTCCACTTCTGGCCATGGTGGAATAATAGGGACCAGGTTTACTTTCCTACTTTCATAACTAGAAAACCAACAAACCATCTAAAACAATGGGCAAAGGTAGTACAGAATAGTGATCCCTGAAGGAAGGAAGTAAAATGAAGAGCTCTCTAGGATTGCCTGGCTTATTGCCTGGGTGAGTTCCCCGAGTTCCAGCACAGGAGGGAAAACCCAGAAAGAGCCCAGCAGTCAAATTGAGGAGTCAGAATTTAAGTTCAGGGAAGCCCAGGAAGCTAGAATTTACGGACAAAATACCAGAGAGAAGGGAGCTGGACAGAGACAAGGACTCTCAGAGATCTGCAAAGGGGTCCCCCAAAGTCTTTGGCTGTGGTTTGCCTCTTAAGTTTGCCTATAGTGTCTTTTTTGAGCAGAATTTTAACTAATATTTTAATCAAATTTATCTATTTGTGCTTTTTAAAAATCTTATTTAAGACATCCATCTCTCCTCCGAGACATACTCCTTATTTTTTTTCTAGAAGTTTTAACGTTTTGTTTTTTACAGTTTCGGACTTTAATCAACCTGGAATTCATTTTTGTATACATTATCTCCATAATTTTTGTATGGAAATTAATTTTCCATCCTTTTCCCCTTCATTGCTGCTGCTTTCATATATCAAGTTAAACAGATGTGCCTGCTTCTTTTTCTGGGCTTTCAACTGTATTCTATTGGTCTACGTGTCTGTCACTGGACACTAGACATGTAATGACAAACACTGCTACATTATCTTAATTACTATGGTCTCATAATAAATCTCGGCTGGGCATGGTGTCTCACGCCTGTAATCCCAGCATTTGGGAGGCCAAGGTTGTCGGATCAACTGAGGTCAGGAGTTCAAGACGACCAGCCTGGTCAACATGGTGAAACCCCATCTCTACTAAAAATACAAAAATTAGCCAGGTGTGGTAGCGGGCAAAGGTAATCCCAGCTACTCAGGAGGCTAAGGCAGGAGAATTACTTGAACCCAGGCAGCAGAGGTTGCAGTGAGCCAAGATCGCACTAGTGCACTCCAGCCTGGGTGAGAGAGCGAGACTCCATCATAACTAACTGACTAAATAAATAAATATATAAATAAATCTTGATAGCTGGTAAAATAAACGCTCCACTCTATCCTCCCTCATAAGCATGTTAGTTATTCTGAGTACTTTTCTCTTTCTTGTGAATTTGGGAATTCGTTTTTCAAGGTCAGTGAAAATCTCTATTAGAATTTGATTGAGATAACAGTAAATGTATAGGTTTATTTGGATAAAACTTATATATTTGAGATACTGAGTCTACAAACTTACAAGTATGGCAAATGTTTTCATTTATTTTGGGTCATCTTTTATAGACTGTCATATGTTTTATAATTTGTCCCTTAAAGGTTTGGTACTCTTCTTGCTAGATTTATTCCTCAGTACTTTATAATGTTGTTGTAAGTGTGAACAGGAGCTTGTTTTGTGTATATTGGTTTTCCATGTAATAGTGTTGCTGAATTCTCTCATTCTAATCATTTTCTTCTGGTCTTCCTTGGATATGTAGACTATTATATTGTCCGCAAATAAAGGCCATTTGCTTTCTTACTTTCTGTTCTTATATGTCTCAGTTTATTTTTCTTGTCTAATTGTATTGGTTAGAACTTCCAGTATAATGTACCTTGATATATGTATTTGATGCTCTAAATTTACCCCTAAGCATCACTTTAGCTTCATTTTATAAGACTTGATACGTAATATTTTTACCTTTGTCTGATCTAAATGTTTTTTAATTTCCACTGGGATATCTTCTTTAACCCTTGAGGTATTTGGCAGTGCGTTTTTAGTTTCCAAATTCACAGGGTAAGGTTTTTTTTTTTACTATTTATTAAGATGGACATGAGTTATAGAATTATGGCTGGTATAAGAAAAGAGTAACAGTTAATTTAATTTTAATACTAGCTCAATGTTTTCATCTAACTCATGAAGTCAAAGTAAAGCTTTTAGAAGCTTACTCTGTAGGAGGTAAAACATTGGAAATTATTGTGAATGTTACTGAAAATTCAGTTTAAAAGTTTGACATTAACAATAAAATTGTTTTTTCTTTTTACTTACTTTTGTCACTCTAAACTTCAGTCTTAGATATTTTTTTCTGGGCCTATCTTCTAGCTGACTAATTCTTTCTTCAGCTGTGTCTAATCTGCTATTAATCATCCTTAGTGTTTTAATTTGTTATGGTGTTTTTCATTTCCATAATTTTAACTTAATTCTTTTTATAATTTCCAATTATTTATTAAATTTTTCCGTTATGTCTAATTTTATATCATTTGCTATACATCTTTCCTATAGTTTTTATTCATTATTCTAGGGTTTATAAAATGTATCTTTAACTTATCACAGTCACATATAAAAGGGAAAATAAAGATATACCATATAAAAACTAATCAAAGGAAAGCTGAAGTGGCTCTGTGGATATCAGACAAAAACGATTTTAAAACAAGAAATATTACCAAGGATGAAGAAGGACATTTCATAATGATAAGAGGGACAACTCATCAAGAGGACATTTCATTATATAGCTTTAAAATATAAAAAGAAAAAATGAGTAGAACTGAAAGACAAACTTTAAAAATTCATAATTATTATTAGAGAATTCAACTCTTCTCTCTCAGCAATTGATAGAACAGGAAATCAGCTAAGGATATAGAGGACACAAACAACACTGCCAGCTAACTTGACCTTGTAGACATTTACAGAACACTACATCCAACATCTGGGGAATACACATTGTTCTCAAGTATATATGGAGCATTCATCAAGACAGATCATATGCTAAACCATAAAACAATAAGTCTTTTTTTTTTTTTTTTTTTTGAGATGGAGATGGAGTTTTGCTCTGTCACCAGGCTGGAGTGCAGTGGTGCAATCTCAGCTCACAACAACCTCCACCTCCCTGGTTCAAGTGAGGTTCAAGTGATTCTCCTGCCTCAGCCTCCCGAGTAGCTGGGACTACAGGTGCCTGCCACCATGCCCAGATAATTTTTGTAATTTTAGTAGAGACAGGGTTTCACCATGTTGGCCAGGATGGTCTTGATCTCTTGACCTCATGATCCGCCTGCCTTGGCCTCCCAAAGTGCTGGGATTACAGGCGTGAGCCACCGCCCCTGGCCCAACAATAAGTCTTAGTAAGTAAATCTCAATAAATTTTTAAAAGTTAAAATAATATACAATATGTTCCCTGACCACAGAATTATATTGGAAAATAAAGACAAAAAGATATCTGGAAAACATCCCAATATTTGGAAATTAAACAACACACTTCTAAAAACATCCTGGGTAAAAGAAGATATCACAAGGGAAATTAGAAAATACTTAGATCTGAATGATATTGAAAACACAACATAGCAAAAATGTAAGTTGAGGAGACAGTCCAAGGCAGCTAAAGTTCACAAGACAGAGGAAAGAGCTACATCAGGTAAAGAATCCAGCTATGTGCAGAGGGACCCCCTCAAGTATTCAATAAGTAATGAGTGCCTGTGTATAAAGGAGCTACCTGAGGCCAGAGAATCATCTGAAAGCATTCGTGGGAAACAGTGTCTAGCATTCAAATAGGGCTAGAAGCAGGGCCTATTCCCATAAACCAGACTAGAAAAACTCGTAATTCACAGGGTATTGGATAGGGAACTCAGGAAGTTCTTGCCTTAGTGGTGAGAATAATTAGCCTTAGACTGTTCAGCCTAAGGCTAATTATTTCCACTACACTGGGTCTTGGTTTTATGATTTGTCTACTGCTCCGAACCCATCTAACAAATCATAAAACCAAGACCCAAAAAGGTCAAACTGCTTCCAACTAACTTAACTGCTTCCCAATATATTTATAGGCAAACAAAAATATCTACCACTCAGCAAAGTAAAATTCACAATATCCTCATTCAGTCAAATATTACCAGGCACTCAGAGAGGCAGAGCAAAATGACCCATAATGAACAGAACAACCAACAGAGCACAGGCCTTGGAATCCTGCAGCCTGGGTCTGAATCCTATTCACTCATCAGTCTGAGGCCTTCAGCAAGTTATTTAACCACCAAAAGCCTCAATTTCATGTGTGTGTGAAAAAGAGGGAGAGGGAGAAAGAGAGATTCAATAAGTCTCAAATTATAAAAGACCCTTTTTTTCTATTTTATTATTATTATACTTTAAGTTTTAGGGTACATGTGCACAATGTGCAGATTAGTTACATATGTATACATGTGCCATACTGGTGTGCTGCACCCATTAACTCGTCAGTTAGCATTAGGTATATCTCCTAATGCTATCCCTCCACCCTCCCCCCACCCCACAACAGTCCCCAGAGTGTGATGTTCCCCTTCTTGTGTAAAAGACCCCATTTTTTAAGACCCAAATTATTTCCAGGGATGAAAACTACAACATCTGAGATGAAAATTACATTGAATGGAATTAACAGCACACTAGGCATCACAGAAGAAAAAAGTAGTGCACTTGAAGGCATAGCAATAGGAACTATCCAAGGTGAGACATAGAGGGGAAAAAAAGTAATAAAACAAATGAAAAAGCTGGGCGTGGTGGCTCACGCCTGTAATCCCAGCACTTTGGGAGGCCAAGGTGGATGGATCACTTGAGGTCAGGAGTTCCAGACGAGCCTGGCCAAAATAGTGAAACACCATCTCTACCAAAAATATAAAAAAATTAGCCAGGTGTGGTGGCGTGTGCCTGTAATACCAGCAACTCGGGAGGCTGAGGAAGGAGAATGCTTGAACCTGGGTGGTGGAGGTTGCACTGCACTTCAGCCTGGGTGATAGAGTGAGATGCCTTCTCCAAAAAAAAAAAAGAAAGAAAGAAAGAAAAGAGTATTAGTGAGGTGCAGGACAACTTCAAGCCACCTAATATATGTGTAATTAGATTCCCTGAAGGAGAAAACGAGGGAAAACAGAAAAAAAAATTTTGATGAGATATGGCCAACAATTTTCCAATTTTGAAGAACCTGTCAAGTTATTTGTTCAAACAAGACATTTCTTTTCCTATGAGGAATTCTGGTGCCCATGGTTGATATCATAACTCTTTTTTTATTACATCAAGGAAGGCCTAAACTATCCTTAGGAAGAAATAGACTACATTTCCTTTCAACCGACCCTCCGTAAGAATCATTCTTTTTAACTAAACCATATGTATAGGTTGGAAAATATACAGGTCAAGGGTATGGTGTCTAGTAAGGTCCTGAGCTACATGTTCACTGTATTGCTTATAAAGGGTGAGGCCAGTTTTGTTTTGTTCTGTTTTGTTTTGTTTTGTTTTTGGCAGAGTCTCGCTCTGTTATCCAGGCTGGAGTGCAATGGTGTGATCTCGGCTCACTGCAACCTCGACCTCCCAGGTTTAAGCAATTCTTCTGTCTCAGCCTCCCAAGTAGCTGGGATTACAGCTGCCCGCCACCATGCCTGGCTAATTTTTGTATTTTTGGTAGAGGTGGGGTTTCACCATGTTGACCAGGCTGGTGTCGAACTCCTGACCTCAGGTGATCTGCCCACCTCAGCCTCTCAAAGTGCTGGGATTACAGACATGAGCCACCGTGCCCAGCCTCAACTTTTATTTTAGATTCAGGAAGTAGATGTACAGGTTTGTTAAATGAGTATATTGAATGATGCTGAGGTTTGGGATACAAATGATCCCATTACCCGGGTAGTGAGCATTACTATTACCAATAGTTAGTTCTTCAACCCTTGCTCCTCTCCCTCTCTCCCCGATCTAGTGGTCCCCAGTGTCTATTTTTCCCTGTCCATATGTACCCAGTGTTAAGCTTTCACTTGTAACGGAAAACATGTGGTATTTGGTTTTCTGTTCTGGTGTTAATCTACGTAGGATAATGACCTCTAGCTTCATCAATTTTGCTGCAAAGGAGAAGATTTTGTTCTTTCTTATGGCTGTGTAGTATTTCATGGTGTATATGTACCACATTTTCTTCATCCACTCCACTGTTGATGGGCACCTAGGTTGATTCTAAGTCTTTGCTGTTGTGAATAGTGCTGCAATGAACATATGAGTGCATGTGACTTTTTGGTAGAACTGCTTATTTTCTTTTGGGTATATACCCAGTAATAAGATTGTGCAGTCAAATGGTAGTTGTGTTTTGAGTTCCTTGAAAAATCTCCAAACTGCTTTCCACAGTGACTGAACTTTACATTTTACATTTACATTTTAATTTACATTTCGACCAACAGTGTGTAAACGTTCCCTTTCCTCTGCAGCCTTGCCAACATCTGTTATTTTCTGACTTCTTAATAGTAGCTTTCCTTGCTGGCATGAGATGGTATCTCACTGTGGTTTTGATTTGCATTTTTCCAATGATTAGTGATGTTGAGAGCATTTTTTCGTGTTTGTTGGCCACTTGTATGTCTTCTTTTGAGAAGTGTCTGTTCATGTCCTTTGCCCACTTTTTAATGGGGTTATTTGGTCTTTGCTTGTCAGATTGCCCAAGTTCCTTATAGATTCTAGATATTAGACCCTTGTTGGATGCATAGTTTGTGAATATTTTCTCCCATTCTATAGGTTGTCTGTTTGTTCTGTTGATAGTTTCTTTTGCTGTGCAGAAGCCCTTTAGTTTAATCAGGTCCCTTTTGTCAGTTTTTATTTTTGTCGTAACTGCTTTTGGAAACTTAGTCATAAATTCTTTGCCAAGGCCAATGTCCAGAATGGTATTTTCTAGCTTTTCTTCTAGGATTTTTACAGTTTTAGGTCTTACATTTAAGTCTTTAATTTATCTTGAGTTAACTTTTGTATATGGTGAAAGTTAGGGGTCCAGTTTCAATCTTCTGCATAGGGTTAGCCAGCTATCCCAGCACCATTTTTTGAATAGGGACTCCTTTCCCCATTTCTTATTATTGTAGCCTTTGTCAAAGATCCAATGGTTGTAGGTGTGCAGCTTTATTTCTGGGTTCTCTATTCTGTTCCATTGGTCTAATGTGTCTCCTTGTATCAGTACCATGCTGTTTTGGTTACTGTAGCCTTGTAGTATAGTTTGAAGTTGGGTAATGTGATGCCTGTGGTAAAGCCACATATTTTAGAACTAAACATAGAAAATGAAAAAGCTGGGGATGAGGGAGTATTTCCTCAATAGAAATGGAGAAGCCTGACCCTTTTTCTCTCCTGGTCAATGCCTATACTGAGGTGGGCCAATCTTCAGGCACAGCCACAGTTTTTCTCAGAAATAGGTCTAGGATATCTCTACTATATGAATAATTAAAGGTGATTTCTCTGTGGCTAATATATTCCAAACAGATATATTATCTTGGGGCTCCCACTAGAACATCTGGCTTTAGAAAAATCACTCTTGGTGATCTTGCCAGAATAAATTTCTTGCTTGATTAATTAATATATTCTAATTACTGGCCAAAATAATTGGGACATCAGATGGGCACATGAACCCTTACCTAGGATTTTACAGAGGGAAATAATGTATCTACCAACTCTGCATTCATTAAGATGCAGGTCTTAGGCTGGGCGTGGTGGCTCATGCCTGTAATCCTCAGCACTTTGGGAGACTGAGGCAGGAGAATTGCTTGAGCCCAGGAATTTGAGACCAGCCTGAGCAACACAGTGAGACCCTGTTTCTTTTTTTAAAAAATAAAAATATAAAATGCAGGTCTTATATAAGTCTCGGTAGCCAAGAATCTATGGTAAACTGATATGCCTCTTCACAAAATCCAAATTTAAGAAAAGGTCAATACAACTTTTGCCCCACATATGTTGCTACAGGTGAAAATTCTCAGATGTTTCTCCAACAGGCTGTCAGCTATGTGAATTTTTTAAAAATCCACCACCACCACTTTTTTTTTTTTTTTTTTTTTTGAGACGGAGTCTCGCTCTGTCGCCCAGGCCGGACTGCGGACTGCAGTGGCGCAATCTCGGCTCACTGCAAGCTCCGCTTCCCGGGTTCACGCCATTCTCCTGCCTCAGCCTCCCGAGTAGCTGGGACTACAGGCGCCCGCCACTGCGCCCGGCTAATTTTTTGTATTTTCAGTAGAGACGGGGTTTCACCTTGTTAGCCAGGATGGTCTCGATCTCCTGACCTCATGATCCACCCGCCTCGGCCTCCCAAAGTGCTGGGATTACAGGCGTGAGCCACCGCGCCCGGCCCACTTTTTTTTTTGCGTGGTAGATTTTAGTTTTTTAGACTACATTATTATTGCCCATCATTTTGCAGTTAAAGAAACTGTAATTAGAGCTCCTAATAGTTAAGTAATCACCCAGTTCACAGAGCTGTATATGCCAAAGCCACAGTGAGAACTCAGTTCTTTCTGGCACCAAAACCCATGTCCTTTCCATTATTCTTTATTGCTTAAAATTACTTGTTCTATAAAACAATTATACAGAAATAAACAAATTTTAAAAGGCATCTCCAGAACTATGCTATAACTTTTAGAGCAGGCTATGTGGAGCTTCTTTATGTTAGCAGTTAGATAACCATATCAACTGATTCCTGAAGACGCCCCTCATCCAATCCACCCATTGCCATCAGCCTACGTAAGTACTCACACTTCCAACACCTGTGGCAGGGAGGCACACATCCACATTATCCAAAAGCAGTTTCAGACCACAAAGGTGTTTGAGAGAATGAGGCTCTTCAAAACGGAGTCCTGTTTTGTGTCACTCACAGTAGTATTTGGCCTAGGGGGAGCCATTTCTCCCAGCCTCCACTCTTACCATTAAGATGCAAGTGTTGCATGTGGATCCGTAACCATGTAGTCAAAGGCTCATGAAGAGTCAATATAATTGTGATCTTCTATTAGTCCTGATCCCAGAAAGCAGCATGGGGCTCTAGGGCAAGATATGCATTCAAGACAATCCTTTACATCCCCTTTTCCTCCCTGCTTCGCTGTCCCTCTGGAGTCATGCCAATTGGGCCAAGTTTACTGATGGGCAGGATCAACATATATTCAGAGGTCGTAACTATGGCCCTTCTATTCCATTGCTTCCTTCCATATGACTGGAGCAGTAGGGAGTCAGTGTAGACAACATCGTCTCCCCGCATTTACACACAGGCATGCTCATTATGACAGTTTCCTGCTCCTGTGGACCAAAGCGTGGTGAGACCCAGGATTTGGTGTTGGGCTAAGGAGGAGAAAAACATGCCCTAAGGCTCTTTAGCCTTGGTCATTGCTCCAGTCAAGTTTACAAGACAGGCCTGTGGGGACTTGGGATATAAGTCCTATGATATGTTATTTTTTCTTTGACATTTATCTCCTGTTTCTTTATGTGTCTCTCCCTTAGAGATTTTGTGTAGTTGATGACAGGATTCCAGTAGTCCTGGGTCTGGCCAAAATACTATCTTAATTCTATAAAAACCCCTTTTAAAAAAATTACAAATTGATTTTACAAATAAAACTATGCTTATTCGTATATAAAATGTTGACATGGGAAACTTGGGTTTTCAGTTCGTAAAGAAGAAAATTGGCATAAAATTTACTTAGAATGATGAGGAAGAAAGAGGAGAAGGTGGAGAGGAAAAAAGTCTAAAAACAAAGTAAGGTCAAGGGGTAAATTAGGAGGTTGGGGAAGAAGATGGAAGAAGAGAAACTGAGAAGCAAAAGGAGGAGGAGGAAGAGAAAAAACAAGGAGAAACAAGAGGAGAAGTAGAAGGGGAAAAGGAGAAGAAAAAGGAGGAGGAAGAAGAAGAAAAAAGTTGGGGGAGAAGAAGGAGGAGGGGAAGGAGGACAGGAGGAGGAGGAGGGGAAAAATAAGAGGAAGAGGAGGAGGAGGAGAAATTCGTGGCTATGTTGTTTCGGGTAAAAATAGTCATTTCACTTTTTGAAAATAGAATCAAGATACAGGAGAATAGTCTGTCATCAATGTCAGACAAATAGAATGTCTGCACTGAGTCACTCAAATAAAGGACATGGCAATCACACGCTTGAAGTATAGCATAAATAAATAAAACCGAATGCAAAAGAGGGACAAAGATTCTGACCTACAATAAAATGTTACTCAAGAGGCCAGGGCAGTGGCTTACACCTATAATCCCAGCACTTTGGGAGGCCGAGGCAGGCGGATTACTTGAGGTCAGGAATTCAAGACCAGCCTGGCCAACGAAACGCCGTCTCTACAAAAATACAAAAAGTAGCTAGGCATGGTGGCACACGCATGTAGCCCCAGCTACTCAGGAGACTGAGGTGGGAGGTTAGCTTAATACTCAAGACCAAGATATAGTTTAGTTAAAGTGTTGTTCCAGTTAAGCTGTTGTTTCTCAGTTTCAAACCCACTCTCTCTATTTGGCTTTGTGATGTTACAATGAGGACTCTGCAAAAGTTTCTTCTTGCCAGCTGGGGGAAGTTCTGCCAATAGGAGGCAATAGAGAGAGGCTACAAGGCTGGAGGATGAAGAGGGGACTTACCCCCTGTCTGCTTCTTATTGTCATATCACTGTCAGCATCACCCAGTGTTTCTTTTTCACCCCAGCAGTTTCTTCTAGCATCAGTTGGGTCTAGTTTGCAGTTTTTCCAAATTCATGGAACCAGTCTCGTTACACCCTACCCTCTGCCCCAGAAACACCAGCACCAGACTGCCAAAGCCCCCTTTCCCAGAGGTCTGAGGTCCTCCCCCAGGCTCTATGTTTTGATACTTCCAAGTTCTTCCCTTTGTTTCCGCAGTCTTAATGCTAGCATCTGCCTCCTGCATTGCTACCTCCACATCACCAAGTGTTCTTTATCTGTCTTTTCAGTTACCTAGTTAACAGCTCTCTAGAATAAATTCTCTCTGGTAAAATGATTGTTGTGGCTTATGTTTCCTAACTAGAGCCTGGTTATCCATGCAGAAATATGAAAATATCTTGGGGAATGGGCAGGGGGATATAACTTTTTTTTTTTTGAGACAATGTCTCACTCTGTCGCCCAGGCTGGAGTGCAGTGGCGTGATCTCGGCTCACTGCAAACTCTGTCTCCCAGGTTCAAGTGATTCTTCCACCTCAGCCTCCCGAGTAGCTGGGATTACAGGCATGCATCACCACACCCAGCTAATTTTTGTATTTTTAGTAGAGATGGGGTTTCGCCATGTTGGCCAGGCTGGTTTTGAACCCCTGACCTCAAGTGATCCACCCGCCTCAGCCACCTAAAGTGTTGGGATTACAGGTGTGAGCCATCGCACCCAACTTGCAACATAATTTATGTTGGGCTCAGGCTTCTTCACAGAAACGTAATGCTGGGAGACAATAGAGCACAATCTACAAGGTTCTAAGAGAAAGAAAGTGAAAACCAAAAATATTTTAACAACCCAAGATGTTCAAATATAAAGATAAAAGACAGACATTTTCAAATATAAAAGAACTTAAAGAATAGAATATCTGCATGTTCTTTCTTGGGCCCAGCCGCCATTGGTGGTGGAGTGGCACTATGGTGGTCCTGAGCAGCGTGAAGCGGGGTCCATGGAGAAGGGCTGCTTAGCACGAGATGCCTGATCCCAAGCTGGGGGAGGAGGGTATCCATAAAGATGGGAAGCCTGGTGTGGGGAGTCAGGGCTGAGCAGGAAGAGGAAGGCATAGGGAATGAGGTAGTCTAACCTGGAGCATCAGAGCCAAAGCAGGATGAGGAGGGTTCTAGGTGGAGGATAGCCTGGTATGTGGAGTCAAAGCCTGAATGGGATTAGGAGGGCATCCATGGCAGTGTTAGGGGTTATGGCCCACCAAGTGGAGTCAGAGCCCAACAGGGCAAAAAGAAAGGCCATGATGGTGCAGCCCAGCATGAAGTATCAGAGCCCAAGTAGAAGAAGACAGACATTAGTGCTAGAGAGGACATGGCAGCAGAGATTGGATATTGATTGATACTGATCAATCAATATCAATATCGATGTTGATTACATACAAAGGATTAATTAAGTAGTATGTTAAGACTAATGGACGCCAGACTTCACACTGTTGGAAAAAAGAGTTACAAATACAAAAAGAGAGACACCTAGAATAAATTTCGTGGTGTTAGATTGGAATTGAAGTTATTGGTGTGAACTACAGTTTAATACACATATAAATAGATATAGAAACGGACATAGACCTGTATGGATGTATGTAGCTTTGTCCACTAGGAGGGCTTGAGGCAGCAATGTCCCAATATCAACAGACACATCTACCACTAAGATCTTGGCTTCTGAATGCCATTTTCCACTCAAAGGAACCAGGGTCCCTTGGAGAAATGGCTGATTTCAGTACCAGCAGGGAAAGTAAAAGATGAATTTGAATCATCTTTCTGTGCCACAGCAACAATAAGGAAGGTCCTAAAATACAATAGGAGCATGTCAAATGACATATAAGCTAGCTTCTATTGGACAAAGCAATGGCTGTTAAGTTTTCAAGGGAAGGCGAGAGTATCAAAATTTGATTTGATATTTGAGTATCAAAATAAGTGATGGCGGGAACAACCCACTGAATAAAATAGAAACCATGAGTCCAAAAGACATTAATTAATTAATTAATTAAAAGTTTACTGCACAATGGCATACTTAGTTTCAAATTCCTCTCCACAAAGTACTTATTAATTACAAAGAGAAAAAAATAATAACTTTACAGATGGGAAGCTTGGCAAACACCACCTTAATCAAGTGACCAGAGTGAGCTTCATCAGTAATGAGACAAACAGAAATGGCATACCACCTGAGGGGAGGCGAGGAGAAGAAACCAGCATCGGCCAGGCATGGTGGCCCATGCCAGTAATCCTAGTGCTTTGGGAGGCTGAGACAGGAGGATCTCTTGAGGCCAGGAGTCCGAGACCAGCCTGGGCAAATGGCGACACCCCGTCTCTAACAAAAAAATACAAAAAAAAAAATTAGCTGGGTGTGGTGGTGCGTGCCTGTGGTCCCAGCTACGTGGGAGGATGGTTTGAGCCCAGGAGACAGAGATTACAGTGAGCCAAGATCACACCACTGTACTCCAGCCTGAGTATAAAGATCATTCAAGAGAAGATTGAGAAAATGCTCCAGACTGAAGCAGAATAAAAAGACATGACAACTAAATGCAACTTGTGATTCTGAATTGTATCCTTTTGCTGTAAAAGCCACTATCGGGGCAACTGACAAAACTTGAGTAATGTGAGAATTAGATGGGAGTAGTGTATTGTTATTAATTTTCTGATTTTGATCACTGTGTCATGGTTATGTAGGGAAATGTCTGTAGGAAATACATTCTAGAGTAATACGAATAATTATATATGAAAAAGCAAAGTTTAAGTGGATATAGTAAAATTCTTTTAAAAGACTATATATTTCATGATATGCATTTTAATGTATATATACACCTTATTCTTCTGGACAGATGCAGAAGAAAAGTAATGTGATGATCTGGGAGAGGAACTGGGTGGTGGTAGGAAAGAGCTTTTGTTTTTCATTTTATATCTTCCTGCATAGTTTATTTTTTTTTGCCAGGTACATGTATTACTCTAATAAAAACAAATACAGGAGGCTGGGCATTGTGGCTCACACCTGTAATCCCAGCCTTTGAGAGGCCGAGATGTGGGGATCACTTGCGGTCAGGAGTTTGAGACCAGCCTGGTCAACATGGTGAAACCCCGTCTCTACCAAAAAATACAAAAATTATCCAGGCGTGGTGGCAGGCGCCTATAGTCCCACCTACTCAGGAGGCTGAGGCACGAGAATCACTTGAACTCAGGAGGTGGAGGTTGCAGTGAGCCGATACCATGCCACTGCACTTCAGCCTGGGCAACAGAATGAGACTCTGTCTCAAAACAAAAAACAACAACAAAAAAAGGAGTTTTCTGGAGAGTGAGATTATGTGTCATTTCTGTTTTTCTTATTTTTTTACATTCAAAAAACTAATACATAATAATGTTAGACATTTGCATGCACACGCATGGAAATTTTTATTTTTCTCTCTACAGTTAAGGCAAAAAGTGAATAAGGATCAGCTCTCATCAATTAAGTCAGGCTTTGAACAATTTTGGTAGCAGAAAGTCTTTACCTGGTGTTTTATTTAATTCAGGCTTTTTAATTTAAAGATCTGTATGAGGGATTGTTCTTGATTAGCGATTAACAAGGATTCTAGAACACATAGACAGACTTCAAAACAGTTTTGTCAGGACCATGTAGCTGAGAAAAGCCTCTTGTTTATTAATTTAGGTCTACGTTTCGATGACTTTTTTCTCACCCAAACCTTACCCTGTGGAATACTTTTTAAAATCTACCCTTCTGTTTTGGTCAAAGTCCTTTGACAAGCATCAGACTTAGAGGCTTTCAACACAGTTTAAATAGAATTTAAATTCGATAAATTCCTGTGTATTTTTTTTCCTATTTCTTTACAAACTGCCTTCTCTGTATAGTCAAGGGGTTTTTTCTGTTTTGTTGTTGTTGTTGTTGCTTTGGCTTCCAGAAAATGTCCCTGTAAAATCAAGAAAGTTTAGGGCAAGGCCTGCACTTACTCAAACATGGAAGGGTGAACGCAGATTTTGGGTTTCAGTGATCTCCTGATACCGAAAGAAAAGTGCCTCCCTCCCTCGGGGGCACTTCAAGATGACAGTTTCAAAAGGCACTTCAGGTGAAAGTGTAAATGAAATTTCAAAAGACCATCAGTCAGTAAGAAATCATTCATAGAATTCTACAATCCTTTGGCAATATAGAACAAAAGTTAAGTGTTTGGGTGCTTGTGCCAAACAGATGTGAACTTGAATCTCAGTTTTACCAGTTACTTACAATGTGTCCATGAGCAAGATACTTAATTTCTCCGAAACCCAGTTCATTTGTCTATGAAATGGAAATAATAAAAGTACCCTAACGCCTGGAATTACCATAGATTTATTTAAAATAGGCCAGGCGCAGTGTCTCACTCCTGTAATCCCTACACTTTGGGAGGCCGAGGCGGGCAGATGACCTGAGGTCAGGAGTTCAAGACCAGCCTGACCAACATGGTGAAACCCCATCTCTCCTAAAAATACAAAAATTAGCCCAGGCATGATGACAAGCACCTGTAATCCCAGCTATTCAGGAGGCTGGGGTAGGAGAATCGCTTGAAACCAGTAGATGGATGGAGGTTGCAGTGATCTGAGATCGTGCCATTCATTGCACTCCAGGCTGGGCAATAACAGTGAGACTCCATCTCACACACACACAAAAAAAGAAATAAAATAAAATAATACATGTCTACTACAAATAAAGCACTTAATAAATATTAGTTGTTGATTACTTTTTTAAAAAATTGTCACTGTCTCAATTTATATTCCAAAAACTCACCATTCCAATTATGGGTTACAATAGGCTTAGGGGGCTCAGCCCAGTGGCTCATGCCTGTAATCCCAGCACTTTGGGAGGCCGAGGCAGGCAGATAGCTTGAGCTCAGGAGTTCAAGACCAGCCTGGGCAACATGGCAAGACCCCCATCTCTACAAAAAATACAAAAATTAGCTGGGCGTGGTGGTTCACATCTGTAGTCCCAGCTACTTGGAGAATCGCCTGGGAGGCAGAGGTTGCAGTGAGCTAAGATTGTGCCACTGCACTCCAGCATGGGTGACAGAGCGAGATCCTGTCTCAAAACAAACAAACAGGCTCAGTGTCCACAATGTGAAGGGTGAAAGTAGGAGGGAAATGGCTGCTTTCTATATGCACCAAGCTATTCACCCAAAGAATGACAAGGGGGACGAGGAGCCAACCACCTTATTATAACACCAGCCCAGGATGGAACTCTCAGGGAAGCTCCCCTTGGAATATGTGTCCATTAGACTTGCCAGTTAGTAAGTCCAAATTGCGGTTATGAATATAAGTGGTGAGGAGTTTCCTTCTGAATTTTTTTTTTTTTTTGACAGAGTTTCACTCTGTCGCCCAGGCTGGAGTGCAGTGGCACAATCTCAGCTCACTGCAACCTCCAACTCCTGGGTTCAAGCGATTCTGGTGCCTCCGCCTCCTGAGTAGCTGGGACCGTAGGCATCCGCCATTGTGCCCAGCTAATTTTTGTATTTTTAGTAGAGACGGAGTTTCACCATGTTGACCAGGCTGTTTTTGAACTCCTGACCACAAGTGATCCACCCGCCTCAGCCTCCCAAAGTGCCCGTCTGAAATTTAAACAACTTTTCCACCAGTTCCACATTAGCTCTAAGTAGAGCCCCAGGACTTTCTCCCTGCCCACCTCTCATGCCAGCCCTTGAATTCTGTGCCCCAAAGAGCATTAATTTCCATACTCAACAAGGATTTATGGAGTTCTTACTGTGTGCCAGGCCCTGTACTAGACACTGGGCATAGAGTGGTCAAGGCACATAGGAGCGCTGCCTTCATGGAGCTCATGTTCTATGAGGAGGTATGTTCAACAGATCAGCACCCTAATAATCGGTTGCTCAAAAACGTATGTTCTATGAAAAAGTACAGGGGGTCCAGGTGCCATCAGAACAGAAGGACCTGCGTGGGTGGGGCATGCCTGCCCCTGCCAGTCTCTAGGGGCCTGGCCAGGCTCTCCCCAGCCAGTCTGCCCTCCTCAGGTGTGGAGGAGTCTCTGGGCCCCAGGAGGATTCCCTCCTGGAGACTCACACAGTGCTCCCTGCTCACGTGTTGTCACAGCCCAGAAATGACTGAAACAAAGCATTCTCCTGGACCTCAGCATGGGGGATCCTCCAGGCAGGTGCTAAGTGTGCAGCCGTGGGGTGGTCAGTGCTTTATGCCAGCACTTCTGGAACTTCTGGATGGATATAGGGACTATCATTAGTATCCTAATATGTGGTGTTTGTTTGTTTGTTTGTTTGACAGAGTCGAGTCTCGCTCTATCGCCCAGGCTGGAGTGCAGTGGCACAGTCTCGGCTCACTACAACCTTCGCCTCCTGGGTTCCAGCGATTCTTCTGTCTCAGCCTCCCAAGTTGCTGGGATTACAGGCACCTGCCACCATGCCTGGCTAATTTTTGTATTTTAGTAGAGATGGGGTTTCACCATGTTGGCCTGGCTGGTCTCAAACTCCTGACCTCAAGTGATCCACCCGCCTCGGCCTCCCAAAGTGCTGGGATTACAGGCATGAGCCACCATGCCTGGCCAATACGTGGTGATTTTTAAAAAACCATAAAATTGATTCACAGTCCACTGACCCTTACAGATCTAGATATACCCTTACCAGAGAGAGAACTCTGATGAGGAAATGCTGGTAAATTACCATTTTTCTAATTGCTGGTGAGTCTGACACTTGGTGAGTTTTCAGCCAGTTTGTTAAACTTTTAATTAAGTTTTGTTTATAATAAAAATATAAATGGATTTGAAAGTTTCCATTTTTTTAAGTTACCTTTGTTTTACAAAGGTATTTTCTAAACACATCTTTAATGGACTATTTAACTGAATTTAAGGAATTCACACATGACAGCTGACAGGTCTTCATGCAGGCTGATTGGTAACGTGCTGCCAGCACAGGGCTGGGTGATGCATACACCCTAAGCTGGGGGTGCCTGGGGAGAAGGGCGCTCCTTGGAGTGCCCCTCCAGCTGCAGGGCAGTGAGGTGCCACTTGTGTGAGCCATCAGGGAGGCAGCTGGCCATGGGGGCAGAGGGTAGCAGGAGCATCATGGGGCCTTTCCATCTGGGCTGGTTCTCTGCGATGGTGGTGTCATGCTTGCCTCTGCTCCTTTTTTTCTTTTTTTTCTTTTTGCAATTGCAAGATTTAATAGAGTGAAAACAGAGCTCCCATACAAAGGGAGGGGACCCAAAGAAGGTAGCCATTGCTGGCTCGAATGCTTGGGTTTATATCTCGATCATTGTCTCTTCTGCTGTGCTCTCAGGCAATAGATGATTGGCTATTTCTTTACCTCCTGTTTTTGCCTAATTAGCATTTTAGTGAGCTCTCCTTACTGGTTGGGTGTGAGCTAAGTTGCAAGCCCCATGTTTAAAGGTGGATGTGGTCACCTTCCCAGGTAGGCTTAGGGATTCTTAGTTGGCTTAGGAAATCCAGCTAGTCCTGTCTCTCAGTCCCCCCTCTCAACAGGAAAACCCAAGTGCTGTTGGGGAGGTTGGCCAGCGACCACTCTAACTGCTTCCTGCTGAACTGGGGTGTAGTAGCGGTTGTGCAGTTGAGATTTTCTCAGGAGGATGCCTTCGATGTCATTAACATCAGAGCATAGGCTAGCAGGCCGGTCCAGGGGTCCATGGACTGCATCTGGGGCTCCATTTGAAGAACCATTTGTAGCTTTACAGCTTTGATTCTGGAAGAGACAAACTTAACAAGGAGGTTAAGATACAGGGTCCAAAGAGGAGTAACAATATTATAGCTGCTAGAGGTCCTAAGAAGGGGAGAATCCAGGGCATCCATTGGCTGAGGGGGCCCCAGGGTCCGGTGTTTTGAAGCTCCCCTGCTCTACGTTGTATGCGATCTCGAATTTTTTTAAATTTCTTCTCAGTGACGATTCTGGATTGATTAACATAATAACAGCATCTTTCCCCTAAAGATAAACAAGTTCCCCCTCTTTCGGCGGTTAGCAAGTTTAAAGCTCTTCGATTTTGAAGGACTACTGCTGCTAAGGAGTTAAGTTGATCTTGCAAGGTGACCAGGGAGTCGGCGACCTGTTCCATGTCACCATTTAGTTCTTGAGATAGTTTGTGGTAGAACTGAGTAGAGGTTGTAATACCGCCAATGCCAGTACCTAGTCCGCCTAGTACTCCTGCTCCAATAACAAAAGGAAGAATGGGTACTCTTTCATTGTTGCCTCTGCTCCTTTCATCTAGAAAGAAGCTGCTGACCCTGACAGCACACCTAGGGCACACCGAGTGGCTGCATTGGTGCTGTCACTTTTTTAAAGCTTTCTGTCCAGACTTCAACTCTGGTTTCTTTTCAGAGTTGTGGAGGACTGATGACTTCCTCAAACCCTTGCTGTGGGGCTGAGGGTGATGGTCATGTCCATTTCTTATGTATTAAAAGCCCTCAGTGATTCAATTAGATTGTCCCACTGCTCAGACCTGTAGGGCAGCTTCTAGCATGCTTTTTTCAAGGGGAGAGGAGCAGTGAAAAGTCGTGTGTCAGAAATGGATTTGAGAATGTTCTGAATGACCCCTGGAGGCCGAGGGGGCAGGCTTCGGGCGTGAACTGAACTCCAGACCCCTCTTTGTGTTGGGCAGTGTCGTCCTGCTTATAAACTATAAGACACATTTTCTTTTGTGTTTGTTTTCATTTTTGTTCTTTTGCAGCACTCACACCTTTGACAGTCTTTGGGAAAGAATAACACCCACGTAAAGAATTTGTCACATCCAGTGTAGCGCTGTTCTTTAATACTGGCATAACAATTCCAGGAAGTTTTTCTTTTTTATATTTAAAATGTTACTTTTCTATATGATGTGCAAGCAAGTTTGCCATAACTTTTCTTAAACTTTTTAGTGCCATTTCTAGTATATTCCTGTAAATGTCAGCTACTGCAAATGAGTCCAATTTAAGTAGTATTAGCTTGTTTATTGCAATGTTGGCCTCAACACAACAGAATAAAAATGGTAGAAAACACTCTTTGATGTTTCTGGTAATCATGGACCCTTCTCCTGGGGCATTTGTTTTGTTTTCATAACAGAAAGCAAAAAAACAAAAAAAAAAACAGGGGACCTGAACTACTCTGAGAGGTTAGGAAAGCCTTTCCTGAATCTGACATTTAAGCAAGACCTGAAAGATGATAGGAATCAGAAAAGAAAACAATAATAACATTTTAGGCAAAGCAAACAACATGTGCAAAGGGCTCAAAACAGGGTAGAGCATGATACTTAGACAATAAAAATGTGAAAGATTCATGTGTGGCTGGATTACATGCAAGGATGGAAGGTGTGAAGTGAGGAGAGGGGGTGGAGCAGAGAGTGGGGCACAGAGAGAAAGGGGCATGAGAAGAAGCAGGAGAGATAAACAGGGTCTTATCATCCATTTTAGGGATTTGGGGCTTTATAATAAGAAAAATGGAAGACCACTCAAGTATTGAAGCAGTATAACGTCATGACCAAATGTGCCCTTTCTAAAACAACTCTGGCTGCCATGTGTAGAATAAATTAGAGCAGAGCAAAAATGAAGGGAGAAAGACCAACTGGGAGGCAAGAGAAGGTGGTGACTTAACCTTGAGGAATTACTGTCTCTGCCATGGAATACATGGAATAAGTACCAAATACCCAGTTATCTCAACAGGTAGCTTTGGTGGGAGACGTATAACATTAAGGCTTATATTCAGTTAATTAGGAAACTGGATCAGACCAACACAGATTTTTATTTCCCTGGCCCAGGAGTTCTGTAATGGCCTCTTTAGGGCTGTACAAGAATAGAGGAGCTAGTGGCCTGGCACGGTGGCTCACTCCTGTAATCCCAGCACTTTGGAAGGCTGAGGTGGGTAGATCATTTGAGCCCAGGAGTTCAAGACCAGCCTGGGAAACATGGCAAAACTCCATCTCTACAAAAAATACAAAAATTAGCCGGGTGTGGTGGTGCACACATGTGGCCCCAGCTACTTGGGAAGCTGAGGCGGGAGGATTACTTGAGCCCAGGAGGTCAAGGATGCAGTGAGCCATGACCACACCACTGCACTCCAGCCTGGGTGACAGAGCGAGACCCTGTCTCAAAATAATAATAATAATAATGGCAGAAAACTTATCAAATTTATTGAGAAACAATAACCTGGCCAGGCGCAGTGGCTCACATCTGTAATCCCAGCAATTTGGGAGGCCGAGGCGGGACTCGAGAAAAGGAGTTTGAGACCAGCCTGGCCAACATGGTGAAGCCCCGTCTCTACTAAAAATACAAAAATTAGCCGGGTGTGGTGGCACAGGCCTGTAGTCCCAGCTACTAGTGAGGCTGAGGTGGTAGGATCGCTTGAACCAGGGAGATGGAGGTTGCAGTGAGCTGAGATTGCACCACTGTACTCTAGCCTGGGTAACAAAGCAAGACCTTATCTCAAAAAAAAAAAAAAAAAAAAAATCAGCCGGGCATGATGGTGCACACCTGTAATCCCACTTACTTGGAAAGCTGAGGCACGAGAATCGCTTAAACCCAGGAGGCAGAGGTTGCAGTGAGCCGAGATCATGCCACTGCACTGCAGCCTGGGCAACAGGGCAAGACTCTGTCTTAGAAAAAAATAAGTAAATAACCTCCACATCCAGAAGCTAAATGATCTCCAAGTAAGAAAAACTAAAAGAGATTTGCAAACAGACACTTAATAGTAAAAAATGCTGAAAGTAAAAGACAAGGAGAATACCTTGAAGGCAGCAAGAGAAAAACAATGCATTGGGAACTTGTAAGAGGACCTTCATAAGATTAGCACTTGGCTTTTCAGCAAAAACATATAGGTCACAGAGAGTGATGCGCAAAGAAAAAGAACTGTCAACCAAAAGTCCTACGTTTAGCAAAGCTATCTTTCAAAAATGAAAGCAAACTAAAGACTTTCCCAGATAAACAAATGCTGATGGAATTTGTTGCTAGCAGACTCACCTTACAAGAAATACCAAAGGACATCCATCAGGCTAAAAGCAAATGATCTCATGCTAATTTGAATACGTACACACACAAAAAAAAGGTGACTAGTAACAATTTTTTTAATGTATAAGTGCATATTTCTGTCCTCATAACTGATTTAAAAAGCAATCATACAAAATTATATATATGTAAAATACATAATGTAAGGTTAGGCCTATAACATATACAAATGTAATATTTTTGTTAATAATAGCACTAAGGGGTGGATGGGAGCAAAGCAGTATAAGCAAAGGACATGACTGTAGTTGATAAACTAATAATTATAACAATATATTGCTGAGTTTGTAACATTAATAGATGTGACATATGTATAACAAAAATATATTGCATAATATAATAATATATAATGTATACCATATATAACAATAATACACAAAAGAGGAGAAGAGACTAGAGCTACATAGGAGTAATATTTCTATACATCACTGGTATTAAGCTATCTGAAGTGACCTCTGGTAAGCTAAGATGTACATGGTAAATCCTAGAGTAACCACTTAAAAATAGTGAAAAAATAATTAAAACATTAAGCATCAAAATACATGAAGCAAAAACTGGCAGAAATGAAGGGAGAAATAGAAAACTCAACAATAATAAGTGAAAGCTTCAAAATTCCACTTTTAATATTGGATAGAATAACTCAATAGAAGATCAAGGAAATAGAAGATTTGAACAACACTACGGACCAACTACACCTAACAGACATCTGTAAAACACTCCACTCAACAACAAAATATGCATTCAAGTGTACATAAAACATCCCCTGGATAGACCATATGCCAAGCCGTAAAACAAACCTCAATAAAATTTAAAGAATAAAAATAATACAAAGTATATTCTCTGACCACAATGAAATAAAATTAGAAATCAATAGCAAAATAAATGGGAATAATTCTACAAATATGTGGAAATTAAACAACACACTCCTAAATACGACCTATAACCAATGGATCAAGGAATAAATCAAAAGGGAAATTTAAAAAACTTGGAGATGAATGAAAATAAAGACCCGGTACACCAAAACTTGTGGGATGCAATGATCAGAGAAAAATTTATATTTGTAAATGCCTACTTTAGGAATGAAGGAAGATCTCACATCAATGGCCTAATCTTCCAGTTAATCTTCTAAGACGCTAGAGAAAGAAACACAGGCCGGGCACAGTGGATCATGCCTGTAACCCCAGCACTTTGGGAGGCCGAAGTCGGTGGATCACTTGAGGTTGGGAGTTCAAGACCAGCCTGGCCAACATGGTGAAACCCTGTCCCTACTAAAAATACAAAAATTAGCTGGGCATGGTGGCAGATGCCTGTAATCCTAGCTACTCGGGAGGCTGAAGCAGGAGAATAGCTTGAACCTGGGAGGTGGAGGTTGCAGTGAGCCAAGATTGCACCACTGCTCTCCAGCCTGGGCAACAGAGTGAGACTCTGTCACAAATGAAAAAAAAAAAAAAGAGAGAGAGAGAAAGAAAGACAAACTCAACTACAGCAAGCAGAAGAAAGGAAATAAAGCTTAGAGTGGAAACTAATAAAATAGAAAATAAACAATAGAGAACACTAACAAACAAAAAATTGGCATAAGATCAACAAAACTGACAAACCTTTAGCTAAGTTAACCAAGAAAAAAAAAGACTCAAATTACTAGAATCAGAAATGAAAGAGGGGACATTGTTGTCAACGTTACAGAAACAAACATAATAAGAAATACAATGAACAGTTGTACACCAACAAAATAGATAACTTAGATGAAATAGACAGATTCCTAGAAATACACAAACCACCAAAACTGACTCAAGAAGAAACAGATGATCTGAATAAGTATAACAAATAAAGAGGCTGAACTAGCAATAAAAAATAATACCCACAAGAAAAACCCAAGCCTAATTAGCTTTCCCACTGATTCTGCCAAACATTTAAAGAAGAATTAATATCAGTTATTCACAAACTCTTCCAAAAAATAGAAGAGGCTAAACACTTCCCAACTCATTTTATAAGGCAAATATTACCCTGATGTCAAAACCAGACAAGGACATCACAAGAAAAGAAAACCAGAGAAAAAATATCTCTTATGAATATGGACGCAAAAATCCTCAACAATTAGGAATGATTGTATGTGGAAAAAGAATAAAGAATCCTCAACAAAATACTAGCAAACCAATTCCAGCAGTATCTAAAAATAAGTATACATCATAACCAAGCTGGATTTCTCCCTCGAGAGCAAGATTAGTTCAGCATCTGAAAATCAATTCTTGTAACACATCGTACCAGTAGAATTTTTTAAATCACATGATGATCTCAATAGATGCAAAAAAAGCATTTGACAAAATCAAACACTCTTTCATGATAAAAACACTCAACAAACTAGGAACAGAAGAGAACTTCCTCAACCTGACAAAGAGCCTTTATGAGAAACCCACAGCAATCATGCTAAATGGTAAAAGGCAGATGTTTTCTTCCTAGGATCAGTAACACGACGAAGATGTCTGGTCTCACCACTTCTGTTCAACATTGTACTGGAGGTTCTAGCCAGGGAAATAGTCAAGAAAAAGCAATAGAAGGTATCCAGATTGGAAAGGAAGAAATGAAAATATCTCTGTTCACAGATAACACAGTCTTACATATGGAAAATCCTCCTCCTTGAAGTCTGGGTATTTGGTAAAACATTTTTTTTTTTTTAAAGAAAATCTTAAGGAATCCACAGACAAATGTATAAACAGAATGTGGTATATCCATATAACAGAATATTCGGTCATATAAAGAAATGAAGTATTGATACATGCCACTTGAATGAACCTCAAAAACATTATGCTAAGTGAAAAAAGCCAGTCACAGAAGTCCACATATTATATGATTCTATTTATACAAAATATCCAGAAAATCTATAGAGGAAAATCTATAGAGAAAGAAAGTAGAGGCTGGGCGCAGTGACTCACACCTGTAATTCCAGCACTTTGGGAGGCTGAGGCGGGCCGAACACGAGGTCAGGATTTCAAGACCACCCTGGCTAACACAGTGACACCCTGTCTCTACTAAAAATACAAAAAATTAACTGGGCGTGGTGGTGGGCGCCTGTAGTCCCAGCTACTCGGGAGGCTGAGGCAGGAGAATCGCTTGAACCCGGGAGGTGGAGTGAGCCAAGATCGCACCACTGCATTCCAGCCTGGGCGACAGAGAGAAACTCCATCTCAAAAAAAAAAAAGGAAAAGAAAAAGAAAGTAGGTTATGGGGGGGCCAGGGGAAGTGGGGAGAAAAGGAGGGGGTTATCTTAGCTAAAGGGTATGGGTTTTTTTTTTAGGCGATGAAAATGTTCTAAAATTGACTGTAATGGTGGCTGCAGATATGCATGAATATATTAAAAACATTAAATTATATACTTCTAATGGGAGAATTGTATGTTATGTGAATTATATCTAAACAAAGCTGTTAAAAAAGCGATAAAATGCCAACCTATATTTATCTCTGTCTAAATTATCCCCTGGAGAGAAGGAGTTCCTAAATCCTTAAACTTGAAGAAGTGCATTGAAATGCATTTTCTATAATCCAGGTTTCCTGCAGATATGTAACACTCAAAACCCATGCAAAAAGCAGAGGTATCAAGATCCTTACACTTAGGTAAGAATCTACCCTAATTGTACTTATCTATCCATCTACTCATATTCCAGAAACCAAATCTTAGTCACTGAGAAGTCTGGCAGAATTGAAAAAAAAAAAAAAAAAATGCAGCCGTGAGTACGTGCCAAGCAGCATGAAGGTAATGGTGGCATTATGCACCTTACTATTTACCAAGCCATTTGGATGAACTGACCTAAAGCCAGGAGATCTTGCAAATGGTCATCCCACCGCCCATCTAAATCATGATTTCTCTCCAGATGCCCCTCCAACTCCCATTTAAAGTTCCTTCTAGGATGGGTGCGGTGATTCATGCCTGTAATCCCAGCATTTTGGGAGGCTGAGGGTGGGCAGATCACTTGAGGTCAGTGAAACCCTGTCTTTACTAAAAATACAAAAATTAGCCAGGCGTGGTGGCGGGCACCTGTAATTCCAGCTACTCCGGAGGCTGAGGCAGGAGAGTTGCTTGAACCCATGAGGCAGAGGTTGCAGTGAGCCGAGACTGCACCACTGTACTTTAGCCTGGGCAAGAGTGAGACTCCATCTCCAAAAAAAAAAAAAAAAAGTTCATTCTACTAAAAAAAAAACAAAACAAACAAACAAACAAAAAACCTCCTAGTTTGATCACTTAGAAGAAACCTCCAGCAGGTGATTGGACATCTCTAGCTTTTAGATTATACTGACAAGGAACTTTAAAACAAAACAAAACAAAAAATGAAGAAGCAAGCAGCACAACCCCCTGGAAGATTAGCAACACATCAAACAAAATCAGAAGGAAGTTCTAAAACTCAAAACCTAAGTACAACAGACCCTAGTGGGAGGCCCTAGGCTTTACTATTAGGATCAATGGTGGAGGCAGATGTGGAGATGATATTGCCCAAGGTCCAGGTTTGGCAAGAAAAATGGAACATTTTCATCTCCATTGGCTTCTAGGCCCCCTCACCCTCAATACATCAGGTTTTATGGAGCCTACACTTTTCTCCAGCTGGAATCAAGAATTCCTCCTTTGTTGCTCATCTGTTGCTCATCAATTCCACGTTTTAAAGATCAGTTCAAGTTGCAGAAGAATAGATATCACATAATTCTAGTTATGGTATACACACATGCACACACACACACACACACACACACACACACTAGAGAGAGAGAAAGGCTGTCACCAAGTTGCGGTTCTCCCTATGATTAAGGCAAGTCAGGGCAGGTGTAAAGCAGGTGATGATAGGGTTTATGAAGAACCAGGGGAGTGGGGTAGGGAGTAGAAGTAAAAAGAGCCTTTCAAGTTTTGCCTTAGTATTAGCTTGAACCATATAAAATTGTCATTTTTAAAGGTCAAAAACAGGTATCATCAATTTCACATGATTTTCATCTTTTGCAATAGAAATATTTGTGTGATGAATAATATTGCTGAAGAAAACAAACCAATCACATAACAATAAAAAATCAAGTATCTCCTGTTTGAAACTAGACCCATTGGTTTGTTTACTGCTCTCTAAACTTTACCTTCACTCTCTCTCTGATAATGTACAGCTCTGAATCTTTCAACCCAGTATAATGAATGAACAGACAGCAGATTTCAGGCAGATCTTTTTAACTCTTGACCATCGGGATATTTGCTTTAGCAGTGTGTGATGACGGAAAAAGACTTGGAGCCAGGCCATCTGGAAGCTAAAATATCATTACTCTGGGCAAGATTGAGTTTTAATCCTCTCTTATGTTGAAATGGGGATTAAAATATTAACTTCACAAGGTTAACGTGAAGATTAAGTGAGACGTGTATGTGAAAGGAGAGTTATATGGCTCCTGACACATGGTAGATATTCAATAAGTTATTTTCCTTCACTTAGAGTGAAATTTTCTAGAACAGCATAGAGTGTTGGCAGCTCTTCAATAATTTATCAGTAGCCTTTGTCCTCCTCTGGACAGAGACCAGTTAGGCACCAAGTACCCATAGAGATCTCCACCTACTGATGACCAAAAGTCTGCCTTTGATCTCTAATGCAACAATAAGGTGGGCAGAAACAGCCCCTGACAGATCACAATTTCCTATGACATAAAACAAGGCTCAGAGTCGGGCCCCTTTATCTTTAAGTGATGATGCCACTTTGGTCTGATACCACATTAGATTAGATGGATGTGTGATCTCCTACCAAGCACACAGGAAGATTGGCATCAACCTTTGCACTGATGATAGGGTTTATGAAGAACCAGGAGGCCCCAAAAAACTGTAAGTCCTGGTGCCTGGCTGTGTCAGAAATGCAGTCTTAACATCAGGTAGTTTCCTGCCTGCTTAGCCCTCAACCTCAACAGACGCCTGGATATCAAGAACCTTGCCTTAAGTCTGAGCCAAGTTGTCCCTCCAATTAAGGCAAGTCAGGGCAGGTATAGAGCAGCTGTTCCCAAATTCTTCAGAGTTCCCTACGGATCTTTCAAAGAATGGAGTACCTGGGACCCACTCCAGACCTATCCAAGGAAACTCTCCAGAGGTGGGCCCAGGAATTTGTAATTTTCAATAAGCTCCCCAGGGGATTCTTTCACAGCCAGACTGACACCGTTTGAGTCTGGAGGACAGAGGAACAGGTCCATCAAAGTCTATTCATATGAGAGTCGGTATAGGGAGTTTCCCAAAGTAATTAGTTCTGGTTATCTCACTTTGAGGAGGAAGAAAGTGAGAGTCATACTGAACATACTTAAGTTTAGAGAGAAGGATGTTTAGATTTGAAAATGTATTGTTTTGAGTAAAGGAGTTTAAGATAAATAAACATTTTAAATTTCTTTGTAGAAGCCAGTCCCAAGAATAGTTTTATTACTTCCCTAAGCAAGATAAAGTCAAGGAATAGAAGTGAGCTTCCCTACCACTGAATGAGTTTTAGGAGTAAACCGGCTGCTGAGAGTCAGCCACCACCCCAATGCGGTGACCTTGGGAGAAATGACACACACTTTGTCCTTGTGTCAGTGGCCCACATGTTGTGTGCATCTGCGAGGGTCTAAGGGGGTTAGCATATTGTGACATGTTTACACGTGGTCTGTGACATGGATTTATTGGCGATCTCATCTGTTTTTAACTAAATTAACCAATTAACAAGCATTCTAGAATACATACACTTGTTGTGTGTCTGAAAACAGAGAGAAAGGGAGAGAGATGGAGACAGAGAAAATATCCAAAGAATGAGCCCTGGCCCCAGTCGGGGCTTTGGAGGTTGGCATTCTGGGGCATTCTTGACAGATGACACCCTGAAGCTCAGCTCTTCTGCCCTGACTCTTCCTCAACAGAATCTTGGTGGTGGCTCAGGACAGCCAAGATGTCATCTAGGAGCAGGCATGGGCAATACACCCACAGCCGGCCACAGCCATCTCAGAGGATCCCAGACCTTAGACTGTCCTGTCCAGAGACTGAGGGCTGGGAGAGATGGAGAAAACAGTGCTTCTGTTTGAAGGATTTAGTGGACGGAGAAGCCCCATGGACAGAGAAGCAAATAAGTTATTTCAGCAGCCAAACTGAGACTTTGAGTATGAGCTATGGCCACTCACCTTGGGGGCAGTCAAGGCAAAGCTTCCTTTACAGCAGCCTAAGCAAATGCCTTCTGTGGGCTGGGGATCTCTGTGACCCTCCACATTTGTCCCAGGGTACTGGCTTGAGTGCCTAAGCTTTGCTAGGCAAGGTCTGTGTCTTGGGAAGAAGGAGATGCAGACAGCAGCCCAGAGCGTTTCAAGGGGCTTGTTGACAGTCTCTTAGGAGGTGTCTCTGGGGCTCAGATGGAACCTCGCCAAGCCCTCTCTCTGCATGCCTCCCCATCACTGCCCCCAGAGTGGGGGTGCATCCGTTGGTAACATGGGAGGTGATCATAGTGGTACCCAGGAGCCATTTATTGTTTTAATAGCTATGCATTTATTTTCACGTTTTTAAGAAGAGACTTAACTAGCATATCAAATCCTGATTTTGTGGATTTTATGTCTTAGAACAAGGTTAAAGGAAGTAATTAATTTAAAAAAGTGAGTCAGATTTAAGAAAAATATTAGGCCGGGCACGGTGGCTCACAGTTGTAATCCCGCTGAGGCGGTCAGATCACCTGAGGTCAGGAGTTTGAGTCCAGCCTGGCCAATATGGCGAAACCCAGTCTCTATTAAAAATACAAAAAAAATTAGCTGGACCTGCTGGCGTGCTCCTGTAGTCCCAGCTACTCAGGAGGCTGAGACACGAGAATCACCTGAAGCTGGGCAGTGGAAGTTGCAGCGAGCCTAGATTGCGCCACTGCACTCCAGCCTGGATGACAGAGCGAGACTCCATCTCAATAAGAAAGAAAGGAAGAAAGAAAGAAGGAAGGAAGGAAGGAAGGAAGGAAGGAAGGAAGGAAGGAAGGAAGGAAGGAAGGAAGCAAGGAAGCAAGGAAGCAAGGAAGGAGAGAGAGAGAGAAAGAGAGAAAGAAAGAAAGAAATTAAGTAAATAATGATACAGCTGGCTCAGGAATGATGCAAAAGTCATAAAGTATGGGGGAAAAAAACAACAGAAAACAAAAAACAAAAAACACGGCCCTAGATTAAACACATGAGTAATAGCCAAACAGCAGGCCATCCCGGAAGAGATGGAGGTGCTTTCTAGAAAGGACATGACCTAAAGGAGTGAAGTGTCACAGGTCCTGGGCCAGGATGGGGAAGGGGAAAACCTGCCCTTCAGCTTTCCTTCCTCCTGCAGCCTCATGCCTATCGCCTAGGCTGAAGAGCTGCAAAAAAAAAAAAAAAAAAGCAAGTGAAAACGATGATGATTTTGCCAATAATCATAATGTACTACTTTTGCAACCAAAAATATATTTTTTTAAGTAAGAGCGCTATTTCACTAAACTTCCCAGGGACATTGCCAGCGTGAGCTTTAGCAGCAACGTCAGGGGTGGGCAGGGGTCAGGGATCTTTTCCAGGCCTCCACAGGGTAGCCACTGCCCTGGCACCAGGGACCACAGGAGACAATGCCACACAGAGCCAGAGAGGGGCAATGGCCCCTGCCAAGAGTGGCCGGGAGACTGGTCCAAACATTGAATTTGAGACACTGGCTGGGGACCCCAGAACCGTCTGTGAGTGATTTGAAGGGAAGCTGCAATTCTCGCATGTTTGTTCCACCCTTAATTTTTTTTTTTTTTTTTTTTTTTTTTTGAGACAGAGCCTTGCTCTGTCACCCAGGCTGGAGTGCAGTGGCGCGATCTCTGCTCACTGCAACCTCCACCTCCTGGGTTCAAGCAATTCTCCTGCCTCAGCCTCCTGAGTAGCTGGGATTACAGGCACACACCACCACGCCCGGCTAATTTTTGTATTTTTAGTAGAGACGGGGTTTTGCCATGTTGGCCAGGCTGGTCTCGAACTCCTGACCTCAGGTGACCCACCCACCTCGGCCTCCCAAAGTGCTGGGATTACAGGCATGAGCCACCGCACCTGGCCCATCCTTAATGCTTTTAATTTAATTTTTGCGTGTGTGCTTTTTAATGGTCATATATGTTTGAGTATAAATACAAATATACTTTATAAATACATAAATATCAGAGTGCATGCGCAAAATTGTTTATTGATGGGAGGCGTGATCTAAAGAGTCTGGCAAGGGTAAGTCCACGTTCCTCACTAACTACTCCTGCCTTGGATTGCCGTCAATGTGTCCGCCGTGCAAACTGTGCCTCCCACACTAGATGCTGAGGGAGGATAGTCAGGGAGGTGTTGTGGAGACCTGTGCCACTGAGTTCAAACCACCTCATGCTGAAGTGGAGTCACTGGGGCCTAGAAGGTACCAAGGGGCCCAGGATCCTTGTGGGGAGCGGATATAGAGAGGGTCTTTGAAGTCTCTCAGTACTGGAATGAGCACAGGGCTTGCCTTCAGAGGAGTGTGTGCTGGAGCCCCAGCCCTGGGACACACCAGTTGCACAATCTCAGGTGAGCCACTCTGACCTTCCAGGTTGTCTTCCATAAAATGAAGAGGCTGGTGAGTGATGTATACCTCGTGCTATTGCTGTGAGAGTCACATGAAGTAATGGAAGAGGAAAAGGGCCTTGGGGAATCACAGAACATCTTCCTTCACCCAGGCAGCATCCCAGGCACAGGTTGCCCCACAGGCCTCCTGGGCTCCTAGGTCTGTAAAGACGGGGTGCCAGCTGGGGGAACCTAGGCCAAGGCCCCTGCCCAGACAAAGCCAAGTCTGGCTCAAGTGGGCCAGAGTCATGCACAGCCCAGGTGAGCTGGGCACTAGCACCCAGCCACTGACACCAACCATCAGCTGCCCCTGCCATCTGGAGACCCAAGGCAGCTTTGGTTCTCCGTTTATCCCCACCAGACCTTGGGCAAGAAGGTGGGGAGCAGAAACAACTGACACATACAAAGTGGCGGTCACCCATCCTGAGCACCCCCGCAGTCCTCCTGCCTCAAAGCCTCCATTTCACTCACTCTTCTAGCCCCCACCCTTGCTTCCTCATCATAAGTGCCGGCCGATGCATGCATGTTGCAGAAAATAGGATAAATCAGGGTTGCTTTGATTGGTTGCAAGTTCAGAGGCTTTGGGGTTTTGTAGATCTGCCCGAAGCATTGAAACACCTAAATACTTGGATGATTCCTCTCTCCTTTGTCACCTCTGCCACAGGGATGCATCTTGAATCCCAGACCCAGGACTTCCAAACCTTTGAGCATCCTTTGTAGAAAATGGCTCCAGTGACCTCCCCCAATCCATCCCCACCCTATCTGCAGAAGAGCTTATCTGGGGGCAGGGAAGATGCTTTGATTCATTCCATTCCCCTATTTCTGATTCTCATCCTTTAGTAAAGCAGGAGAGACAGAAGGGATTGCTCTGGGCTTTTGTGAAGATGTGTGAGGGAGGTAGAGGCAGGCTCATGTTTGCCTGTATGCAGAGCCAAGAAAGGACCAGTGGATATCGGAGGCATTGTCTTTTATTCTAACTGGTGGCACAAGAAGCAGAGAAACTATCCTATCCAGTTTTGTACAGACGATGCTATGCCTTGTATTGTTCTCTGTGGATTTATAACAAAGGCTGACATCCTGAAACAGATGGGAGTTTCTCACACTCAGGCACACAGCTTGCTCACCCACCCCTGGGTCTCCCACAAGCCAGCTCACTGCCTGGCACACAGGAGCCATTCGTGGATGCTGAAGTGAGCCATGAGGACAAGGCCATGCCTGATTCGGCACTATCCTAGCACAGTCTAACACAGCTGGATGCTCGGTTTTCTTTATTTGATTAAAGGCAACTTAAATTAGCGGCCACTTCTCTCCTCCCCATGCCCTGGATGAGACCCTCATATTGAACACCCAGCAGATCTTGCAAATCAGGGCTGAGTCTCAGCGATCCATTGCACTGGTGATAGCCTGAAATTGAGGTTAAACCCAGGCGAGAGCTCTCCCAACAGCCCAAGAAGGGGGTAACGGTGAGAACTCTCACTACAGTGCAGACAGT
Organism: Homo sapiens; assembly: GCF_000001405.40. Taxonomy (NCBI): domain Eukaryota; kingdom Metazoa; phylum Chordata; class Mammalia; order Primates; family Hominidae; genus Homo; species Homo sapiens. Next base: position 118,051,660 of record NC_000011.10, read on the forward strand.
GTAACAAGGGCTGCCAGCTCCACCCCACCTGTGCACACCCTTACCATCAAAACACACCACAGGAAGGGGAGAATAACAAAGCCAGCCATGTCATCTGTGGTTTCACCTCTACAGTGACACATTTTCCTGTACTGGTGCCCCAGCAGGGCAATCTTAGTTTAGGTTGATACTAATACTAATACTAATACTAATACTAATACTAATACTATACTAATACTAATACTCTTGGGTTGATTGTGAACAAGAGACACGGGTGACGCAGGGAGAGTGCTAGGTGTGAGGTCCCACCTGCCAGGTGTCTGAATCATGAACCTTCTGCAGAGGGAACAGTACTGCCTGCCTCCCTAGAACATGGCGCTGATGACATGAGAGGTGTGAAAGTGCCTGGCAAAGAGCGGGAACTCTTCCACACTGTACATTGTTTAAAGCGGGAATAAGAGTTGCTGTCCAGGTTCAAAGGCAACTCTTGGAACAATGCGGGTAGCGGGTGCTCTTTGCATAAACACCATAGAAAAGGTCATCCCCACCCACGTCCCCCAACAGCTGTGCAGCTCTGCCTCCCTTTCCCCAGAGGAAAACTCAGACTCCAGTTTCCCGCGTCCGGCCTTCTACGGCTGCTCAGGACTCCAGGGGACAAAAGAAGGGCGAGAGGCAGGAGTGAGAGGGAAGTGGGTGGTTTGCTGCAAGCGGGGAGCTGCTGAGGGCAGGCTGGGGCCCTGCAGGGAAGCAGGGAGATTGTGGAAGATGTGTCTCCCACGCAGAGGAGGATTTGCCAGGAGGCCAACAAGCTAAGCTTCAAGCCGCTCACTTGTACGGACCCTTCCAAGTCCCTCTTCCTAAGTTTGTATTTATAATTTTGTATTCTTCATCTAAGAAAGCCTCAAAACTATGTAAGCCTCAGGCCCCCACAGAACCTGAGTCTGCCCTGGCTCCCACATAGAATGCTTCTCTCCTCTGAGATAAGCCCCTAGCTCTTCCCTAACGTGATCGCCTACGCCCCCTTCCTTCCAGCCACATCCCACGACCCCCACCTGGGCATTTCTCTGTCCAGCCAAACATAGGCATTGGCTTATAATGTGCCCCTGCCTGCCTCTCCTGGAACCTCTCAGCCTGGGGCACTCCTGCTCACCCTCCGAGACCCACAGCAAATACTTCCAACAATAGGAAGCCTTCTCCCAGGTCCCAGACAGAATCAACACTTCATCCTGGGTGCTGCCACCACGCTCAGCATGTCCCTCTGTCATAGCACAAATACCCCACAGGGGACTGCACTGTTGAAGGTCCACCTCCCAGCCTAGGCTGTGGTTCCTCCAGGGTCCAGACAGGCTTATCTGATTCTGTGTCTCCAAAGCCTACTAGCTCACAGCCGGGTCCGGTGGCTCACACCCGGAATCCCAGCACTTAGGGAGGCCATGACGGGTGGATTACCTGAGGTCAGGAGTTCAAGACCAGCCTGGCCAACATGGTGAAACCCCCATCTCGACTAAAAATACAAAATTTAGCCAGGCGTGTTGGCAGGGCGCCTATAATCCCAGCTACTTGGGAGGCTGAGGCCAGAGAATCGCTTGAACCCAGGAGGCAGAGGTTGCAGTGAGCCGAGATCATGCCGTTGCACTCCAGCCTGGGTGACAGAGCAAGACTCTCTAAAACACACACACACACACACACACACACACACACACACACACACACACAAAGCTTACTAGCTCAGGGCTCCCAGGTACAGGGCAAATGTTCCTTGAATAAATGAATTAACTGATGGCCTCAGCCAGGGACAATGGCAGAGTGACTGAAAAGGTCGGACTTCAGTCCTGGAGTCCCACCTGCATGGCTCCCATGCTCTGGCAACCCTTCCTTGGATTCCTTATTCAACTCCTCCAAACAGCAGTCCTGAGAAACCATTCCTGCAACCTGAGCGCCCTCTGGTGGCTGAAATGTTGCCTTCCCCCAAGAACTAGAGGCAACGGGTGGGGCCTTCCTTGGACATCCAGCATAGCTCTTTAATTCCCTAAAGCAATGTGTTTACAAGGCTCTTATTCACTTGGAGGCTCAAGTCCTACCATTTATGTTATTCTTTAGCCTGGAAGCTTTGAGAACTCATCTCATTCAAGGTCCCAAAGACCCCCACCCCAGCCCCTGTTCCTCTGACAGTGATGTGGTCTCCACATCTGCCTGCAAGGTCTCAGAGAGGAAAAAGAGGAGTTGGACCAAGACACAATCGCAAACACTGTAACCTCAAATGTTAAAATCCTGAAAGATTGTAATCTCTAAAGTCTAAACCCCTAACATCTAAAATCCCAAAAATCACAATCACAGGATCGTTTTTTGTTGTTTTTTTCCTTCCTTTTTCACTATTTTAAATTTTCAGCATGATTTTTTACAATTCCCTATGCTAGGTATTTCATCTTTGCATCATTTGCAAGACTGGAGGTATAAGTTATATAGACTTTTAGAGAGTTCGAATTTGTTTTATGCAGGGTTTTGGGGGTTTTTGGGATTTTTTTGTTTTGTTTTTTTGTTTGTTCTTGTTTTTTTGTTTGTTTGTTTGCTTGTTTGTTTTCAAATTTGGCTCCCTGAAAGTGCATTATCACCATGTCAACTTTGTGTGGACGCATTGTGCATGTACAGAAAAACATTGACATTTTCTCATTAGATAAAGAGATGTCCTTTCTGTACATCTGCCTTTGTGAAGTTAAATTTTCTTGGAATCTCAGCTCCTTGCAGCTTGGAATGCAGCTCCATGGATAGACAGCTGCATTTTTGGTGATGATCCATTGAAGTTTTTGATCAAACTCATCCAGAGACTTTGGTTGCTCATGCTGTTGTTTCAGATGACCAGTTATAAAGCTGGGTGCACACAAGTAACAACCACGGTGCCATGGATTTACATCTTGCCCTTTTTGACCTATTTCTTTATGAACATGGTTCATCTGCTCATAACTCTTATACCCATGCAACCGTCATTACCTGAGTGTTTATGCGTGCAAAAATATGTATGTTATCACTGCCTATTTTATTGTGTAATGTACACTATAAAGTGTCCTGTTGTGTTTTTATATGTTTCCAATATAAATCCCCTTTGAAATGTAAATAAATATGTTTTAATGAATGTTTTCATTATTTTTTCCAGAATTATATTTTCAGGATTTTTTTTTTTTTTTTGAGACAGAGCTTTGTTCTGTTACCCAGGCTGGAGTGCAGTGGCCCGATCTCTGCTCACTACAACCTCCACCTCCCAGGTTCAAGCGATTCTCCTACCTCAGCCTCCTGAGAAGCTGGGATTACAGGTGCGCGCCACCATGCCTGGCTAATTTTTGTATTTTTTGGTAGAGGCAGGATTTCACCAAGTTGATCGGGCTGGACTCAAATTCCTGACCTCAAATGATACATCTGCCTCAGCCTCCCAAAGTGCTGGGGTTACAGGCGTGAGCCACTGCGCCTGGCCTAATTTTTGGGATTTTGAACTTTCAGGATTTCAACATTCAGGATTGTGTCTTTTGGAATTATGATCAGCTCCAAAAAGGGAAGGCCGTCCCTGCCTCCCATGTCTCTGGTATGACATTCCTGTTTGTGGCTGCCAAGGCCAGTTTGGCAGCCTCTGAGTGGATCCCTCAAATTCCAGGGCCTCCAAGATATGCGGATTTTCTGCCAGGGTCAGGATGAACTATAGAGACCCCATCTTGCAGGAAGTCATGCGCTATTCCTGGTTTCCTAAGGACCCCACCAGCTGTTCCATTTCAACAGCCTTACTCACTCTATGCCACACCTGCCACCACCACCCCGGCCCTGCCACCTCCTACCAAGACATGCTTTGTTTGTGCTTTTTTGGCCTCTGCAGTGCTGAATTCATACCTGAATGTGATGTCTTTTGGTGGGGCATGTCTTCTCCTGGGGTCCCCCACTACTTGTTAAATATGTCTAGTCATTTCCCTTAGTTTCCCCTGGCTCTTGAAGGACTCTGAGTCGGAGACTCTACTCTATGCAATTCATTCTCATCCTCCTCTTCACACCAGCTCATGTCTGCCTACAAAACACCACCCAATAGCTGCTTCTTCTAGGAAGTCCTCCTTGGTTATTGATTCGATAATCATATACTATTCTTTTCCTACATAGGCCAGGCATCTGGAAATGGGAGAAAGAGCTGCAGACCTCTGGTGGAGAGAAAGAGGAGCTGAGATAGCACACAGTGACAGGTAATCTGTGCTATAAGAGGTAAACATGGGGGCTTGGAGAGCACTAGGGGAGATCCCAAAACCCAGATTTGAGGGTGATGCCAAGGAAGCATCCCTGGACTATGTGAGGTCTGTGATGAATTGTGAAGGATGGTCAGTAGTCAGTTGCCAAGCAGAGGAGGTGGTGAAGGAAGAAGAGGCTCTAGGCTGAAGGTGGACAGGTAGGAGAGATCACGGTTCCCTTAAGGTTCCATGTGGCCAGGTAGTGGCCGACGATCAAGTGGTGGATGGGGCAGGTCATGGAGGTCTTGCCGCTTCTCAAGGAGAGGCGGGATTCTATTGGCCCCTGAGAGGCTCACTTGGGCCAGGGTTGGGACATGCTGGGAGTAGCGAGCCCAGGCTAAGGCGGCCCTCCAGGCAGCCAGAAGGGTCATCCTGGAGAGATGATGGGAGCCTGACCCAGGGCAAGGGACAGGGGAGAGGTGGATAGGACATCAGGAAGGGAGGGTCAGCAGAACTGGGGATCAATTGGAGGTAGTAAGTTAGGGAGAGAGGGGAGGCCTGGTGACTCCTGGGTGTTGATTAGGCAACAGGGTGGATGGCAATGCCACTGATCAAAATGGGGACATGCAGGAAGGCAGTTCCATCGTCCTGTTGAGCTCAAGGTACCTGCCAGACCCCACGAGGAGATGTCCATGGGGCAATAGAGATGTAGGTTTAGAGCTCAGGAGGGTCCCCTGGACCAGAAAGCTGAATTTGGGAGATATCAGCACCCAGGTGATAGGTGTAATCGCAGAAGGGGATGAAATCCCCAGGAGGAGAATAAAAGCAAGAAAAAGAGAGGGCCACAGAGGAACCCCTCGGGAACACCAACATACAAAGTGGAGATGACGGAGAAGATCCAGACAGGGAAGGACAATCACGGTGTGAGAAAGGCTCCAGGAAGACAGGCCAATTCTGCAGAGAAGGCAAGCGAGATCATTTAACACCATTTGCAGAAGTAGCAACGGAGGTCATCAGTGGCCTCTGCAAACACAGTTCCAGTGAAATGAAGGGAGCAGAGGCCAGACCACCGAGGGGTGTAGAGTGGATGGAGGTGCAAGGAGGTGGTGAAGAAAGGAGAAAAATAGCCAGGCCACACATTTCCATGAGAACTGGAGGTGACAAAGGTTGGCCGCTCACTCCCCAAGCTGAGTGGTGAGGGGAAGGAAGAAGGTCTGGCCACAGGGCGAGAGCAGCCGGAAGCCTCAAGGGAAAGCGGTGCATTGGAAGAAGGGAGATGTGGGCATAGCTACCTGCTGGAGAAAGGGCGACACTGAAGGCGCAGAAGGAACTGCCAACTGGTGCTCTCTTAAGAAGGAGGAATAGAGTTCAGAAGGCTTTGAAGGGATAGAGACAAACCTTCCTGGAAACCAAAGTGCACTCAGGAAGGGTCTGGGTGTAGTTATGTGTATGGGAGTGGGAAGGATAAGGAGAGGCAAGACATGAGGCATTCCTATCTGAGGATCTCTGCTTCCTCTGTGCAGTAGGAGGTCAGAGCATCTGATGAGAGCATTGGGGGAGGGGAGTCCTGATGGGGACCTTGAAGAGGACTCTGAAACATGAACAGAGCCACTGTGGGGAAAGAACTGACCGTGGGCATCTAGATGACACACTGCTGGGGGTGGGAGACTCCGCTGGGCGCTGGAGGCAGTGCCGTTGCTGTGGTCACTGCTCTGTGGCCAAAGGACTTTTCAGCACCCAGGTGCAGGGGTGATGTGGGTGGATGGCTGGCCTGCCCCAGGGCTGCAGTGTTGCTGGCCAGGTGTGGGAGAAGAACAAGGATGAAGGTATTATATTTGCAAGTGAGTGGTATGTTGAGGGGATTCGCCTCGGAGGCTGAAAGCAAAGCCAGGAAGGAGCTGATGAAATGAGAGAAATCGGAGGTGTGATGAGAGAAATTGGAGGTGTCGGGAGCTGGGATTCTTTATGAGGCAGACAGCAGGCGGAATGCAGGCACGAGGGTGGAAAGGCTGGAAGGATGGCAGCGCAGGACTGGAGGATGACTGACCAGAGACTGAGCTTGATGATGCCAAGAGGCAATTTTTGTGGAATGAAACACAAACAGACATTATCGTTCAAAGTAAACGATGATATTCATCTCCAGTTCATCCAAGCCTATAATTTGATACCTGGCTGCAGGGTAGGGTAACCGCAGGCAGGGGATTAAACTCTGTTGACCCTGTGACCTAGTTGACATAGGGTCATACTGACAGCTAATTAATTGTCCTGCCTAATTAGAGCAAGTTTTGTAATTGTTTTAAAAATTTGTCTCAGGTCCCCGTGGCCTGGGGGCTGGTCACCCTGTTGTGGGACTGTTCTGCTGGGCCAGGAGAGCAGGGTCCCTGAAGCGGAGCATGCATTGGCTGCCACACACCTCTCAGGACTTCCCTGCAGCCCCCACGGTAATTGGCTGTCTCCTCTTCCTGGGCTCACCCCTCCTTGCACTGAGCTTTCTCTCCTCCTATCCCAGTCTCAGGTTCAGTATTCACCCCAGGGCCAGGAGTGTGGGGAAGGGGCTAGAGCTGCACATGGACCCAAGGCGGGAGGGGCGCAGGCCTGGGCAGGTGGGCAGCTTTGGACGAGGGACCAGCAAGCAGCTGCAGCCTGGGCACAAGAAGAAATGACGGGGCGAGGAATGGGGTGCGAAACCACAGGGTGAGAGGCACGTGCCTGGGACCAGGCTTGGAGTAGAAGCGAAACCAGAAATCCAGTTGTAAGCACAAGAGAAAAATCAGAACCTCAGGGAACTCAGGGCAGGTGCCTCTCTATCAAAGGAGGGGCAGTGCAGACTGGGAACCAAAAACCCAGGGCACCCATCTGGACCCGAGGGCTGCGGCGCAGAGCACGTCCTGCCTCCAGGCCAAACTGCTCTGGGAGATGACCAAGAGCCCAGCTCGGGGGGCCTGGGGAAGGAATGGGGTGGGAGCTGTCCTTCTGCAGAACAGGAAGCCACAGCTTCAGAGCCTCTCCCCACCTTCCTATCCCTAAAGCAGCAAGTGCTTCTGAGGCTTTGCTGGTAACTACAGAGAAGCAGGAGAGAGGTCAAAAAGGGCAAGAGGGGCAAGCGACAAATGCATCAGAAACGTCCCCAGAGCGTGGTGACAGAGCTGGGGGAGGCCTCCCACCAGGCCAGGGTCTTGTCCAGAGACAGGGACCATCCCAGTTCCTCCACACTTGGGTTTGTCCCACACTGGCGTCTGCACACAGCCTCAGTGTGAGTCACCAGGCACTGCCGGCACCTACCCCAACATTAGGTTCTGCAGAGGCCAGAGTGTGTGATTGAGAACATCTTCAAGCTCCCGGCCATCCTGTAGAGGAGTTATAACCTGGGGGGCGTGGGACTTCCTATTCACAGTAAATATCATCCCATGACACTGCTCCGATGTGAGAAGTCTCTAGAAGAGGGAAGGTCACATGAAGAACGCTGTCACCTGTGATGCCCAGGCATGGGGGTGGGGGCAGTTCTCAGTCTGGGAGGGGAAGTGGTGCCCCTCACTCCTCACACAGGTGCTGAGAGGAGGGAAGAGCACCCAGCATGGAGCCCACAGCCCTGCAGGGGTCTGGGCTCTGCCACTCACCGAGGGCTCACCTCTTACTTGGAACATGAGCAGCCTCATAGACACATCTCAGAGTGCAGAATGTGTGGAAGGTCTCTGCCAACTGTGAAGCATGACACACAAGTTGGCTGCTGTTGTTAAAAACCCAAGAGCACGCAACACGCAACAGGGGCTCTGGGGCCCAGGCAAGCAACTAACTGATAGGCCTTGGGGTGCCCTGGGGTCCGTCAGGATCCTTCAGTTTCAGCAGGTCTTCCCACATAGCTCTACCTCCATTCATTTGCCGCCTTACCTGGAAAAGCAGCCTGGAATCCCAGAGCCCTGCCTCACTCTGAGCCCAGATGAAACCCCAAACTGCTATTCCAAACCACCATATCTGAGACACAGGGTGAGGTGCTCAATCCTACTGGATAAACTTGTCTAGAATTCCGGCTCCCACGCCGGCCTAGGGATCAGAGGCCTCCCACTCCCTCCGTGACAGGGAAGATAAGTACCAAAGCAAGCTAGGAACCTAGAGGCAGGGAATGATTAGCATTTTATCTCATAGCCTTGAGCCTGGGAGTGAGTGGAGGCTGTACTGCCCTGGCAGACACACCTGCAGACCCACCTGTGAGGGCCCAGGAGGAGAGGAGTCTGAGTGGGGTGCCAGGAGGCAGCCAGGGCTGTGCCCAAGCCCAGTCCCTTTATCAAAACCCAATTCCCGCGCTCTAGGGGCTCCCTCAAGCCGTATCTACTCACATGCCTCTCCTCCAGGTCCCCCACCCATGTGGCCTGCCTAGAGTCTCTGCCCAGAGCCCAGACCACTCCCCATCCCACCACCTCTCAGGTGAACGGGGATGGGGTAGGAGGCTGTGGTCTTTCTCCCCTGACAAGAGTCTCAGCCCCACTTCCCATGCTGTGAGTGTGAGCACCCACTCCCACCTCCCCACACACCTCTTGCAATTATAATAGCTCTTGGTGCTAATGAAAGTGCTGGGAAATACAAAATCAGGTCTACTGGCATCGGAAGGCATGAGTCAGGGTTTTGCTGCAGTCTGTTTCGATTCAGCCTTTTCTTCCCAGGCCGGCAGCGAGGGCAGGACAGGGGCCAGGCAGCCCTGGGAAGCCTTAGTGGTGGAAACCCAGGGACAGCTGCCATGCTCACCTGGGAGACTGTCCTTGGCCGCCTTTCTTCTAGGCTTAGCATCCTGTGTTCCTCTGGACCCCCGGGGGTCTGGGAGAGCAACTGCAAATGGCTGTCTGGGACCCCCTTCTACAGAGTCCAGGGTGTCCCTCTGGCTGTTCCCCTCGCCACCCCTTCCTCTAATTCCCTGCCAGCTCCAGGTTCCCTGGAATGCTGGTTCTAATCTGGCTTCCAAGTCTCTCTTACCAGCCAGACATGGGTACTCCCATCATCCCTCCCACATGGCTGCCCTCATCCTTTGGATCCCCAGGCAGACACCCACCCTGGCCCCCTTTTAATTTTCCTTTTTTGATCTATAAGTAAGAGAGGGACAGAGAAAGCACTTCCAGGCTGCCCCTCTCCAGCCCTGTGACCTCACATCACAGTGTCCTGGTTGCAGGTTGAGGAACTCCAGTGGGAGGCGTCCAGGCCAGCAGAGGCTCCCAGAGGCACCGCTTCTGCTGAGTCACCCATTCTAGCATATGGTCGTGGCCCTGCTTGTTCCAAAACGGGACACCTTGCACTGCCACTCGTGACAGACACATGACACCCACAGTGGGAGTGATTGAGAGGCTATAGACAGGCCAAGGCGCAAGCCCAGCATCATTTTCAACCCCGCCTCTTCCAAGAAGGGAGGTGATTAAGACTCCAAGCTTCAGCTGCAGAGAGACCCAGCTTCAAACCCCAGTTCTGAGAGTGTTTCCCTGTAGGTGAAATGGAGAAAATAATGCCCACCTCACAAGATTGAAAAGATTGGATGATCGATTCACAGAAGGCATTTAGCAAGTTCTCCCTCAATAAGTGGCATTTCTAGCTACTTTTATGCCAATGTATTACATTTTTTAAGTAGTAAATTATTTCAGGGACTAGAGTGGCAGGTCCCCAGCTGGAGCTACCTTCTTCTTGGCATTAGTGCTCCAGGGAAGCAGAATCAGTAACTAAGTTACCAGACGAACACCGTCGGATCAAAGGAAGTGGGAGGGGTGGGGGATACTTCACCTGAGCCCTGGGAAAACCTCACAGATCCTGCTGGCCTCCACAGAGGCAACCTCTGTTAAGCAGAACCTGCTTATGTTCCCCACAGCCCTTCCTGCGACCTGGGCTGCTGGACACCGATTAGCTTGGATCTACGGGGCCCATTTCCTCTGCACCCAGGACCGCTCTTTGGTGACTCTTTCACTAGATATGATGCTAGACAGAGCCAGCATCAAGCCTCTGTCCCCATTATGAGTTGACTTCACAAAACCAACCCTCCCTGCTCAAGGGATTCCCACTTTTGCAGCCCACAGCAAAAGCATTGGCGTGTAAGTAACAATGCCACCTACCACATGGGGCAGAACCCCACCAACTGCCTCGGTCCAAGTTCATTACAACTCAGTCTCCCCTTGGAATTGGAAGGTCCTTGACCTCCCACCAACTAAGCTTCCAATTTTGTTTCATCAAAAATGAAAGTGGGGCCAGGTGCAGTGGCTCATCCTTGTAATCCCATCCCTTTAGGAGGCCAAGGCAGGTGGATCACCTGAGGTCAGGAGTTCAAGACCAGCTTGGCCAACATGGCGAAATCCCATCTCTACCAAAAATACAAAAATTAGCTGGGCGTGGTGGTGAGTGCCTGTAATCCCAGCTACTTGGGAGGCCGAGGCAGGAGAATCACTTGAACCCTGGTGGTGGAGGTTGCAGTGAGCCAAGACTGTGCCATTGCACCCCAGCCTGGGCAACAGAGCGAGACTCCATCTCAAAAACAAACAAACAAAAGTGGGTCAAGAGAGGCACCCCTGAGCTAATACATCAAGTCAGGCTTCCCTTCAGTTCACAGGGGCCAAGACCACAGGCCAGCCCAGCTCCTCTCCAGGCCCTGCTGGAAGGCTCCTTCCCGGCCAAAGCAAAGGTGACAACTGCCTCTGATGCTTCTCAAAGACCAGCTGGGAGTCAACAATGGAGACAGGTGGTTCACTTGGGCTCTGGCTTCTTCCATTTGCAACGGAGAACAGGGCATGTGGATGGGGAAAGAAGGAACCCAGGACAAGGGCTTCATCCCTCCCAACCCTCTCCTGGCCCTCCCTCCACACCCCTGCACCCTTGCCTTCTTTGTGTCTCTGAGTTTCTGCCTCTTCGTTGACTTCCATCTGTTTTTCTGTTGCCTCTTTTATTTTCTCTCTCTCTTAATTCTGTCAGAGGCATGTGAATCACAGCAATTCCAGCTTGAATAGGAGCTGGGTAAAATAAGGCTGAAACCTACTGGGCTGCATTCCCAGACAGTTAAGGTATTCTAAGTCACAGGAAGAGATAGGAGGTCAACACATGATACAGGTCATAAAGACCTTGCTGATAAAACAGGTTGCAGTAAAGGAGCTGGCCAAAACCCACCAAGACCAAGATGGCGACAAGAGTGACCTCTGGTCGTCCTCACTGCTGCACTCCCACCAGCGCCAAGACGGTTTACAAATGCCATGGCAAAGTCAGGAAGGTATCCTATTTGGTCTAAAAAGAAGAGGCATGAATAATCCACCCCTTGTTTAGCATATCATCAAGAAATAACCATAAAAATAGGCAACCAGCAGCCCTCGGGGCTGCTCTGTCTATGGAGTAGCCATTCTTTTATTCCTTTAGTTTCTTAATAAACTTGCTTTCCCTTTGCACCGCAGACTTGCCCTGAATTCTTTCTTGGGTGAGATCCAAGAACCCCCTCTTGGGGTCTGGATGGGGACCCCTTTCCTATAACACTTCTACTCTTCTTTCTGTTTCTTTCAGTTGATGATTTTCTGCTTACCTTTCTACTCTTTCTGTTTACTGTCTCTCTCGTCTGCATTTTTCTGTCTTTATTTCTAAATCTTCTTTACCCTCTTCATGTTGAATCTTTTTGCCTATTGTGGTAAATATATTTGGTCCTCAGCCCCATTTCCTGGCATACAACTCCTAAAGTCCTTAGAAACTCCAAAGGTTGTCTTTTTGTGTGCTAATGAGCTGACTGAGGCCTGGAAGGGCCTAGGTGGCTTCAGGTAGATCAGGGGCTGATCACCAGAAAGCCCAAGGCAGGATTAGAAGGTTGGGTTTTAAGCCCCACCCCTAAACTTAGGGGAGGGGAGAGGGGCTGGAGGGTAAGTTGATCACCAATGGCCCGTGGCTTAATTAATCATGCTTATGTAACGAAGTCTCCATAAAAGCCTAAAAAAGGACAGGTAGCTGAACAGGTGGAGGTTTCCAGAAGGGGACCCGACTCGGGAGGGCATGAAAGCCCCGTGTCCCTTACCCCATATCTCACCCTACGTATCTCTTCTTCTGTATCATTCGTAATATCCTTTATAGTAAACCTGTAAAGGTAAGTGTTCTCCTAAGTTCTCTGAGTCACTCCAGCAAATGAGGGAGTTGTGGGAACCCCAAATGAAGAACAATTGGCTAGAAGGTCCAGAGGCCTAGATTTGTAACTGGTGGGAAGGGAGTTGCGGTCTTGTGGCACTGAGCCCTCATCAACCATAGGATCTGTTGCTATCTGGTAGATAGTGTGGGAATTGAGTTGACTCGAAGTGTCAGCCAGTGTCTGCTGCAGAAATGATTGCTTACTGGTGTGTGGGGAGAACCCCCAGGCATTTGGTCACAGAAGTCTATTGCGTTGATGATTGTGGCGTGAGAACCAAGGGGAAAATTGAGTTTGAGTTTTTTCCTAACACACCAATCTATATCACTCTTCTTTTCTCTTGCAAAGAAAAAATTTTAAATGGGAGATCAGATAGGCACCAATCTGCCATTGATTTCATACACTGTGTTCCCCATCCACATGGACCCCAAGGTCCCACCGGAGGTTCAGGTTGGCGGTTCTGGGTGTCATCCTCAGAGTCATCACTAATACTAAAGGGTTTTGTTTGTTTTCTTTTTAAGAGAAGAAATCTCCCTATGTTGCCCAGGCTGGCTTCAAATTCCTGGGCTCAGGATATCCTCTTCCCTCAGCCTCCTGAGTAGCTGGGACTACAGGCATGTGCCATCGTGCCTGGCTTTTGTTATTGTTATTTGTCTGTTTTTTCAGGGGTGGAGATTTTTTGTTGTTTTTTTCATCACTATTATTATTATTATTGAGACAGGTTCTCGCTTTGTTGCCTAGGCTGGAGTGCAGTGGCAAGATCTTGGCTCACTGCAACCTCTACTTCCCGGGTCCGAGCCATCCTCCTACCTCAGCCTCCCAAGTAGCTGGGACTACAGGCATGTGCCACCACGCCTGGCTACTTTTTGTAATTTTTAGTAGAGATAGGGTTTCGCTATATCACCCAAGCTGGTCTCATATTTCTAGACTCAAGCGATATACCCGCCTGGCGGAATTGTGCTGGGATTACAGGCGTGAGCCACCATGCCCAGCCTTCATCACTAATATTAAACGCTAGCCTTCTCTGGGTCAAGCCCCGAGTGGGCTCTGAGTCAAGCACACCCTGCCCTGGAGTGATCCAGATATCCCAACTCAGAAATGACCAGATAAGGCCAGAATGCATATTCCTGTCCTAAAGCGTGGCCCTGTAGAGCCCTTCTGCGTGGTCAAACACCCGTCCCTCCCCAGCCTAGGCAGCTGCACAGCGCCCAAACCTGCCCTGCCCCACCTGCTTCTCCACTGCATTTCACTTTGCTTATCTCAGCATCCGATTACAGCAAGGACACTCCCAGCCTAATCTGGCTTTCCCAAAGCTTTGGCCTAGAGCACCGTGAAGAGGTAGCCTTGTCACGTCCATGATGGCTCACAGGAGGAGGAAGACAGGGTACCTGCATTTTGAGTGGTTTTGCAAAAGTGAAATATAGAGAGTGATCATGAGGCAGGAGAATAGGGCCTGGAGGCAGGGAACCTAAGGCCAATTCATACTGACTTCCTAGAACTAAATCAAAAGGAAAACCCCAACTTTCACACCTTCCGTCGCTGGCCAACTTTTCTTTTGCATAGGAGTATAACTTTGTAACTTCACTTTAGCCTCTGGTCACTTTCCACAGGCGAATCAGACATTTGCATAGGGTGTAACTTTGTAACTTCACTTCAATCTCTGGTTGGTCTCTCTCCACAACCAATCAGACTGATTGTGGTCCTCTACTTCATTTACATAGGGTGTACACTAAGTAATCAATGGGAAACCTCTAGAGGGTATTTAAGCCCCAGAAAATTCTGTACCCAGTCCCTTGAGCTTCTTGTTCAGCCCACTCCCACCCTGTGGAGTGTGCTTTTGTTTTCATTAAATCTCTGCTTTTGTTGCTTCATTATTTTCTTGCTTTGTGCGTTTTGTCCAATTCTTTGTTCGAAGCACAAAGAATCAGGACACCCTCCACTGGTAACAATCAGGGTCTGATACCTGGGATGCAGCACCCAGTGACCAGGCTAGAATCAGGAGGTCTGGACAGAGGACACCATTACTGCCTGATTTACTCATCATGACCATGACCCAGCCCGCTCGCTCACCTGGGCCCTGCTGGGGAAGAGGGGGCTGCAGCCCCAAACCAGCCACAGGACCCCCCGGACGTACGACCTCCACCCAGGGCTCTCCCTGGCACCTCTGACTCAAACTGTTCAGTCCCAGACTCTTCACCTTTCTCCCCAAACCCACCTCTGTTTGCCACCTTGGTAGGTGGTACTATTATTTGCCTAATCCCCCAGACACCTGGAAATACCCCGGGATTGGATCTCTTCGCCCTTGTTTTCCAAATCTAGTCAGTCACCAAGTCCAACGTGCATGTGAAATTGCTCTGCCCTCCTGGCTGCCCTACCCTGGGTTTGGGATCTCATCTCTCACCTGGACCGCTGCATGAGTTCCCTACTATTCTCTCTACCCCAGGCTCTCCATCCACACAGCTACCAGAATGATCTTTCAAAATAAAACAAAAACAAACAAGTCATCCTCCTGCTTAAACTCCTACTGGCTCCTTATTACCTAGAGCTGTGGTCTCCAAAGTTCTTTGATCTCTGTCAGTAACAAAAGAATTTTAGCACACATCTCTAATATATGTATTTATGTATAAATTATATTTACATACATTACCATCACTAGCCAATATCTGAAGGCATAATACACCCTGAAAGACAGAGTAGTACTAACATCAGGAGACTTGAGACTATACTTCAAATTATCTTAGCCGGGCATGGTGGCATGCCTGAGTCCCAGCTACTCAGGAGGCAAAAGGATCACTTGAACTGAGGAGATCAAGACTGCAGTGAGTCGTGATCCTGCCACTGCACTCCAGCCTGGGTGACAGAGTGAGACCTTGACTTAAAAAAAAAAAAATCAAAACATTATCTTGATAATTCTGGATTTTTTTTTTTGCCAGTTTCTATCAAGTAAAATGAGATTGTTACAATTTTACACTCAAGATAGAAAGATAATGGGAGCCCCTTCCGAATAGGGGAGCAAGAGCCTGGCCATTTGCTTGTGCTTGCCTGCATCCTTCTCTTAATCCCTGATATCTTTTCAGGAAATTTCCTAAATACCTTGTCCATTGTGTGAGGATTAATTTAGTTAAAACCAGATGAGATCACCGAGAAATCCACTTCACAGACCATGTGTAAACATGTCACAATATGCTAACCCCCTCAGACCCTCGCAGATGCGCACAACATGTGGGCCATTGACACAGGGTCCAAGTGCAGACACGAGGCCAACCTGTACATTAAATATTACAAATGCACCAGGTGCGGTGGCACGTGCCTGTAGTCACAGCTACTCGGGAGGCTGAGGCAGGAAGATCATTTGAGTCCTCACTTGAGTTCTGGGCCTCGGTTTGCTATGCTCATCAGGTGTCCACACTAAGTTCAGCATCAATATGGTGACCTCTTAGGAGCAGGGGGCCACCTGGTTGCCTAAGGTAGGGTGAACTGGCCCAGGTGGGAAATGGAGCACCTCAAAACTCCCGTGCTGATCAGTAGTAGGATCATGCCTGTGAATAGCCACTGCACTCCAGCCTGGGCAGCATAGCGATACCCTGTCTCTTAAAAAAAAATTGGCTGGGTGCAGTGACTCATGCCTGTAATCCCAGCACTTTGGGAGACCAAGGCAGGCGGATCACCTGAGGTCAGGAGTTCAAGACCAGCCTGGCCAAGATGGTGAAACCCCGTCTCTACTAAAAATACAAAAAATTAGCCAGGTGTGGTGGTGCGCCTATAGTTCAACTTCTCGGGAGGCTGAGGTGGGAGAATCGCTTGAACCCGGGAGATGGAGGTTGCAGTGAGCCGAGATCACGCCATTGCACTCCAGCTTGGGCAACAGGAGTGAAACTCCATCTCAAAAAACAACCACAAAACAACAACAAACATATATATATATATATATATATATATATATATATATATATATATATGAAAAGTTTAGTTGTTTTCTTTGTTTTTAGTTAAGAAATACACAGAAATAGAAGTTTCTCTATTTTTTCGCTATCCCAATGGTTTGTCTTGCATAATTTCTGGGTACAAGAACTCTAGTTTAGGGGCTTCCAGTACATAAGGTCTGTGTCCAAATTCCTTACCTGTGTACAGATCCTTCAAAAGAAAATGTCTATTGCAAGAGTTTCTCATAACTGGAGCCATGTATGATTCATCTCCCCGGTCCCAGCACCAAGCTGCCACAGAAAGGATGCTCAGTATCTGTGGGTCAGTCACCATTTCCCCAGCGCACACAGCCTCCTCTCTGGACTGGATGCTCTTCCTCCCATTGCACCCCTGGTTTTCCACCTGACAAAGTCCTGCTCCTCCCCGTAAGCTCAATCCAAATGCTCCCTCCTCGGGGAGGGAGCCCTCCGGCTCTGTGTGCTCTTTCCTCTTAGAGTTTGCCAACAGGATGACAGCACGATCTCTGTGTCGAGTCTCCCTCCCGGCCTGTGAAAGAGCTGCGGACAGCGCCTTATTCATCTTTGTGTCCTCAGTGTCCAGCACACTAGAGGCGCTCGTAAACGTTGGATGAAGGAGAGGCTTTTACAGAGACGGGGGTGAGGCCAAGAGACAGTCTGGGCCCAAAGATTTCAGTTTCAAGAACTTTCATTCTCAGCCTGAACCCACCCCTCTGCAGGCAGCCTGGGGAATGAGCTGGGGCAAGGATGAAGGAGGGAGGCTGAGGGAGGGTGAGCCAGGATGGTACCTGCATGTGGAACCTCACAGCGCTGTTTCCTGCTGGCCTTTCAGGCTGCAGATGAAATCTACTGGGAAAAGCGAGAAACCCGGGGTAGCGGAGTGACCTTCCACCACCTGGCGGCACTGTGTCTGCATTCTCGGCCACCCCACAGAGGCCCAGCGGCATCCAGGAGCCGTGGTCTCTCCCCACGCATCACTCCGTGGCCAGAAGCACTCAGTCAAGCCAGAGCCACCAGCATTATCAATACATTATCATCCGTGGGATTTGGCAAGGCCTAACCACGACGATCTAAAAGCATTCTCTCTTCCAACAGGTTCAACCCAAAGAACTCATTTGTTAACGGACCACCATTGACTCATCACCCTAATGGAAAACTGAATCATCCCCAGGTCTTCCCCCCGTCAGTCCTCTCTATTCTGCATCAGCAGCATCTGTGAATGCCAGCACCCCAGCATCCCACACTGCACCTGTGCTCTGGGTCTGCCTGCCAAGTACAGGCTGTGAGGTATCGGGCCACCCCCTCAGTTCCCTCATCTGTAAGATGGGAACATCAACACTTTGTTTGCAAGGTTATTAGATATCTTATATATGCACAACACAGAGTAGAATGTCAGTAAATAATATTCGTCTTCCTTTTCTTCGTCTTCATGCCGGTAGACCAGGCCTTAATTAAGATCTTCTCCATCTCTTGCCTGAACTATTGGCACTGTCTCTAACCCCCTCTCCCTGCCTCGCCCCCACACTACTGCCAGAATTATCTTCCTCTGTGGCAGGAGTTATGTTTTAAACCAAAGTCACTCTACCAACATTTACACACCTTTCGTTTGCCAGTCACTGTGCTGGTGCCACAGATATAAATAAAGGAGAGATCTCCCAGGGAGCTCAGTACAGGGGCTTCATATATGCTTTAGAGACTGTTTTAGTTAGAATACTGCCATGGCTTCAGCGTGTGTCCCCAAAAGCATGTGTCGGAAACTTAATCTCCAATGAATAGTGTTGGGAGGTAGGGCCTAAGGAGAGGGTATTAGGCCACGAGGGCACAGTGAATGTATTATTCTGTTATCTTGGGAGCTGGTTCCCTATAAAAGGATAGAAAGAAGTTCATACAAGGCCAGGCGCGGTGGCTCGTGCCTGTAATCCCAACACTTTGGAAAGCCGAGGCGGGTGGATCACCTGAGGTCAGGAGTTCGAGACTAGCCTGGTCAACATGGCAAAACCCCGTCTCTGCTAAAAATACAAAATTAGCCAGGGGTGGTGGCAGGCACCTGTAATCCCAGCCACTCGGGAGGTTGAGGCAGGAGAATCACACAAACCAGGAAGGCGGAGGTTGCAGTGAGTCGAGATCATGCCATTCACCAAGGCAATACAGCTGGGAGGCAACAGAGCTAAGATTTAAAGCTATGCACGGAGGTCATTCCAAGTATATGTTGTTCATTATCCGGATACTGAGAAAAACAAATGGGATAAAGTAAATCTATACCATTTACTTTCTAGCCAGATTCTTTTTTTTCCTTTTCTTTTTTTTGAGGTGGAGTTTCACTCATTGCCCAGGCTGGAGTGCAATGGTGCGACCTCGGCTCACTGCAGCCTCCGCCTCCCGGGTTCAAGTGATTCTCCTGCCTCGGGCTCCCCAGTAACTGGGATTACAGGCACCTACCACCACGCCCAGCTAATTTTTGTATTTTTAGTAGAGACGGGGTTTCACCCTGTTGGCCAGGCTGGTCTCGAACTCCTGACCTCAGGTGATCCATCTGCCTCGGCCTCCCAAAGTGCCCGGATTACAGCCGTGAGCCACCGTGCCCAGCCTCTAGACAGATTCTTATTAAAAACACTGTCAAACACTGTATGTTCATGGTCTGGAGTTTATAGTGCATGTAGGATGGAAAGCAGTATGTCCCAGCTCCACTGTCCTTCCTGTGTCTTCTAACCCTTGGGCTGCCCCAGGGTGAAATTAAGAGTATCCTGGAGAGACAGATGAAAAGAAACGGGATGGACTCACAAATAATCTGAAATTAGTTCATTGCCTAATTAAAGGGGAGAGGACTGAGTGAACAGGATGTTCACTGAGACTGCCGGCAAATTACACGGACAATATGGAAACCGGAACCGAGGCAAACCCAGGCAGGACTCTGGTGCTACAGGAACCTGAGTCCTTCCCAGAGGTCCCCAGTGGGCTGCAGAAGCCAGTGTAGGCCCCCTCCAGGATCTACGCAGGGCCCACCATGCATGGTCTAGGGCAAAAGGCCTAGGCATCCTGGGTTACACCGACCTGGATCTCAACCCTGCCTGAGCCTCAGTTTACTCCCTTGTGAAATGGAGGTAATAGCAGCACCCACGTTATAGGGTGGCTGCAAAGACAAAATGAGACAATGAGACTTCTTTCCACAGGCAAAAGAGCCTGGCACATGGGAGCGCACATTATATGGTAGCTATTTCCTTACCGTGTGTGGCTTATTTGAAGAAAATGCGTCCTGCCATTCTGTCAGACTCATGCCTGTCTTCCCCTCACCCCTACCCTCAAGTCAGGCATGTGGAAGGGAACACCTGTTCATCCTGGCAGGGGCCAGAGGAAGGTCAGCTCCCACTGAACAGAGGTGACTAGGGCTCAGGGTTGGGATCCAGGTTTGGGATTTTCAATTGCCTCGATTCTTTGGTACAGATAATTGAGGCTCAATTCAACCGCCTCTGAGACTAAATGATGTCTTAGGAGAAGGACTGCTAAGCAGTAGAAATCCTTTCCAGAAAGCTAGTGAATCAACAGGGAGCCTGCTTTGCATCCCCTCACAGTGAGCCAAGGTGCCTCCTGTTGGCCCCTGTAAAAAAGACACTGGGTTCCCTCCACGCTGCATTCCAGAGCTGCTTGGTATGAGTGAGCCTGGGCTGTTGCCAGCTCATGCCCACCCACTGCGCCCTTCTCTACCTAATTTCTTGGAAGAGATGTGAACAAATGAGCCAGTCACTGAAACTGATCTCAATTTACTTGGGTTCAAAGGGAAGAACCATAGGCTCTGCTGGCTGGAAGGAACCTCAGGGGTTCATCTATGTCAAGCTCCAGTCTCTGAATTCAGCTCACTTCAGAAATAATAGCCTCTACCCACTCCTGAGTGTGGGAAGAGACCTAGAACAGCATTGCTCAAACTTTAAGGTGAATTCAAATCACCTGGGGATCTTGGAATGCAGACTCTGACTGAATAAGAGTGGGGCGTGCTGAGATTCTGCACTTCTAACCAGCTTCCAGCACTGGTGGCATTGCTGGGTCCATGGGCACACATACCTTGAGCAGGAAGGATCTACAGGGCTTGCTGCCCTCAGAAGCTCCTAGAAGGGAAGGGCAGTATATGGGCAGACTGAGCTCTTCAAGGCAGGAGATATTTTATTTTTCCCAACCACAGTGTCTAACCACATTGTCTGATATCATCATAGAAAATACTTGCTGGCTGGCTGGATGGATGGGTGGATGGATGGCCAGGCACATATAGACAGATGAGTGGGTGACTGCTGATACTGAGATCAAATGCACAATCAGAAACAACTGGCAGCCAGGCACCGTGGCTCACACCTGTAATCCCAGCACTTTGGGAGGCCAAGGTGGGTGGAGCACCTGAGGTCAGCAGTTCGAGATCAGCCTGGCCAACACGGCAAAACCCGTCTCTACTAAAAGAAAAAAGTTAGCTGGGTGTGATGGCAGAGACCTGTAATCCCAGCTACTCCGGAGGCTGAGGCAGGAGAATTGCTTGAGCCTGGGAGGCAGAGGTTGCAGTGAGCGGAGATCGTGACATTGCACTCCAACCTGGGTGACAGAGCTAGACTCCGTCCTCAAAAAGAAACAACTGGCAATTGATATATCATCCTACAAATTACTGTAGCTAAGCAAAAATATCTAGGGGAAAAATGAAGGCAGGAAGAAAGAAGGAAATCAGGCAGGGAGGAGAGGAAGGAGGAAGGGAGCAGAGAGAGCTGTAAAAATGAAAAAAGGTTTCCAAACCCCCAAGTGTTCTCTTTTTATCTCTACTAGAACATCTTTTTAAGCTTACTGTGATGTGTGGATGTCTCCTGTCTCCTTCAGTAGACTGTAGGGTGTTTGTATTCAGAGCCTGTGTTTTATCTCCTAATCCACAGTGCCTAACACAAGAGGTAGGCCTAGCATGAGCTCCATAAACACACATTTTGTGAAATGAATGGGGATAACAGTGCCATTTACAACATCTCTCTTAGGCACCAAACACTTCACATGGAAGTGAAGGTCTTGTGTTGTCGTTGTTGTTTTTGAGACGGAGTCTCGCTCTGTCACCCAGGCTGGAGTGCAGTGGCAAGATCTTGGGTCACTGCAACCTCCACCTGGGTTCAAGCGATTCTCCTGCCTCAACCTCCTGAGTAGCTGGGATTACAGGCACCCTCCACCACGCCCGGCTAATTTTTTTGGTATTTTTAGTAGAGTAGTTTGGTATTTTTAATAGAGGTTTTGCCATGTTGGCCAGGCTGGTCTCAAACTCCTGACCTCAAGTGATCCACCTGCCTTGACCTCCCAAAGTGCTGGGAATACAGGCATGAGCCACTGCGCCCAGCCAGGATTATCTCTTAATCTTCATAACAACCCTATGAGGTCA
This sequence comes from Homo sapiens, assembly GCF_000001405.40. Lineage (NCBI taxonomy): Eukaryota > Metazoa > Chordata > Mammalia > Primates > Hominidae > Homo > Homo sapiens. Next base: position 118,073,278 of record NC_000011.10, read on the forward strand.
GAAGTATTGTTATCCCCACTTTACAGATGAAGAAGATGGCGTGCAAGAGGATTAAATAAGATGCCCATGGTTACGCAAATCATTAGTGGCTGAGATTAGGAGGCAGGACCCCAGGCCACTAGAGCTCAAGCTCTTGACCAGGGAGGATTCAGGTTTTGAGAGGCCTGAAGCTTATGCATTTTGAGGGGCTTGGTTTTTTTCAAAAAGCAACAGACTCTTTAATGTGGTTTAAAATACATCCAGATCAAGTCCCCGGCTGTTGTGAATGCCGAAAAGAGACAAAAAAGCTGCCGGTGCAGCTTCAAACAAGTCTGAGCGTCAGGCTGGCCCATAAGGAAAGCAGTTGCAGGGACAGGAGGCAGCCCCCTCCTCCAGGAAGGGCAACAGGAGCAGCCGGGTGCCTGCCTGTCCCTGGGGTGACCGCCTCTGTGCTGTGCAAGGCGGGAGGGCTGTGGCAATAGGCCTTGGACCTCCCCCATGGACACCAGCGAGTTCCCCTGGCCTCTGGGTCAGCCCTCAGCAGCGCCGCCATGATGGGGTGGAGGAGGGTTAAATAACCATCTTTACAGAAATAATATTCTCCTGCAGAACGTGTCTGAGCTCAGACCATTGTCCAGAAACCTCATAGAAAACAAACAACAAAGTTTTTTAAAGTGCTGCTGACACCTCTCAGAATCTGGTGTGCATAGAGCTCTCAGCTGGACGAGACCTGTTGGTCCTTAAACTGAGGTCACCTGTATGGGACCAGCCTGGGTGAGGAAGGCTCTGGCCTTCACTCACAGGGATAGGCCACTTCTTGAGGGGCTTTCTTGAAGAAAAAGCACGTCAAAGAAATATTCAGCAAAATTTACAAAAACGTATGATTGTGTGAACATATTGCCGGGCCCTTTCCCAGGGCCCTGGAAGGAACCGTGCAAGTGAGGGGCTCTGAAGCTTCAGCTTCAGGAGTTTCATGATAACTCTGCCTCGGATCTTGACACACATGCTGGAAACAGATAAGGAAAGGGAAGAAGGAAGAGAAAAAAATGTCAAAAATAAAGAGGAAGAGATAAAAGAGAAGTAATGGGAGGGAAAGAAGAGAGGAAAAACAGGAGGAGGATCTAAAGAGATGGATGGGCAAGAGAAAGAAGCAGGCAGGACAGGGCTGAGGGAGAGCTGAGGCTTCCTCCGGGAGAATGGGGGTTCTGGGCCGGGTGCGGTGGCTCACACTTGTAGTCCCAGCACTTTGGGAAACCAGAGCGAGTGGATCGCTTGAGCTCAGGGGTTTGAGACCAGCCTTGTCAACATGGTGAAACCCTGTATCTACAAAAAATACAAAAATAAGCCAGGCATAGTGGCTCACACCTGTAATCCCAGCTACTTGGGGGACTGAGGCGGGGGAATCCCTTGAGCTCAGGAGGTGGAGGTTACAGTGAGCTGAGGCTGCACCACTGCACTCCAGCCTGGGCAACAGAGGGGGACCCTGTCTCAGAAAAAAAAAAAAAAAAAGAATGTGGGTTCTGGTCCAGCTGGTTTTCCCTGGCACCTGGGAGAGGTGGGCCTCTGTTGTCTCCAGGCCACTGTGCCTCCCTCTGTAAACCTTCACCCCCACCTGCAGGCATCACAGCCACCCTGCCCAGTCCTGCTTATGTGCCTTCTTCCCGGACCTCTCCACAAACTCCCAGACCCAAATGGGAGCAGAAGCCAGGAGGGCTGAGTCATCATCCCTCCAACCAGCCATGCCCAGCAGCCTTCATGCCCAGACAGCTGCCTCTTTCCTGGTTCATCACCTGAGCACCAGGTAAAGCAATGCAAACCTGTGGGCCAGATGTTTAGCCTGGCACATAGAGGAACCAAGACAACTGAAAACGTGGCTCCCAGTGGCCCACTGGCTTCTCACTGCCCTGCTGCTGGGGAGGTGCCTGCCTGGACCATCACGGCCCTGACCCTGAGGTCACCTGAGATCACAGGCTCTTGCCTCTGCCCAAGACTTCCAACTCTCAAGGCCACCAGCCATCAGTAAGGAAGGGCTGGGGCTGTGCTGGCTCCAGAGCCCTGCAGGCCAGCTTCAGATCTCTGCTGCTCAGAGACAAGTCCAAGGCCACACTGCATTCATCAGCTGAGATTTGGCCAATAATCCATTACACAGATCCGGTATTCCTCCTGCTCAGACATCACTGGGGTCCTCCATGGGCCATATTATCCCAAACCATGAACCTGGGGCTTTCAAACACTTGTGTTCCATTCAGCCTGTTCACAAGCCTGGCAGTGTGAACCAGTAAGAGAACCAGGTTCCAGCCCCAACTCTGCCCGAAACTACTTCATGTCCATAGGCTATAGTTTCCTCAGCTGACAAATGGGAACAAAATATTGGGGTTGTTGTTGGAGAATTAAAGGGCTGATACACAGAAGCACGTTATCAACAGAAGGACAAATACACACGTCTAACCCAGGCTGGTCTCCTGGGAGGGTCAGGTCTGAGAAATGGAAGGAGATCTGGATTCATATGGAACCAGACACTAATTCATTATGTGACTTTGGGTCATTGACTTTGCCTCTCTGGAATTTAGTTTTGTCGCCCACAGAATGGGGGAACAATGTGGACAATTATCCAAGTCTCTCCCAGCAAAATATCTGTGGCTGTAAGGTTTCACCTTGCACATCCCCTGGCCAGGGGGCAGCTCCAGCTATCAGGATGTGGCAGAACGTGAATCAGAAATGATCCTGTGGGGCTGGGTGCGGTGGCTCACGCCATAATCACAGCACTTTGGGAGGCTGAGGCAGGTGGATCAGTTGAAGCCAGGTGTTTGAGACCAGCCTGGCCAACATGGCAAAACCCCATCTCTACTAAAAATACAAATTAGCCAGGCATGGTGGCGCACAACACCTGTAATCCCAGCAGCTACTTGGGAGGCTGAGGCAGGAGAATCACTTGAACCTGGGAGGTGGAGGTTGCAGTGAGCCAAGATCGCGCCACTGCACTCCAGCCTGGGCAACAGAGACTCTGTCTCAAAATAAAATAAAATACAAAAACACAAAACTTAGCTGGGTGTGGTGGCAGGTGGCTGTAGTCCCAGCTACTCGAGAGGCTGGAGCACGAGAATTGCTTGAACCTAGGAGGCGGAGGTTGCAGTGAGCTGAGATTGCGCCCCTGCACTCCAGCCTGGGGGACAGAGAGAGACCCTGTCTTAAAAAAAGAAAAGAAAAAAAGAAAGAAAGAAAGAAGGAAATGACTCCGTGGACGAGGAGACGTGGGCTCTAGCCAGAGCACCAATAGTGATTTTCAGAATATTGAACGGCTGCTGAGGCAGGGGCAGGAAGCACTAGTACATTGGCTCTGTGCAGGACAGCTTCACTTCTGGGATCCAGGGAAAGGGGGTACATCTTACCTCCCTAAGAGAAGAAACTCCCTCCTTCTCTGTGGACTTTCCAATCCTATTGCTCCACACCTGGCAATGATCTCTTTGTACTGAGCTGCAAACCCTGTCGCCCAACCCCCAGACCACTCCAACTTCCCACAACCCCAAACCAAAGCACCCACACAGTGAGAAGTCATGCACCTAGAAGGTAGGGGGAGGGGGGGCGGAAACTTCTGGCATCACCCTCAGCCAACACCCAGTTGGGTGGAAGTCATTCAGGCGGGAAGGCTTTTGTTACGCCTTAGGTGTGTCACCTGTTCTGAGGCCGAAGGTCCCATGAATGACTTCAGGTGTTGTTCCAGCCCCTAAGATAGGTGTCAGGTTACAAGACACATAATCATTCCAGTTTGGCAACTTCACTTGTAGGGCTGTTTTAATCAAGCTGCCCAAAGTCCCCCAATCACTCCTGGAATACACAGAGAGAGGCAGCAGCTTGCTCAGCGGACAAGGATGCTGGGCGTGAGGGACCAAGGCCTGCCCTGCACTCGGGCCTCCTCCAGCCAGTGCTGACCAGGGACTTCTGACCTGCTGGCCAGCCAGGACCTGTGTGGGGAGGCCCTCCTGCTGCCTTGGGGTGACAATCTCAGCTCCAGGCTACAGGGAGACCGGGAGGATCACAGAGCCAGCATGGTGAGTGTGGGGCCCTCTGCTCCCAAGACACAGGAAGGGTGGGTCTCCCCATGTAAGGCCCTTCAAGCAGCCTGAGCATCCATCAGCTGAGAATTCTGTGACACCTTCTAGGTTAAAAAAAGAGGCCACACCCAAATCCCCTCACACCCCAGCCCGGTACACGTCTCATACCCACCTGCCTTCCTCTCTTCCTCCATTGCCATGGTCCTTGGACCAGCTCACCTAAGAAGCTGAGCACAGAGCCAGGGCTGTCCTTCCCGACTATTCTTTCCTGAATCCTGCATGTTCTTTTGCCCAATGTCTCCAGGTCTGTTGGTTAGAGGTTGGCACTATTTTTCCAAGGCAGGGGGCTGTTCTGATGCCACGGTTGCCCTCTGCCACTCCCTGGGGAAACTGATTCCTTTTCTTTTTAAAGAAAAGTGTAGACTGGGTGCAGTGGCTCACGCCTGTAGTCCCAGCACTTTGCGAGGCTGAGGCAGACAGATCTCTCGAGGTCAGGAGTTTGAGACCAGCCTGGCCAGTATGGTGAAACCCCATCCGTACTAAAAATACAAAAAATTAGCCAGGCGTGGTGGCAGGTGCCTGTAATCCCAGCTACTTGGGAGGCTGAGGCAGGAGAATCGCTTGAACTTGGGAGGCGGAGGTTGTGGTGAGCCAAGATTGTGCCATTGCACTCCAACCTGGGCAACAAGAGTGAAACTCCGTCTCAAAAAAAAAAAAAAAAAAAAAAAAAAAAAAAGAAAGAAGGAAAAGAAAACAGTGCAGAGATGCCTCCAAACAATCTAGGGTGTTTGTGGTCATCTTTTACTTGGTCTCTTTTCATGCCCTCACCCTCTCTCCTCCTCCTCTGAATACCTGGAGCGTCTTCGCTGTCTTGGGGCAAAGAGAATCAACCCTATCTTTCAAGGAGGACAGCTGAGGGCCAGGGAGGGGAAGAGATAATAACTGGGTCTGAGGAGGAACCCAGGGGTCTTCCTTCTCCAGTCCTTGGCCAAGAGGCAGCAATTGCCCAGCCACCAAAGTGAAAGGGAAGGGAAGAGAGGAAAGGAGAAGCCACTGTCCAAGGGGGAAGGGTGTGACCTGCAGGGGCCCCTCGAGTGATTGTCTCCTATTCCCAACCTGAGCACTTCCCACGACACTCTTCTGAAAATTCTGGCAAGAACAATTCTTAGTGCGGTTGTAGCTGATGATCAGAAAGGGGAAGGGGCTTCCCTTTGAGCCAGGATCAAAGCACAAGCTTCCTGCTTTCCCATCCAAGGAGGCGCCCCAAAGTTTGGCCTGTGTGCAGAGACGCTGTATCCCCTGGGGCTCCCAGGAGAGGAGAGCAGCTGTGGAGTCTACCTAGCTGTGAGCTGCTTCTGGGTGGCAGGCACTGAGGAGACCTGGGGTGTCTCTTGGGGGAGCAACAGAGAAGGGAATCATTTCTAGGGCAGGTCACTAACTGCAGAATCAGAAGGCTGAGGCCAGCTCCCTGATTAGCTGTGCTGTCTTGAGGCATTCATCTTCCCGAGACTCACCTTCTCCCCTGCCCACGGAAACGATATGACCCACAACAGCCCCACGCACATGCACCGGGTTCGCAGAGATTACACAGCTAATACATGTGAGTAGGTTCTGGAAACCATGAAGCCCCGCACAGATGTAAGGACTTAGGACTAAAGAGGAGTCTGTGCTAGGAAATGACAGCTGGGTAGTACACCCAACACAGACCCTTTGCCACCAGGGAAGGAGCTGGGCATTGCTGGAGGAGCGGGGGAGGGCAGGTGGGAACACTGGTGGAGGGGTCAGGTCAGGCCTGGGGCCCCAAAGGCAAGGCAGCAGCATGGCCAATCTCCACGGTGTGGTCAAGGAAGTTTCTAGCCCCGGAGCTAGCCATTATACTGCCTGTGCTGAATAACCCTGTCATTAAGCCTGTGCTTAATAACCCTTGACAGCCATAGCTCCCAGCCCTGAGGGGAGGATGGGATCTCCACACCCAGGCTCAGCCCTCCCTTCCCTTCCCTTCCATTCCCTACCTCCTTCCATCCCCACAGGCCCCTTTCTGTGACAGTCAGGGTCCTTTGAGCTGCTGCGTCTTAATGACAGCTCTCCCAAGAACCCATTAAGCTGGGTATTCCTAGGGAGAGCTGGAGCAGGGACTCAGGCCCAGGCAGAGGTCAGAGCCCAAGCCCTGTCCCCGAAGGAAATGTGTCCCATGCTAACTACTCCATAGCTGAGGCCTGGAGGGAAGTCAGGGACCCTGGGACTGGTTATCCTGGCCTTGACTCATTACTGTTCCGGAGACCTAAACGCACCCTGAGCCACCAGACGTGGGTGTTAACACCTGAGGTCAACCCCCTGACGCTTCCGGCTGCTCTGGAGGAAGCTGGTCCTCCCTCCCACCTCCTGTTTTCCGTGCCAGCCTGGTACAGAGTCAAGGGGCTTGGCTGGGCTTGGCTGGGCTCAGAAACGTGGCAGTCAGGAGCCAGCCTGCGGGCAGCGGGGTGCTGGGAGCACTGCAGGGTCCACCCTGACTGGGGCACAGAATCCAGAAGCCCACTCGGCCCTGGCAGTGCCATCCTAGGCTCTGAGGTGGTAAACTGAGCTGGGCAGTGGGAAGGTCCTAAAGGGCAAGACAGGCAAGGAGGGGCTGCTTGCTTTGCCTGCTCTCCTGGATCCTTTGCCACCTGGGTGACAGGGCCTGGTGTCACTGTAACCACTCCCCCCCCACCAAAAGAAGCTCCAGCCAGACACCATTTAATCAGCCCCTTTCATTGGCCAGCCTCTAAATGGGGCTGGGGATTGGGAGGACCCAATACCTAGGTTTCACCCTGCAGGTGCTCAACACAGAGTGTGACAAGTATAACACCAGCAGTGGTTACAAGGTACCCCTGGAGCTGAAAAAGCAATAGATTCTCTCTAGGGAAGTCGGGAAATTGTCCTGGAAGAGAAACTATTTGCATTGGACTCTGAAGGATGGGCAGGCTCTCTCCAGGCAGGGAAAGCAGGAAGGAGCTCCAGACACAGGGGACTGCATGTGTGAACAGCAAGAAAGAGTGGTAGTATAGGGACAACAGGCTCTCGCTGTGGCTGGAGCAAAGACTCCGGCACTCCAGGTCATGGGAGCTGCACCTGCCGAGGTGGAAGCTGCATCCCCAGGCCCTGTCCATCTCCCAGGGCGCTTCCAGCCTGACCCTGGGGGTCAAGCTCTGTGCCTGGGTGCTTCCCTGGAGAAGGGGTTCAGATGTCAGGGCTCCTGCGTGACCCCAGGCCTCTCTCCTCCTCTCAGTCTTCCCTCAGTGCAGCTGAGAACCCAGCAGCCACCTCCCTAGCCCAGACCCATGCCAAAGCCCAAGAGATCTGAGGAGCTGAATGTAAGAAATGAGGAGAGACCAGCTCAAGGGGGTCATGGGTAGAGGGAGAGATGAGAAAAACAGACCCAAAACAGAGCTGGGGAACTGCCGACAAGCTTCCCAAAGCCCCAGAAACGCCCCAGGGCAGCAGGAGACAAATGCTTTCAGGCCTGAAAATCTCCACGGCCTCAGACTTCCCAGGTGCCTCTTCTGCCCTCAGTCTTCCTTCCTGCTCAGGTGAAAACATCAGCCTCAGTAAAACGCTTCAAGTTCCCAAGCAAGGATTCCCTGGGACAGTGAACTCCTCCAAACCTAAAGTGCAATCATCTACCACATTTTCTTTTAAACCTGTTGCCACCAGAATGGGAGCTTCTTGAGGACAGGGTCTGTGTCTTTTCTGCTTTTAGCCGCAAACCTAGCACAGGGCATGGCATCCATGGCATGGACTAGGCACTTAGTAAATGTGAATGAATGAATGAGTGGATTGATGGATGACAGGTAAATAATCAAAGACAGAATCCCCTATAACCAATTTCTGATTTATCTGACACTGAAAACAAGGCTCACCCGAAGTCCAATTGGAAAACATACCAGATCTATCTGAGGGGTTACTAAAGTGTTTTTATCCCAGAGGGGGATGGGCATGAGGGAGGCACAGGTCTGAGCCTGCCCGGAAACCCTGGTGATAGGGAAGGGGAAGAGTGGGGCAGAGCCAATGTGGCAATCCCCCTGTGACACGTCTAACGCCACCTCCCAGCCTGCCACTCTGACTAACCAGCACGTCGGCAGCTGAGAAATGTGTAAACAAGATGGAAAACCGCAACAGTCCTCCCCTGCCCGTGGCCCCCAGAGCACCCTCCAGCTTCCTCGCATAATCC